>NC_000007.14:100385566-100688597 GCF_000001405.40 Homo sapiens
CTTAAAGTAACTTGAATCTCTTTCATTCCAGTATATATACATCTATGTCTTTTTATTTTTTATTTTTATTTATTTATTTTGAGATGGAGTTTTGCTCTTGTTGCCCAGGCTGGAGTGCAATGACATGATCTTGGCTCACTGCAACCTCTGCCTCCCGGGTTCATGCGATTCTCCTGCCTCAGCCTCCCAAGCAGCTGGGATTATAGCCATGTGCCACCGCACCTGGCTAATTTTGTATTTTTAGTAGAGATAGGGTTTCACCATGTTGGTCAGGCTGGTCTCAGACTCCTGACCTTAAGTGACCCACCCACCTCAGCCTCCCACAGTGCTGGGATTACAGGCGTGAGCCACCACACCCGGCCTATGTCTTTTTTTTTTTTTGAGACGGAGTTTCAATCTTGTCACCAAGGCTGGATGAGGTGGCACGATCTCAGCTCACTGCAATCTCTGCCTCCTGGGTTCAAGTGATTCTCCTGCCTCAGCCTCCCCAGTAGCTGGGATTACAAGCACGTGTCACCATGCCCACCTAATTTTTGTAGTTTCACCAAGTTGGCCAGGCTGGTCTGATTCCTGACCTCAGATGATCCACCTGCCTTGGCCTCCCAAAGTGCTGGGATTACAGGCACAAGCCACTGCGTCTGGCCATTTAAAAAAATTTTTTAGCTGCTCTTCGCAGAGCAGGGCTAACTCCTAGTCATTGTGCTCTGAATCAGCAATGCCTTTTTAAATGGCCGCATGCATCCCATGGTAGTGATGTATCATAATTTATTTAATCCCTGTCCCAGAAATTAGCCAGGTGTGGTGGCATGCACCTGCAATCCCAACTATTTGGGAGGCTGAGACACGAGAATCCCTTGAAGCAGGGAGTTGGAGGTTGCAGTGAGCCGAGATTGTACCACTGCACTTTGTTGTTGTTGACAGAGTGACACTATGTCAAAAAAAAAAACAAAACACAAAAATTTTGGTTTTGAGACAGGGTCTCTCTCTGTTGCCCAGACTGGAGTGCAGTGGCACAATCATAGATCACTGCAGCCTCAACCTCCTGGGCTCAAGCGATCCTCCTCCTGAGGCTCCTGAGTAGCTGGGACTATAGGCATGTGCCACCACACCCAGCTAATTTTTGTATTTATCATAGGGACCAGGGGGAGCGGGGGTCTCACTGTGCTGCCCAGGCTGGTCTCAAAACTCCTGGGCTCAAGTGATCTGCCCACCTCGGCCTCCAAAAGTGCTGAGATTACAGGCATGAGCCACAGTGCCCAGCTTTAAAAAAAAAAAAACGACCAAAAAACTTTTGAATGGATATTAGCATTAGGATTATGGAATCATTTTATGAAATGGATTCAAATTGCATAGTTTTCCATCTTTATGTTCTGGAAACTTCTATGTGAGAATTCTATGTTCCTTAAATTTTTACAAGAATTTCTTTTTAAAACTTCCTAAGCATGGAGACCTTATGAAAGGTAGTTCTTGCATAGCATTCTCATTTCTTCTCTGTCTAATGATCAGTTAACTCATTTACGCCAGAGGCTGCAAATTTTTTGTGTGAAAGATCAGAACTTGGCGATGACCTTGAGCAGTAGGATATAAATAACTCCCACAAACTTAGCGTTCTAATAATAGAACACTAGGCATAAATGAGTTAAGGTATATACTACTTCTTCGTTTGAGACAGAATCTTGCTCTGTCACCCAGGCTGGGGTACAGTAGCATGATCTTGGCTCACTGCAACCTCCGCCTCCCAGGTTCAAGTGATTATCCTGCCTCAGCCTCCCAAGTAGCTGGGATTACAGGCACCCGCCACCACACCCAGCTAATTTTTGTATTTTTAGTAGAGATGGGCTTTCACCATGTTGGCCAGGCTGCTCTCAAACTCCTGACCTCAGGTGATCTGCTCACCTCAGCTTCTCAAAGTGTTGGGATTACAGGCATGAGCCACTGTGCCTGGCCCCAAGGTATACTAGTTCTTAAATCAATTTTTAAAAATATCACCCAGGCCTGGCTCAGAGGTTCATGCTTGTAGTCCCAGCTAATCAGGAGGTTGAGGTGGGAGGATCACTTGAGCCCAGGAGGTGGAGGCTGCAGTGAGGTACGATTGCGCACCCCAGCTTGGGCAACAGAGCAAGACGGTGTCCAAAAAACCCAAAAGACACCCATTTCACAGATATTTTAACATTTAACAACATATAATTGAGCATATACCCACTCGTGACTGCAGCTGGCTTTTGTTGTCATTAGGTTTGCTAGTCTTGTCTATCTTCTTCTTGTTGCTCCTTTAAATAACCAGTTTCTGCATTTATTTTGCCTGTGGCTATCTGTTCCCTAATTTATTCCTACGTAACTTTTCATTACTTTCTTCCTCTGAGTTTCTTTACAGCTGGCTCCTCCTGTTTGGGGTTTTTTCTTTGGAAACTGAATATTTTATTTGTTTTAAAAATTTCTTCCCATTTTAAGTAATAAATCCATTTCATACAATGAATTTAGCTTAGAGTGTTGCTTTAGTCATACTCCAGGGTTCTTTTTTAAAATATGTATTACTCTAGTTTTTATTTTCTAAACAGTATGTTATTATACATGTTTTCCTTTAAGTAATTAAAACATTTTAAAATTCCCAATCAAGACATAGCATTTACACTTTTATTACTTTCTCTTAAGAGTGGATGAAGATTTTAGTTCATACTAACTTGAAGACATTAAGGAGCCTGATTTTTTTGTCCTGTGGCTGAGTACTATGTCAATTTTTTAAGGGTGCGTGAAACATCTATAAAGAAGGTGTAACTTGTTTGTAGGATGTGAAGGTCAATATATATTAATGTGACCTTAAAAACATATTTTCAATATACAGTAGGTTTTTTACAGATGTGTTCTCACTTATTAAGACAATCCTGGCTTGGCACAGTGGCTCACACCTATAATCCCAACACTTTAGGAAGCTGAGGCGGGCAGATCACCTGAAGTCAGGAGTTGGAGACCAGCCTGGCCAACATGGTGAAACCCCGTTTCTACTAAAAAAAGAAAAAAAAAATACAAAAATTAGCTGGGCATGGTGGCATGTGCCTGTGATCCTAGCTACTCGGGAGGCTGAGGTAGGAGAATCACTTGAACTTGGGAGGCGGAGGTTGCAGTGAGCCGAGGCTGCACCACTGCACTCCATCCAGCCTGGGTGACAGAGCGAGCCTCCGTCTCAAAAAAAAAAAAAAAAAAAAAAAAAAAAAGACAATCCTGTAAAAACACACTGTATGATTCAGCTAATATGAAGTATTTAGTCAAACTCATGGAGACAGAAAGTAGAGGGGTAGAAGGGTGGGGACACAGGAATGAGGAGTTGTTTAACACGTGAAATGTTTCCATTGAGGTGGATTGTTAAGCCAATGACAGAATTTAAACCACAGACTTACTTTGATAGTACTCTTAATGGTATAATTTCTTCTCCCATTTTATGTCTCTCTTTATGTTTTTTCTTATGTTTCCTTTTTGTTTTCAAGAGAGAGCTATCTTTTAGATCTCCAGTATCCTTTTCCTCTTCAGTAGAGATTTCTATATCTTGAAATAAATAAAAAAGCACTCCGTTAAGACGTGGGGCTGTGAAATGGGTGAAATCCCAAAGACTCTTTCAATTCATCTGTGATTAACATTTTTGGGAAGTAACTCCTATTATAAATTAAAAGTAATATTAGAGTTTTTCACAATCAGAATGTCAATAAATTTTTAACTTAAAAAAAATGTTTCCATTGAGGAAGATGCAAGGGTTCTGGAGTTGGATGGTGTGATGGTTGCACAGCACTGTGAATGTGCTTGATGCCACTGAACGGTGCATGTAGAAATGGTTAAAATGACATATTTTATGTTACCTGTATTGGCAACAATAGACTTTTTTTGATCCTGTGATTTAGTTATCCCTATTTGTGAGTGAGGAGATGAGGTTCTGAGGTCACCCTGCTGATAACTGGTATAGAATCGGATTTAAACTGAGTTGCCTGTTAAGCTGAATTTGAGGAGGAAGAAATAAAATTAAAGGAAGGAAGAAATGGAAGGAAGGAAGAAAGGAATGAAGGAAAGAAGGAAGGAGGGAGGGAGGGAGAGAGGAAGGAAAGGAAAGGAAAGGAAAGGAAAAGAAGGAAAGGAAAAATAATATAAAATGAACTGAGTCGTCTGCATTGAAAGCTGTTAACATTTCACCCTGTTCCCCGCTCCCTGTGTGGGCTTCAGAGAGGAGCTCCCTCACCACTAATGTCCCCCAACCTAGAAAGCAGCACACCACGCCTTTCACCCAGACACCCTGTGCCCCCAGGGGAGGGTCTGCTCATTCCTCATCTCTCCCCAGCTGTCACGACCACCACCCAGAGGCCCAGCAGCATGACTACCACCTGGAGGCTCAGTAGCACAACCACCACAACCGGCCTCAGGGTCACACAGGGCAAACGACGCTCAGACTCTTGGCACATAAGTCTGGAGACTGCTGTGGGGGTGGCAGTGGCTGTCACTGTGCTCGGAATCATGATTTTGGGACTGATCTGCCTCCTCAGGTGGAGGAGAAGGAAAGGTAAGTGCCCAGGACCCGCCCTCTCCCCAAGCCTCCCATCTGGGGGTTTCTCAAAGCCCACCTGCAGCTATGGGGCTCCTGAAATATGCAGACCCTGCTGGCTCCCCTCAAGCCCACCGAGGCCGACTTCGTGGCCTATGCTGAGGTGTCTGCATTTGTGAGGCTCCTGCAGTGGGGCGGGGCAGGGTCACATGTGAGAGCCCACAGCCCTTTTCACACAGCCGATCCCCCCCTAGTTCTTCTCTCTCAGTCATCACTCATCTACCTCCCCTGAAGGTTCCTGGGGAGGAGAGGGGAGGGTCTGCCCTGGGAAAAGGAGAGAGAGAGCAGAAGGGACCAGAAGTAAGCTGAGCTCAGCAGGCACTGGCCAACTGCCCACCTGCCACGGCCTGGCTTGAAACTGCAGAAGCAAAGTAGATAAAGCATAAACCATAGACTCTGCTCTCAGGGAACTAGGGGTGTGGGGTTTTCAGTTGCCTCAAGGACTAATTGCTTCATTGAGAAAGAACTATGGTAGCACTTAATAAGGGTGGGAAGAAGGAGAGGTAATCAGAGAGGACTTCCCAGAGGTGATATATGCAAAAGTCTCAAAGAAGAAAAAGAATTAGCCTGGCAAGTGGTGAGGGTGGTGTAGAGGTCACTCACTTTCCTTGTGGGTGGAGGAAACCATTCCAGGAGCTGCAGGAAGCTCAGTGCTGGTGGAGGAGGCAGGAAAGGAGAGGACCTTGGAAATCACACCCAAGAGCCTCTGATCCCAGAGGCAGCATGAAGCAGTAAAGGGTGACCTCAGCTACCGTGAGAGACCTCAGTCTATGGAGGAGTGGCCAGAGGTGGGCCAGGCTGGGTCAGTGCAGTGCAGGGGTGAGGTGGAAAGAGGAAAAGGGCCAGATCCTGGAAAAGATTAAGTAATAAAACCAAAGAGGTGAGGTGCGTTGAGGTGGCTCACGCCTGTAATCCCAGCACTCTGGGAGGCTGAGGCAAGAGGATTTCTTGAGCCCAGGAGTTTGATACCAACCTGGGCAACACAGGGAGACCCTGTCTCTACAAAATAATAATAACAATAATAATAATAATAATAATTATTATTATTATTATTATTATTAGCTGGGCATGGTAGCCTGTGCCTGTGGTACCAGCTACTGGGAGGCTGAGATGTGAGGATTGCTTGAGCCCAGGAGTTTAAGGTTACAATGAGCTGTGATTTCACCACTGCACTCCAGCCTGGGAGACGGAGCAAACTATCTCCAACTAAATATAAAAATAATTTAAAAAAAATTTTTTATAAATGACACTTGGTTGGTTGGGCAGGGTGGCTCATGCCTGTAATCTCAACACTTTGGGAGGCCAAGGCAGGAGAATCTCTTGAGCCAAGGAGTTCAAGACCAGCCTGGGCAACTTTGCAAAACCCCGTATCTACAGAAAATACAAAAATTAGCTGGGTGTGGTGGCGTGCGCCTGTGGTCCCAGCTACTCCAGAGGCTGAAGTGAGAAGACTGCTTGAGCCTGGGAGGTCGAGGCTGCAGTGAGCCATGATTGTGCCACTACACTGCAGCCTGGCTGACAGAGCAAAACCTTATCTCAATAAATAAATAAATAAGTTGATTGTTAGATTGATGTAGGGGCGAGGGAGCAGGAATAAGCCCCTGTTTCCACTTGAGTGGATGAGGCTGTAATGAAATCACCAAGTACAATGGGGAAGAGAGGAGATCATGCTTGGAGGGGAACGATGCCTCATTTAATTTGGGATCTGTTACACTGGAGATCCATGTGTGGCATCTCAGCAGAGTTGTCCATTGGAAACTCAGAGTACACATTTACAGTTCAAAAGAGAGGACAAGGCCTGAGGCATTAATGAGTTCCACCCCAACATCCTCCAAACCTGATCTGAAGTTACCATCAAGAATGTTTGCAATGGGCTAGGCATGATGGCTCCCGCTCACGCCTGTAATCCCAGCACTTTGGGAGGCCAGGCTGGGCAGATCAGTTGAGCCCAGGAGTGTGAGACCAACCTGGCCAATGTGGTGAAACCCTGTCTCTACTAAAAATACAAAACTTAGCCAAGTGTGGTGGTACGCACCTGTAGTTCCAACTACTGGAGAGGCTGAGGTGGAAGAATTGCTTGAGCTTGGGAGGCAGAGGTTGCAATGAACTGAGAGAGTACCACTGCACTCCAGCCTGGGTGACAGAGTGCAAGGAGATTTGCCCTATCAGCTATGAAAGCACAGAGGGGAGGAGCATGGGGTTGGGGCTGCCTGCAGTCAGATCCTGGCCTCACACCTTCGCCAGGGAAACAGCCTTGTTGGTACAAAGGCTGTGCACCTCACCTTCCTCATGGGCAAAGGGAGTGAAGATAGTACCTACGTGGGGTTGTCCTGATGATTAAATGTACTGTGTTTAGATCTTGCAGAGGGTGTGCCACAGGAGCATCAGCAGTTAGAATGACTAAACAGTGGGCATTAAACCAGGGAACACTGGCTCTCATGGGAGCACCATCGTATGAATACATTTAAAAGACAAAACAGTACAATATTGGCATATTCATACACAGATAAAGCAATGGAAGAAAAGAGGAAAACCTAGGTATAACAGAATGAAAAGAGACCCAAATATATGTGGGAATTTAGTTGGTTAAAATGTTTCTAATCAATGAGGAAAGATGAGTAATTCCATGAATGGTGCTGGAACTATTCAGTAGCCATCTGAGAAAAAATAACATTATCTCCTTACCTCATAATTTGTACCAAAATAAATTCCACAGGGATCAAAGATTTAAATGAGAAAAAAAATAACCCTAGTACCAGAAGAAAATGTGAGATTATTTCATAAGCAGTAGAGACAGTCTTCCTCAGTATGACCAAGCCCCAAAGCCATGGATTAAAATATTAAAATCTGGCCAGGTGCAGTGGCTCATGCCTGTAATCCTACCACTTTGGGAGGCCGAGGTGGGCAAATCACTTGAGGTCAGGAGTTCAAGACCAGCCTGGTCAACATGGTGAAACCCCGTCTCTACTAGAAATATAAAAATTAGCTGTGCATGGTGATGCGCCCCTGTAATCCCAGCTACTTGGGGGGCTGAGGCATGAGAATCGCTTGAACCTAGGAAGTGAAGGCTGCAGTGAGCTGAGATCACACCACTGCACTCCAGCCTGGGTGATAGAGCGAGACTCTGTCTCAAACAAAAAAAAAAAAATTAAAATCAACCACTTATGATTTTTTTTTTAATTCTGCAGAACAAAAACCACAGCACTTTTCTCCTGAGAATGAATAAGAGGGTCAGGGAATTGAAGAGAAAGTTTGACATAGTCACTGAGGAAATGGGAAGTGGAGTTTGAGGATTCAGCTCAGATACGAAACTGTAAATCTATGATAGCAGTGTTGTGCATGGCTGCATTTTTCCCCAGCAGTAGTCAACCATTCAGATTTTGAGACCTTAGTGATTTGTGTTGGTCAGGAATTGTTGTCAGTTGCTACCACCAGGGACCAGAAGTAAAAGTAGCTTAAACAAGACAGAGTTGGGTTATTTTTTTCCTCTTGTAAACAGATCTGGAAGCAGACAGCACATCACTGTTCTTAGACACTCAGGTTCCTACCTTTCTGATTCACCAGCCCTGATGCTGGCTTCTGTCCCAAAGGTTGCCTCATAGCCCAAGACGGCTGCAAGGATTCCAGCCACTATTTCTGGGTTCCTGGCAAAAAATAGGAGGAAGGAAGAAAGGAAAAAAAAAATACTATGCCTCAACTCTCTGTTCCCTTTTAAAGAGTCTTTCTGAAAGACCTAACAACAACTTCTTCACGTGTGAGAGCCCCGGCCCTCTCCACACAGCCGATCCCCGCCCCTCCGACCCAGTTTATATCTTATTGGCTAGAATTTGGTCACATATCCCACAGCTATCTGTAGGGGGAACCCTCCCACTCCAAATACAATCAATTTTCTGTAACTAAGAATAATTGAATAGATATTGGGTAATCAAATACCATTTCTGCCATAAGACACCCCCAGGATTAGAGACTTGCCAGCTAAGTGTGGCAGAAAGACAGGAGATCACAGGTCAAGGAGCTAGTGAGAAGGCAGGAATGAAGAGCAGAGGGGTCAGCAGGGAGTCTGAATAATCTGTAGAAAAGTAGATTATCACGGGATAAGAGTTCAATGAAGTCTAAGAGCAGGTACAGTGGCATAATGACAAAAGACAGCTGGAATGCTTCCAAGCTTATTCTGTGAGGTCAGCATTACCATGATACCAAAGCCAAACAAAGACACTACAAGAAAAACAAAAACAGAAACAAAACAAACTACAGACCAATAACTCTGATAAATATTGATGTAAACATCAACAAAATACCAGCAAACCAAATTCAACAGCACGGCAAAAGAATTATACACCATGGGCCAGGCACAAGAATCACTCAAACCTGGGAGGCGGAGGTTGCAGTGAGCCGAGATTGTGCTACTGCACTCCAGCCTGGGTGACAGAGTGAGATTCTATCTCAAAAAAAAAAAAAAAAAAAAAAAAGGAGCTGAATTGAAAAAAAATAGATTAATATACCAACGGAATAGAATACAGAGTCTAGAAATAAACCCTTGCGCATATGGTCAAAAGACTTGACAAGGGTGCCATGAGCACTTAATGGGCAAAGGACAATCTCTTCAACAAATGGCATTGGGAAAACTGAATATCCAAACCAAAGAATGTAGTTGGATCCTTATCTTATACCATATACAAAATTTAACTCCAAATGGATTAAAGACCTAAATGTAAGACCCCAAACCATAGGGAAAAAGCCTCATGACACTGGGTTTGGCAATAATTTCTTGCCTGTGATACCAAAAGCACAAGCCACAAAAGAAAAAATAGACAAATAGGACAACATTAAACTTAAACATGTTTTTTCATTACAGGACACAATCAATAGAATCAAAAGGCAACCTATAGAATGGGGAAAATATTTGTAAATTATATATCTGATAAGGAGTGAAAATCTGAAATATATAAAAATTCCTATAATTCAACAACAAAAAAATCAACCCAATTTAAAAGTGGGCAGTGGATTTTAACAGACATTTCTCCAGAGATGATATATGCTATGGTCTGAAATGTGTCTCCTCAAATCATGTATTGGAAACTTAGTCCCCAGTGTGACAACTGGGAGGTAGTGTGTTTTGGGAGGTGCTTAGGTCATGACGGCTCTGCCAAACGGATTAATGCCATTATAAAAAGGGATTTCAGGAGTGGGTTCACTGTCTTCTAATCTTCTGCCATGTGAGGACACAGTAATCCTCCCCTCTGAAAGACACAGCAAAAAGCAAGATGCTGGCACCTTGATCTTGGATTTCCCAGCCTCCAGAACTGTGAGAAATAATTTTTGCTTTGCTTTGCTTTGTTTTACTTTTCAGCAACCTCTTGTCCAACAGAAGAAACAAATTTGTTTTTTTATAAATTATACAGGCTCAGATATTCTTATATACATTAGCAGCACAAAATAGACTAAGACAGTATACAAATCACCAACAAGCAGATGAAAATGGCCAACTAATCATCAGAGAAATGCAAATCAGAACTACAGAGAGCTATCTCCTTATACCCAGAAGGACAGCTACTATTTAAAAAGTGTGTAAATGACAAGTGTTGGGAAGAATGTGAAGAAATTGGGGCCCTTGCGCACTGTTGATGGGGGCTATAAAATAGTGCAAATGATACAGAAAAAAAGCATGGCCTTTCCTCAAAAATTTAAAAATAAAGGCCAGGAGTGGTGGCTCACACCTCAAATTCCAGCACTTTGGGAGGCTGAGGTGGCAGATCACCTGAGGCCAGGAGTTCGAGACCAGCTTGGCCAACATGGTGAAACACCATTTCCACTAAAAATACAAAATTAGCTGGGTGTGGTGGCGGGCACCTGTAATCCCAGCTACTCAGGAGGCTGAGGCAGGAGAATCACTTGAACCCGGGAGGCAGAGGTTGCAGTGAGCTGAGATTGTGCCACTGCACTCCAGCCTGGATGACAGAGCGAGACTTCATCTCAAAATAAATAAATAAATAAATAAATAAAGCTACCATACGATCCAGCAATCCCACTTTTGGGTACATACCAAACAGAACTGAAAAGAAAGGTCTTGAAGAGATATTGATACACCCATGTTGATAGCAACACTATTTTCAATGGCCAAGAGGTGGAAGCAACCCAGATGTCCATCAATGAATGAATGGATGAACAAAATGTGGTTTATACATATAATGGAATATTATTCAGTGTTTAAAAGAAATTCTGGGCCAGGTGCAGTGGCTCACACCTGTAATCCCAGCACTTTGGGAGGCCAAGGTGGGTGGATCACCTGAGGTCAGGAGTTCGAGACCAGCATGACCAACGTGGTGAAACCCTGTCTCTACTAAAAATACAAAATTACCCAGGCCTGGTGATGGGCGTCTGTAATCTCAGCTACTTGGGAGCTTGAGGCAGGAGAATCGCTTGAACCAGAGAGGCAGAGGTTACAGTGAGCCTAGATCACACCACTGCACTCCAGCCTGGGTGACAAGAGCGAAACTCTGTCTCAAAAAATAAAGAAAAAAAGAAATTCTGACACATACTACAGTATAAACGAAACTGGAAGACATCAAGCTAGGTGAAATAAGGCAGTCACAAAATGACAAATATTGTATGATTCCACTTTTCGGTGGTGCCTAGAGATATTAAATTAATAGGAACAGAAAGTAGAATGGTGGCTGTCAGAAACCGCAGGGAGGAGGGAGTAGGGGTTCTTTAAAACTGTTTCAGTTTTGCAAGATGAAAAGGTCCTGGAGATGTTTCACAACAGTGTGAATATACTTAACACTAATGAACTGTACACGTGGTTAAAAGTGAATTCTAGTGTTTTGTTTGTTTTTTTGTTTTTTTTTTACCGTAAGTAAAATAAAACATAACCTAAAGAGAGGGAAAAAACAGAGGGACAGAAGAGTGCTGGAAAGAAAGCTGCAGCATGGAAATGATACTAGCAATTAATATTTCAGAGTTCTCAGTCTAAACATTAAAAAAAAAAAAAAAAGTCCTGTAGAAGTGGAAGGGGAGGTCCCTGGAGTTGAGGGGTACCTCAAGGCCTGGGTTCAGAGGGTGTCTCTGTGGACATGGAGCCCTCCTGGGAGGAGGCTAGATGGTGGAGGGGATGTCTGTGGACCAGGAGCCCACTGCTTGGGAAACACTGCAAGGATGCCACGGGGATGGGAGGGGCAGGACACAATGGGAGAGGCAGCAGAGGATTCAGGGTGGGACCAGCCAGAGGGGAGGGGAAGCCTAGTGGTGGCAACAGAATTTGAACAGCCACAAACATGAGTCCCAAGCACGACGCTCCCAAGGCTGGAGGGCAGACATAGCCGCCACCCAGAAGGAAAGCACAGGCACGGTCTCCCTGAGGACCTGGAGGGAATGGGGGCGGGGTGCCAATGTCAAGGGAAGGGGAGGGGAGGGGAGAAGTGACTGGGCGAGGGCTCAGCGGTGGAGGGAGCCAGGTTGGGGCTGAGCAGAGAGCTCAAGAGAGAAAGAAACCAAGGGAGGGGGTCAGGGTGAAGGGGTCTCAGGAGGTGACATGGAAGACAACAGGGAGGACAGGTGGAGACCTCAGGGTGCCGGCTGAGTCCCAGGCCCTTCCTGATGGGTTTGGGTGGAGCAGCTCTGCTGCTCCGGTCCCTCTAAGGAGGGCCTCAGCCTAGGGCGCAGCAGAGAAGGTGGGATGGAGACTGCCATCACCCGGATGCCACCCTGACTCACTGTTGGTCCCCCTACAGGTCAGCAGCGGACTAAAGCCACAACCCCAGCCAGGTGAGTGCTGGGCCTCCCCAGGGTGGGTTGGGGGGTGCATGTGCAGGCAGTGGGCTGATTTGGGAAACAGGGAGTGTGCTGCTAAGAACCCCACAAACCCAGCCTGCCACGGCCATTGTTGCATCCCCAACTTACCCATCCTTGTTCTCCTTTGTCCTCTAGGGGCCAGGCTCTTGACCTTGGGCTTTCTGTCCCCTAAATACTAGACTAGTGGACTCCAGGTTCCAGCACAAACATTCAAGAATCTCTTTTCTGGAGTGCCCATCTGTGCCCTCTGCCTGCCTTTCCTGGTGTTATTAAGCTTTTCCTGCTCTTTACCTGCTTCCTCTCAGCCTGGATCTTCCAGCTTTTCCATATTGCCTACTCTGTTCAATCTGTCCTGTTCCCCTGCTGAATGTGCAGGGAACTCCAGGCTTCCTCTGCCTCCAGCTCCTCTCCCCGCCTGTGTTTGCTCAGGAGGGACTCACCAGCCTCTGCCTGGCTCCCCTCTCCAGGCTAGGGCCTCACTTTTCCTTTTTCTGGGCTCTTCCTCTCCACCCTCCCACCTCTCTTTCCTTTCCTCTGGCCCCTCCTTTCCATAGCCGTAGGTCTCCTGCTGGAAGAAAGCCTCACCCCTACCCTTTCTCCTGCACTGGCTTTTGCCAGCTGCCCTTCTCCTGTCCCCAACCCTTCTCTATCCATTCACCCAGCCTGAACCCCTCCCTGATCAGAAGACCTGAAATTCACGCAATTGTTTTGCTTCTCCCAGTTTTAGCCAAGGCAGCGCCAGCAGAGAGAAAGCAAGGATTGACCTTTTTCCTATTTTTATTCTCCGTGTTCCTCTCTCATACGAGCAACTTCTCTAGAAGAACCCAACTCACTGAGCACCGAGGGACCTCTGCTAAGCCACACAGATTGCCCCTAATTCCTCTTCCAAGCAGCCTCCGAGTCTAAAACCATCACACCCATCCTGAGCAGGGTGGACAGGTTGCAGAGCACTCCCCAAAGAGAACCAACCCCTAACACGTGTCATAACTCTTTCTTCAATTTTTTTTTTTTTTAATTTTTGAGAGAGGGTATCGCTCTGTCACCCAGGCTGGAGTGCAGTGGCGCAATCATAGCTCACAGCCTTGAACTCCTGGGCTCAAGTGATCCTCCCACCTCAGCCTCCTGAGTAGCTGTGACCACAGGCACACACCACTACGTCTGGCTAGTTTTTGTATTTATTGTAGAGATGGGGTCTCGCTATGTTGTCCAGGCTGGTCTTGTACTCCTGGGATCAAGCAATGGCCACCTGCCTCAGTCTCCCAAAGTGCTGGGATTACAGGTGCCACCACCCAGCCCATGTCTTAAAATGCCCAACCTCTAACATATTTCCTGTCCTCTTGTTCCCATACAGGGAACCCTTCCAAAACACAGAGGAGCCATATGAGAATATCAGGAATGAAGGTGAGTCCTTACCACCATCCTTCCCCAGTTTCTACCCCTGGCACTTCCTGTTTCCCCAAATACCCCCTACCTGGGTCCGTGCCCCTGTCAGTATTTTCTTCTTTCCATTCCTTGCCCCTTGCCCTCACGTGACCCTGGCCCTGACCTAGCAGATAACCTCACTCCTAGAGCCCCCTGCCCATCTCTCTCCCCTGGCTGTCACGCCACCTGACCTTGGCACACCTTGCTTTTTATTCTTAGGACAAAATACAGATCCCAAGCTAAATCCCAAGGTAAGCAATCAGACCAGGGCCTGAAGGAATTAAAGAGAAGCCTGGAGAAGGTGGGGTGGAAGGGAGAAGGGGAGTGTGGTGTGGGCAGGAGAGTCAAACTGTAGGCTTGCCGCTAAGATGGGAACAGCTCCGTCTCCACTGTCTAACCCTTTCTCTCTGGGTTCTCGCCCAGGATGACGGCATCGTCTATGCTTCCCTTGCCCTCTCCAGCTCCACCTCACCCAGAGCACCTCCCAGCCACCGTCCCCTCAAGAGCCCCCAGAACGAGACCCTGTACTCTGTCTTAAAGGCCTAACCAATGGACAGCCCTCTCAAGACTGAATGGTGAGGCCAGGTACAGTGGCGCACACCTGTAATCCCAGCTACTCTGAAGCCTGAGGCAGAATCAAGTGAGCCCAGGAGTTCAGGGCCAGCTTTGATAATGGAGCGAGATGCCATCTCTAGTTAAAAATATATATTAACAATAAAGTAACAAATTTAAAAAGATTGTCTTCAAAACTATTTTTAAAATCTGCATCCATTCAAGTACAGAGAGAAACAAGTAAAAATAAGACTGCACAATGACCTTCTTACGAGTACGCTACGCTTCCAATAGAAAGGGCCACAGCTTCCAGCAATAACCAAGGCCACACAGATGACTCAGAGGCCAGCCAGAGAACTGACAGAAAGAGAGCCATCTACTCCAACTCCCTCTTCACCTTCCCAACCCTGGCCCATAAAACTAAAAGTACCCCCAAAACTTACCTGAATGTAAGGAGAAAACTGACATCACCTTCAACTCCTGTCTCTCCCACTGAAAATGAATTCTAACAGAGAACTCACACCCAAGACCCTTCCTCTAGTACTTTTTTTAGTGACTTCCTTGGGCCAGGGAACATAAGCCCCCAAACCTTGGTAGCCAGCCCAAACCCAAAGCCTGTCCTCAAATCCGATCACAGTCTTCCCTATGGTGACAATGAGAGCATCACATTTGACATCATTCACAACCCTATAAGGTAGAGAACGCACTCGCTGTAAGATGAAGAGCAGAACCAGGATGGTGAACATGCTTTTCCCCAGGCCATGGAGGTAGCTAGTGAGGAGCCGAGCCCGGATTTGAACCCAGATCTGCCCTTCTTGAAGTCCTCTAGGACTCAGGTCTCACTGCCTTCCCCAGATGCCTGCACTGTGCAGGCTCCCGCTAGAAGCAGTGACGCGCCACAGTGACACGGAGGAGGGAGAGCAGCCAACAGGGGGCAGTTAGAGACCAGCCAACCCAGTCGACTGTAACCTGCTTTATTAACACAGAAACTGCACCACACACATTTGAACCTCATAGCCAATGAACAGACCCAGCACTTAGCAACTTCTCCCTCCTGCGCCCCAGAGAAGGGAGAAAAAGAGGGAGCAGAGGAGCACCAGCTACTTCCCAAACAGCGCCACGGGGAAGTCCTCGCCATCACTGTTGCTGTGCTGCAGCTCCCCGCTCTGCCCCAGCTCTCTCCCAACATCTTCCATGAGTTGCTCCAGGTCCAGGTCACTGGAGGCTTCGTCCTCAAGGGGGACACTTCCAGCCTCCTGGGTCAGGGGTTCCCGGTGTCTGGGCTCTTCTTTCGCAGATGAGGGGCAGGCCCCCTTACACGCTGATAGGCCCAGGTTCTTTGGCACTGTTCTAACTTCTTTTCCCTCTGAAAAGCTGGCTGCCAAGGCCTTGCTCTGGGGAGCTTTAAATTTTTTCTTAGGGCCTAAATGAGAAGGTGACAAAGCCAAGAGTCCTATTAGGTCAGCCTGTCCTTACCTTTTATAAGTCAAACTCCTAAATCTCTATTTCCAAGAAATCTCTGGAAAAGATGACCTTTCTCAATACAAAGAATATGGACTTTGGGATCAGAAAGAGAGTCAAGCCGTCTGCCCTATGCTAGTCACCAGCCTTGAGCACTTTTTAAATCCTTTGAGCCTCAGTTTTCTAATATCTAAAATGGGAATATCCAGTGAGAGAGCTATTGAAAAAAATTTAAAGGAGCAGGCATGGAAGTATCTCTTTAGCCAGCCCTTGGCAATACTGATTAAGTGTTACTTCTCTTCTACCATTCTCCTGCCCCTGGGCCAAATCAAATCAGGAATCATTCTGTTTCTATAGTGTGTGCTGGGTGCAGTCCGAGACGCTCTTTCATTCTAATTTTCATTCATTCTGTAAAGTAATGAAAAGCTGTAAAATGGTTAAGAAATGATTCAGGGAGGGGAGATGCTGACAGGCACCTCATTCCCCTTAGTTTTTCCCAGGCCTTGAGCCTTACCTGGCTGGTCAGAATCTGAATTCCCTTGGCCTTCTTTCCTTCCCATTCTGGGTGCAGGAGGAGCTGTGGATTTCCTGCCTAGAGATCTCTTCATTATCTTCCTCTGCAGTGTCCTGCCTCGGCCATCTGCTGTGCCTGCATCACCCCCAAGCCCTAGCCGTGAGGGAAATGCGTTTATTTCTCTCTAAACGACAACTCGGCAAGGGCAGATGGACACTGCACATTGAGTTTCTGCCCTGCCCCACATCTTCTGCTCAGTTGCAATCTAGTGAGTTTTCCTGGTGGCCTCTGGCTCTTTTTCAACATCTTTTCCCCCCAATTCTCTTTTTTTCTTTTATCCCCTGGATCTTCTTCTCTTTACAGTTCTCCTCAGAGTCTACCTTCTCCAGAAAGCCATCCTTCTTGGCTAAGAAATTAAAACCTTCCATCTTTCACCTCAGATTTTATAATTCAGTACAGAGAAGCAAAGGGGTTCCAGCTCCCCATGACACTATGGGTGAGTGTTGCCTGTTTTCTCAGGTCCTGGCACTGAGATGGGCAGTGAGGTCCAGCTACCTGCAGACTCCCTCTCTACCACTTCCCTGCCTTAACTGTGGGTTGTGCTCCATTTCCAGCTGGCCTGCTTACCTCTTGGCTTGGTTTTTTGGGTCTGTATTTTGACTCGCTTACGAATGGGCAAAATTGGGTCCTGAGGATGGGAGAGAAAGTTTAAAAAAATGATAAATCAAGGCCCCTAACTGTTTTTAATAGAGAAGGATGCTACAGAATGACAGGTGGGCTTTGGGGAATCAAAGTAGCTTCTGTGAGCCTGATATTGTTTAAATTTCTGGCAACACAGAGAAAAATGTATGGTCACTTTCCCAGTCTGTTGGTATTCATCAATGCAAGGCTTTAGGCATAAAAGAAGGAAATAAAGCTAGGCCACAAGTATGATAAAAATTGCTAAATTAAAAATTAGAAGAAAAAGTGAAAATATATATTTCCTATACCTGGAAAAGAGATGCTAAGAAAACAAGTGAATGAAAATCCTCCATGTCCATGTAGGGGAGAAAGGAGTGGAAAGAAACAACTGGTATTCTCTGAATTGCTCCCTGAGGAGTCAAATACATACAGTAGGAACTGAGATTATACTCAAGAAAGAAGTTCCTAGAGATGTGGGAAATTAGAGAATAAAGAGGAAAGAAGAGACTTAGAAACCCCCAAATATCTGACAACTGGGGCTCCCTCAAGGCAGGGTCAGGATAGCTCCTTAGTAAATCTAAGTCCATTCTAACGAGATCCTTACAGAAAGCTCCTGAAAGGAAACCCCAAGATCCTTGTCTAAACAATTTTTTTTTTTTTTTTTGAGAGGGAGTTTCGCTCTGTTGCCCAGGCTGGAGTGCAGTGGCGCGATCTTGCCTCACTGCAAGTTCTGCCTCCCAGGTTCAAGCGATTCTCCTGCCTCAGCCTCCCGAGTAGCTGGGACTATAGGTGCCCACCACCATGCCCGGATAATTTTTTGTATTTTTAGTAGAGATGGGGTTTCACTGTGTTAGCCAGGATGGTCTCGATCTCCTGACCTCGTGATCCGCTTCCCTCGGCCTCCCAAAGTGCTGGGATTACAGGCGTGAGCCACCACACCCAGCCATCTAAACAATTTTTAAAGCTAATGTTGGCCAGGTGTGGTGGCTCATGCCTGTAATCCCAGCACTTTGGAAGGCTGAGGTGGGAGGATTGCCTAAGTCCAGGAGTTTGAGACCAGCCTGGGCAACCTGGTGAAACTCCATCTCTATAAAAATAAAAACTGAAATTAAAGCTAATCTTACTGTTTTCTCTCCTTCCTCCTTTTCCAACTCTTCCTCTTTCTCCTTTTTCTCTAAGCAGGATCCTGGGCTGTTCAAACCAGAGAGCTGTAAGTCTAGAACAGGAAAAGGAAGGAAAGGCTAAATCATTCATACCATAAAATAGTGAGTTAATGAAGCTGATCACAAAGAATCTGTCTTCTAACTGTGCCTTTTGTGTACAAGTGGTATTTTCTCCATAAAATGTGATCCCAGATTTCCACCCTTTTCAAAGTCCATCACTATTCAATACACCCTCCCTCCCCATTCTGTTTCTCCCATTCCTCTCTCCACTCATCTGCCCATCCATCCTAGATACTGGGTCAATGACATTCACAAGAGCCTCCTATTAAAGAATCCAGAATTAGCCTGATGATAGAGAATATAAAATAAAGAAAAACATGGGTTGCTGCCCTCATGAAGGAATCCCTCCCATCCTTCTCCAGTCCTCAACCTCCATTTATCCTACCTTTTCTTTCCCCATTACTGTTAGATCCGTTGAATCGGCTCCAGAAACCAAACAAGTTAACCCGTTCCTAAGGGAACCAAGAAACAAAAGCATCATCCACTACCCTTTCAGGCGCAGCTTTTGCCTTCTGTCTTCTGGAATTTAGTTATGATGAAATTCTGATTCATTTTCCATACCAAAATTATCATTATTATTATTTTTGAGACAGGGTCTTGCTCTGTCACCCAGGCTGGAGTGCAGTGGTACAATCTTTACTCACTGCAACCTCCCCATCCCTGGCTCAAATGATCCTCCTGCCTTAGCCTCCCAAGTATGTGGGACTGCAGGCATGCACCACCATGCCTGGCTAATTTTGTATTTTTTGCAGAGATGGGGTTTTGCCGTGTTGCCTAGGCTGGTCTTGAACTCCTGGACTCAATGGATACACCTGCCTTGGCCTCCCAAAGTGCTAGGATTACAGGCGTGAACCCCCTGCCCAGCCCTCATTTTCCATACTATTTTCACTTGAAATTACACATTAGGCTTATCTGACTTTTTATGGAGATTAACTAATTATAATCTCTATTTCCAGTTTGTTTCTAATTCAACAAATAAGGGAAATTTGGAGGGGAAATTTTCACTGTTTTTTACTCTCTATCCTACCCCCACCAACAGAATTTGAGCATAAAAACTGACTCCACAGAAAAGAGAGGTTAGGGCACTTATATCTGAAACCTGAAGTGAAATATAGAGGTAGGATGGCCCCTAGCACAAACCATCTTTGTCTGGACTGAGAAAGAATCCCCCTTGTCCAAGAGTAGGGAAAGGAATGGGTGTGGTCTGAACACCCTCCCACCTGAATGCTGATCTGTTCTGCCTCTTGAGCCATCATCAGGGCCACCCCCAGTTTCTGGCTGCAGTCATTTCTGCGCTTTTTCTGAAATAGAAGATTAGAGCCAATGATAAATATTGACTTAAAGATTAGAGTCATGACCAGGTGCGGTGGCTCACACCTGTAATCCCAGCACTTTGGGAGGCCGAGTCAGGTAGATCACGAGGTCAGGAGTTCAACACCAGCCTGGCCAAGATGGTGAAACCCCGTCTCTAATAAAAATACAAAAATTAGTTGGACATGGTGGTGGGCGCCTGTAACCCCAGCTCCTCGGGAGGGTGAGGCAGAGAACTGCTTGAACCCAGGAGGCAGAGGTTGCAGTGAGCCGAGATTACACTACTGAACTCCAGCCTGGGGGACAGAGCGAGACTCCATCTCAAAAAGAAAAAAAAAAGAAAAAGATTAGAGTCACTAATAAATATTAGAGAAGTGACCCCAGCATACTGCTACCCATCTGACATTCTCTTCGACTACAGTATTTATTTCCAGTTCCTAGTATTGATACGATACTCCTATTCTTAATATTTAGGGATCGGACATAACACCCCCCTTCCGTCTAATAGACGTCTTACCAATTCCTAACTAGGTATATGTATATGTTTGGAGACAGTCTCACTCTGTCACCCAGGCTGGAGTGCAGTGGTGCAATCTCAGCTCACTGCATCCTCCACCTCCCTGGTTCAAGCAATTCTTGTGCCTCAGCCTCCTGCTGGGACTACAGGCACACACCACCATGCCCAGCAAATTTTTTGTATTTTAGTAGAGACGGGGTTTCACCATGTTGCCAGGTGGTCTCAAACTCCTGAGCTCAGGCGATCTGCCCACCTCGGCCTCCCAAAGTGCTGGGATTACAGGTGTGAGCCAGCACACCTGGCCCTAGCAATATTTTCAACCAACATTTTGGTGTCCTCTCCAAAGTGAATCCCATGGAAATTTGAAAACAGGATTATAGGAGCCCAGGTGATTTCACTTTGAAGCTTCTGACAAGTTCCTTTAGATCCAGCTGTTTGATTTAATACTCATTGCTTGATTTTCTAAGGCCCCTGAGCCATTGAGCCTCTGCTCAATTGCAAGGCTGGTCAAACCCAAAGTGACTACAGGGAGGAAATATGATGGTGCTAACCCAATGGTTCTCAACCGGGTAGACTGTGCCCCCCAGAAGGCACCTGGCAATGGCTGGAGATAATTTTTTGGTTGTCACAACCATGGGCAGGGTGGAGGTGGGGGCTGCTGCTGGTTAGATGCCGCTGGAGCCTGGGGATGTTGCTAAACATCCCACGATGCACAGGACAGCCCTCCACAACCAAAAATTATCTCGCCCGAAATGCCAATAGTGCTGAGACTGAGAAATCCTGAGTTAATCTGTGCCCTCATTTCTGCCACACCTGCTTTGGCTAAACTGTAGAAAAAACCTCATCTTCAGAATGGCCCCCAATCTGTAGGCAGGGAAGGGGACTGAAAAAAAAAATTGCCCTGCTGCAGTCCTGGGAGCAAGAAGAGTCCTTCATGAATTACCTCACCCTTGGCACACCTGGTCAGACACAGAACTTTCTCCCGACATGGCTTACCCTGGGAGAAAATGAGGTTTAAGAAAAGGAAGATTTTGTTTTCTCTGTATCACAACAGAACCCCAAGATGTGCTCACCATGACTGATAGCTCCAGGGACAGCTCCTGGAAGTTCTTTAGCATGTTGACTGGGATCCATGCACGAGAAACTGTTTCTCCAAAAAACGTCACATGGTACTTAGACTGAAATAAAAGATGATCCTGTTACGGACTCCTGTCCTGCTCCCTGCTTTTCTCCTCTAGCCAGAACAGATCGGGAGAATGGGAATTCACCCAGAAGGAGGTGCTGGGCCTCACATACTCCTTTCAAAGCCTGACTCATCTACCCTACCCTCGTTGCAATTGTTCTTCCATTCTAACCTCAGGAATCCTAGCCAAAGCGTATTTATCAAAACCACTAATGCCCTGACAGTGGATAAATATTTAATTAGATACAAGTTTGTTTCTATTATATGTGTGAGCACTTATCTCTGTGTTTGTCATCCTAGTTAAGTGTCTGTTTTCACTTGTGTCTGCTGGCTATGTCCATGTCTCTTATCTGTACGTCTGTGAGGATGGATTTGTTCATTACTTTGGCCTGAGCTCCTTCTTACCCTGAACCAGGAAACTCACCGGCAGGGAATCAAGATGGGAAGTAAAAAGAAAATATTCCCCTAAGTCAGGATCAGATTCTATCATGCCTGGCCACCTGGAGAAGATAGTTGGGTGTAGGGGACAGAAGAGAAGGGGTTAGATGAACAGAACACAACCTCATCAATGTACATGCACAGAGAAGAGCAGTATGATTTTTTTTCTGAGACAAGGTCTCACTCTGTCACCCAGGCTGGAGTGCAGTGTTACAACCATGGCTCACTGCAGCTTTGATCTGTCAGGCGCAAGTGATCCTCCCACCTCAGCCTCCTGAGGAGCTGGGACTACAGGCACATGCCACCACACCCAGCTGTTTATTTTATTTTTTGCAGAGATGGGGTCTCACTATATAGCCAGGACTGATCTCAAACTCCTGGGTTCAAGCAATCCTCCTACCTCAACCTCCCAAAGTGCTGGGATTACAAGCGTGAGTCACTGCGCTCAGCCAGCAGTATGCTTTGCAAAAAAAGGATCCAAAAAATAGATTCCCCTTCCATCATCCCCCTCTAGTGGTCACTACTGAATGACTCGTGAGAAAGTGACTTCCATCGATGCACACAGGAGCTCAGAATATACCTAGTGAAGGTATCTTACCCTTCTGAGCCATCCACAATCCTAAGAACAAAATCTTCGACTAGAGACATCTCCAAAGAAGAAACTATCCCACTTTTCCTTGTTCCCTTTACTTTGTCTCTCTCAATCTCAATATTTTTATTTATTTTTGAGATGGGGACTCACTCTGTCGCCCAGACTGGAGTGCAGTGGTGCAATCTTGGTTCACTGCAACCTCTGCCTCCCGGATTCAAGTGATTCTTCTGCCTCAGCGTCCTGAGTAGCTGGGACTACAGGCACGCGCCACCACGTCTGGCTAATTTTTCTATTTTTAGTAGGGATGGGATTTCACCATGTTGGCCAGGCTGGTCTCAAACTTGTGGTCTCAGGTGATCTGCCCGCCTTGGCCTCCCAAAGTGCTGGGATTACAGGTGTGAGCCACTGCGCCTGGCCAATCTCAATATTTTTAAATGCCTCAGATCCACCCTCTTCTTTCTACCAGTTGGGGTAGCACTATCAGACCCTTTTTTCCAGGGAGCTATCACCTCCATGCTGAAACCTCCAGAAAATACACTCTTTCAAAGCCTCCAGGCTTGGTACTTTATCTTTTCTCTCACCCCATGCTCTTTCTAAGGCCAGAACCATTTCAATTACAGATGTTTTCCATTTGCTTCCACCCCTGCTTGAATCTACCTCTCCCAAGTTTGTGAAGGATGCTCTGACTGTGTCATAATGCCCTACCAGGGGTAACCGTATTGCTTGGCCCAGATGATGGATCCTGGGATGTAGGAGGCATAGGCCACATCACTCTCAAGCCCTGTCCAGGTCTCCTCAGGAATATCACAGCGATTATACTGCACATCTGCTGAAAGAGAGAAGGAATGAAGGGACAGGAAGAGACTCTTTAAGAGAAAGAGCTGGATGAGAGCTGGGGAGAGAACAAGAAGGAAATTGGTATATGCAGCAGGTGGGACCAAAGGGGCACCTGGGAGATCAGCACAGAGGAAGAATAAAGACCCATGGAGGAAATGCAGCTGGAACCAGCTGAAATGCAGCTGGAACCAGCTGAAATGCAGCTGGAGGCAGTAGGAATGGTGCCTCCTCATACTCCAGGAAGAGATTCCACACTCCTGCTTGCATGCCCGCGTGTCTGACTGTGCTCCTGTCTATGGAGCACCATAAGAATAATTTCTCTGAGACTCTGTTTTCTCATCTGTAAAATAATTGGGCTGGACAAGATCATCATCATCTCTTCCAACTAGTTCCAAACAGCCTAGAATTCTAAGCGCACCAGATCTCTCTCGTCTGTTTTCCCCGATATATCCTATATCCCTCCCTATCCACCAACCCAATACCAATATTTTAATCAGGATTGACAGGGGCAGACCAATGCTCATGTATTTAGATTCCAGGCCCCTCCCCAACAAGATCACTTTACAGGGCATCTTCCTCCAGCCTTTTCTGCCCAGATTCATCTCCATATGAGAGGCAGATCCTTCCTCTCTCCCAAGCACTACAAGGACACTGAGTGCTAACTATATTTACGTAGTATTTAATCTAAAGGATAAGTGCAGAGAAAGAAAGGGAGGAACAATAAAACATGAATGAAAACATTTCCAGTCTTTTCTACCTGTGTTCTGATCACAGGACCAATTATCTGGGAGAACTGAGGGGTCAATGTTCCCACACAGCCGCCTCCATTTCCCACAGTTTGGGAAGGAACACTGGACCCAGACCAGACATTGACCTGTGAGAGGAAAAAAATGAAATAAGAGACTTAAAAATATGCTCTTCCTTCTTTAATCCAACTAAAATCAGGATAACCCTCCCAACTCCCAGAATGACATAGCCAGAGAGACATTAGAGATCAACCAGCCCGATCCCTGACTTATAAGAGGGAAACCAAGGCTCAAAGAGGTAACTGGCTTGCTGAGGATTAGCTAACTTGGCGATAGAGCTGAACTTAGAACTCAAGTCTCATGCCTTGATCTTTTTCCTGTACTAGGCTACCATGTCTCCCTGCCCCAAGGCTGAAAGGAATGTTTCTTGTATTGACAGTTCTTAAATTGAAAGGTTGCCTGGCATCTTTCCAGATAGTGCCTTGTTCTCTGCTGGCATGACACTACTGAAAAGTTCTTTTGAAGGGCTAACCTGCATCTCTTTTGTGCACAACATCCAGAGTTCTTATCCAAATCTCAACTGATTTACCTGTCACCAAATCACCAAGTTGCAAACTTTAGGACCAACAGTGTCTGAGTTCACTCTTCTCCAAAAGACACAGGTCTAAGCCTATCACTTCTCCATCAACTATTAACTCTGGGCCCTGCTCAAAGGCCAAGCCTTCCTTTTATCCATTACCTTCCAGACCCCCACCTCTCCTAAGCTGACCCATGTCCCTCAGCCTCTCCTCTCTCCCACCAAAACTCTTCCATTGTGGTCTTGGAAAGTCCATTGACTCGAGCAACAAAAGTCCACATATCCTCAACCTCAAATCTGAACTTCTATCTCCTTTCTGAAGCCTGGAGACCCACTAATGACACTGCCCCACCTAAACCACCCCCACCTACAACCCTGTAAGTGCAGTCAGTTCCTCTCACACTCCCCATGTCTCTTGGGACAGAAAGTCAGGCTGGCATTATCATTGCCCCATTGCTACTACTCTCCAACTCTTATAAAAACTTCCTCCCTTGAGGTCTATGCCATGGGACTATCCTCACCTCTCATCTCCCTTGTAGAGATGCTGGTATCTGATTCAGTCTTCTCTCCACCTCCTGCCTTCATTCCAAATGACCTCTACATCCACAGGAACTCCTCATACAGCACCCCATTATTTCAGTCCCTTGACTTTTTTCTTCATGTCACCTCTGGAACCCACTCCCACTCCTGCATGCCCCACCCAGTCATCTGCAGGAACTGCACACCCTCTGAGCCACTCATCCAAACATCCTATCTACAAAAATGCCCCGTCTTCCACCTCACTTGCTCAAAGACTCCTATAGCAACTTTCATTTTATCTAGCTCTCCAACCCACTGCCCACTACCATCCTCTCCATCTGGAAGCAACTTTCATTCTTCACTCTGTTCCACTCTGGTTTGATTACTTGACATTTACTTGGATTCTCTTGTAGACACCTTCAGCTCCCTTTCCCACTGTCGTTCTTCCCACCCAGGTGGCAAAACACCAACCAGAATGAACCCTCTCCACCTTTTCTGAGCCTACACTCAAGCAATTGAGTTGACAGAGAAAAATCACATAACAGACACATAGGTATCGCTATATATTCACTATTTATTTATCAACCAACATATTTCTCCAGTAAGTTCACTCTCTCCCACTGCCAAATTTTACCTTAAATACCTGATCATAAAGGATGGCTCCTAATCCCATCCCTCCAGAATCATCCCTCAGAAAAGTTGACGTGCATTTGGGTCTTTTCAAAATATCACATATAAGGATCACTTTCGCAATTACTTTTTTTTTTTTTTTGAAACACAGTCTCGCTCTGTTGCCCAGGCTCAAGTGCGGTGGCGCAATCTCGGGTCACTGCAGCCTCCACTTCCCAGGTTCCAGTGATCCTCCCACTTCAGCCTCCCAAGTAGCTGAGACTACAGGCATGCACCACCACACCCAGAAAATTTTTTGTATTTATTGACAGAGGCAGGGTTTCCCCATGTTGCCCAGGCTGGTCTTGAACTCCTGGGCTCAAGTGATCCACCCTCCTCAGCCTGCCAAAGTGCTGGGATTACAGGGGTGAGCCACCATGCCCAGCCTCAATTACCTTATCTTGAAGAACAAAGTACTGGTTGGGACTAATATGTTAGTCTGAAATGACAGTTGCCAATAGTAGTTTTGGATGTTTACAGAGGTGAGCTAGCAAGACTAGAAAAAAAGAGTAGGAGGAGAGGCCAGGAGTCATATATATTAATACAGATCAATAATAATACAAATTGTTAGCTGTGAAAGCAGTGAGTACTCATAAGAAAATGAGTAGGAAAAAATCACTATAATGATATGGAACTGGAAATTTATGGCTTGGAATAATATTTTTGACAAGAACATTGTACTTTTTTAAAAGTTCAAGTAACCTAAAGGAGAAGATAATGTGCTCTGGAAAACTGTGTTTGATGCCCGGATGTGGCTCTATGATCATGAAGACTGATGTCACAGACACATGTTAAGAGGATTTCACTTGACCACTCATTCTTGAAACACTAGTTTCCTGGGTTCTGTGATGTCTCATTCTCCTGTCCCCCTCCCCCTGATTTTACTGGCAAGCTTCCCCCTCAGTCTCCTTTGCTGGGTTCTCTTCGTTCTTCAATCTCTAAATGTCAGGGGTCCCAAAGCCCAATCATGGGCCTTCTCTCCCCATGATACACTTTCTCCTGAGGCAAGCTCACTCATTCCCATGGCTTTGAAATCTATTTTCATACCTGACAGAACACAGCTGTCTACTTACAGCCTCTGTTCTGAGCTCGAGATTCCTAAGCCGCCTTGCTCTTTGACATCTCTATTTGGATGTCTCACAAGGATCTCAAACCTAAATGTACCCAAACCTGAATGCTTCATCTTATATTACAAATTTTTTCTTCCTCCGCTCTTTCCCATCTCCCTTCACATAACTGTTCAAGACAGAAACCAATCATCCTTGACATACCTTCTCCTGCTCCAACCTTCCAGTATCTAATTCATTACCAACTTCTAACAATTTTACCTCCAAAACATACCTTAAAACCATCCACTTTTCTCTTTCTCTATTTTGATCATCCTAATCCATTTTATTTTTTTTTTATTTATTTTTTTTGAGACGGAGTCTCGCTCTGTCGCCCAGGCTGGAGTGCAGTGGCACGATCTCCACTCACTGCAAGCTCTGCCTCCTGGGTTCACACCATTCTCCTGCCTCAGCCTCCCGAATAGCTGGGACTACAGGCGCCCGCTACCACACCCGGCTAATTTTTTGTATTTTTAGTAGAGACGGGGTTTCACCATGTTAGCCAGGATGGTCTTGATCTCCTGACCTCGTGATCCACCCGCCTCGGCCTCCCAAAGTGCTGGAATTACAGGCATGAGCCACCACGCCCAGCCTTATTTTTTAAATATATATTTTTTTGAGACAGGGTCTTGCTCTGTTACCCATGCTGGAGTGATGTGGTATGAACATAGCTCACTGCAACCTCAAACTCCTGGGCTCAAGTGATCTTCCTGCCTCTGCCTCCCAAAGTGCTGGGATTACAGGTGTAAACCACTGTGCTCAGCCATCATCTTAATCAAAGCCTAATACCTAATCCTAATACTAACTTCTTAACTGGTCTATTCTTCTTTTCTCCCCATACTCCATCTCCAATTAATCACCAAAGGATCCTTTTAAAACATTAATGTGAAGATGTCACTTCCCTGGTTAAAACCCACCAGTGGATTCCCCCTGCACTTAGGATAAAATGTTCACTCTGTACATGGTCTTTGACCTAGCCACTGCCTCCCTCTTTCCAGTTATCCAGAGCCACGTTCCCAACTTGCCTCCCCTTGCTCTCTGAGCTCCGCAATCACACTGGCTTTCTTTTAGTATCTGGAACATACCACACTTTACCCTACCTAAAACTCTTTCTTCACTTGGATAACTTCTACTCTGCCTTCAGGTTTCAGCTGAAATACTGTTTCCTTAGAAATGCACTCCCTGACCAGCCCAATCTTACTTCCTCTCATGACACACTGCTCTTTTCCTTCTCTGTACTTAATGCAAATTGTATTCATTAAATACTCCTTCCTACTTCAGGAGCACTCACCTCTCCTTGGCAACTGTAAGAAATGGGAAGAATGGTTTATTTATAGCAGGAGGCTAATAAATCCACTACAATCACAATTCAACTCACAATCACCTAGAGGGTGAACCCTCATCTGCCAGCCTAAGATCTAGTCCATGCAGTAATTCTTTTTTTTCCATTTCTTTTTTAATATAAATTCACTTTTTTTCTTTTTTATAGAGACGGGGGTCTCACTATGTTACCCAGGCTAGTCTGGACTCAAGCAAGCTTCCTGCCTCAGCCTCCCAAAGTGCTAAGATTACAGGTGTGAGCCACTGCGCCAGGCCTCTTACAGTAATTCTGAGTACAGGAGACAGAGCAACACAAATCTAATGACACCAATTTATTTGAGCTAACCAGAGATCAGGTCAGTGGGGTCTGCAGTACCCCAAAAGTTCTCAACAAGCACATCTGAGTTTATATAGTCACATAAAACCAAAAGAAAAACCTTTTAGTTTCCTTTTTGACTCTACCTAGAAACTCCCTTCGGGTAGTCTGAACTCCAGGCCACCTGGTTGTTCAAATTAGACTTATACCTCAGTGCCTTATGTTACTATGTCATTATAACAAGAGGAATGGTTTATTGACCTGAACTACCTTGTTTGGTGCCTGCATAGTCTTGGAGTTTTCTTCCAAGTATGTGCAAACTATATTATGCTTCCACAACCAAAACCACATATATGTACACATACAGATTAGACACTACGTAACTTTTTATTCCACTGTTTCTTAAAGTTGGAACTTGTTCTGTCTTTTTGTATTATGTTTTGTTTTGGGGTTTTTGTTTTTGTTTGGTACAAGCCTGTTTAGATTGTTGTCTATTTATTTAGTTTTTTAGAGACAGGGTCTTGCTCTGTCACCAAGGCTGGAGGGCAGTGGCACAATCATCGCTCACTGCAGCCTCCAATTCCTGGGATCAAGAGATCCTCCCACCTCAGCCTCTTGAACAGCTAGGACTACAGGCACTACCACTACATCCAGCTAATTTTTTTTTTTCTTGTAGAGATGAGGGTCTCACTGTGTTGCCCAAGCTGGTCTCAAACTCCTGGTCTCAAGTGATCCTCCTGCCTTGGTATTTTTGAATTTTTGAACACACTAGTATATTGTATGATCTGTTTTATTTCTTGTCATAAAATTTACCATTATCAGGCTGGGCACGGTGGCTTACACCTGTAATCCCAACACTTTAGGAGGCCGAAGCGGGCAGATCACAAGGTCAAGAGATCGAGACTATCCTGGCCAACATGGTGAAACCCCATCTCTACTAAAATTACAAAAATTAGCTGGGCGTGGTGGCGCATGCCTGTAGTCCGAGCTACTAGGGAGGTTGAGGCAGGAGAATCGCTTGAACCCGGGAGGAGAAGGTTGCAGTGAGTGGAGATCGCGCCACCGCACTCCAGCCTGGCGACAGAGCAAGACTCTATCTCAAAACGAAACAAAACAAAAAAACAAAAAACCCCTCCCTCAACTCCGTACCCATTTTTTTTTTTTTTTTTTTTTTTTTTTAGACAGAGTCTCCCTTTGTTGCCCAGGCTGGAGTGCAGTGGCACAATCTTGGCTCACTGCAACCTCCGTCTCCTGGGTTCAAGCGATTCTCCTGCCTCAGCCTCCAAGTAACTGAGACTACAGGCGCATGCCACCATACCCAGCTAATTTTTGTATTTTCAGTAGAGATGGGGTTTCACCATATTGGTCAGGCTGGTCTTGAACTCCTGACCTTGTGATCCACCCACCTCGGCATCCCACAGAGCTGGGATTACAAGCATGAGCCACCATGCCCAGCCTCCATTCCTTTTTATCTACCATTTTCTCCCTCTTACTTTCCCTATCTAAACTAATTGAAAAAGTGTCTACTCTTCAACCAGCTATAAGCTGCCATTCACGCTTATCAACTCTTTCAGTAGCTATAACCAAACCGCTAATGGCTTCCTAATTGTGATGTCCTTGAGCTTATGTTTATCCTCTTTGATTTCTTTACGATGGCATTCGACATGGCTGAGCATCCCTCTTTCTTTAAATTCTCTCCTCCCCTGGGATCTATAATACCACTCCTTATTTTTCTATTACCTTTCTTACCACATCTTCTATTACCTTTTTTACCACATTATCTCAAACTATTACCTTTCTTACCACATCTTCATTTTCTTCCTGGGAAACATCTAAAATGCTTTGTACACAGTAGGCACCCAACAACTATGGATTATGTGAATAAATGACTGAATGAATGAAATTATTCTTTCGGCAGCATATTCTGCAACAAGCAGCTGTGAGAGATTGACTATATTCTTTGCAGAGGTTCCTCTAACATCCTAACCCTGCCTCTCTGCTCTATTTCAAATTTTCAGGCCAAGTAGGTTTGCCAAACCAGCTAAACTCACCAAAACCACTTATCTCTCCTTTTTGCTGGTCCCTGATCTGAGAATGATCCTGAACTGTTTTCTTTAGTCGGTCTTCCTGTCTGTGCTCATGTCCACCTTGAGTTTTCTCCACCTTCTCATCTTCTGGGAAGAAAAAAGAAAACGTGAGGTGGGGAGATGAAGAAGACAATCTTTGTAGATAGTAAAGGTCAGTGAAAGAAGGAAGAAGAATCACAGCCTAATAGTCTCAAGTCTTGGGCTGAAAATTCTCAGCCTGCCCATGGTCCCATTCCCTAATTTCCTGGAGCTAGTACTTGAGCCAGGCTTCAAAGTATATCTGACTGTACTTACGAGCTTCCTTCTTTCTTTTGCTTAAGGTGAGTCTATTGGATTTCTTCTTAGAGGGTGCAGGATCTGGCTGGCCTAACTTAGATGTCCTTATCTCAGGGGCAGCTTCACCTTCCCAAGACACTGAAATCTCTTGAGTATGTGGTACCTCCTCTCTGAAAATGAGGTTTTATTTTAATGAAAGGTAAAAATAGAGCAATTGCAGAACTCTTCTTCTGAAAAAACCCGAGTAAAAGGAAGACAGATGAATCCTAAGCTCTCTAAGACCTCCTGAGGCCATTTCATCCATCTACTTGCCTATTTTTCCCAACTCAAACAGGTATCTTTCCTGAGCTGAGAGAAATCTATAGAAATATGATAAATGGGCTGGGCCTGGTGGCTCACGCCTGTAATCCCAGCACTTTGGGAGGCCAAGGCGGGTGGATCACAAGGTCAGGAGTTCGAGACCAACCTGGCTGATATGGTGAACCCCGTCTCTACTAAAAAGTATAAAAATTAGCCGGGTGTGGTGGCAGGCGCCTGTAATCCCAGCTACTCGAGAGGCTGAGGCAGGAGAATTGCTTGAACCCAGGAGGCAGAGGTTGCAGTGAGCTAAGATCACGCCACTGTACTCCAGCCTGGGCGACAGAGCGAGACTCCGTCTCAAAAAAAAAAAAAAAAAGAAATATGATAAATGACCAGATAGACAGACAGATAGATAGACTGACTGACCATGAATGTGTAGTCCATTCTGTGTTCAACTTGCCTCACTGAAATAAACTTACCCATTAGCATTATCAGTATCAGTAGCAGAAGCAGTAATTCCTGGCTCCTTGTCTGATTGGGTAGATACTACGGGCTGGGCACAAGAAGTCTCTGCAAAATCAAGGCCAGATCCCATCCCTCCCAAAACAAAATACTATAAGCAGAGAAGCAAAAAAACGAAAAAGCCACTCTATTACTCCCTAACATTTTCTCTAAAGTGTCTTCTCCCTGTAGCCTGAAAGAGCCTACCTGTCATATCACAGAACTTTAAATATTTAAATTTTCAGGAAAAACTACAAATATGTATCTTTCTGCAAGCCTTTCCAGATCGATCTGCCTCATTCCAGGATGGCCAGGTAATGATAATTTTGTGTACATAAAAAAATTATAGGCCAGGCATGGTGGCTCACGCCTGTAATCCTAACACTTTGGGAGGCCGAGGTGGGTGGAATGCCAAACCTCAGGAGTTCAAGACCAGCCTGGGCAACATGGTGAAACCCTGTCTCTACTAAAATACAAAAAATTTGCCAGGCACGGTGGCATGCACCTGTAGTCCCAGCTTCTCGGGAGGCTGAGGCAGGAGAATTTCTTGAACCTGGGAGGCGGAAGTTGCAGTGAGCCAAGATCATGCCACTGCACTCTAGCCTGGGCAACAGAGTGAGACTCCATCTAAAAAAAAAAAAAATTATATGTACTGTATTTTATATCATTTGTTGCTCAAACGCCTAGGAATAGAAGTATACCTAAGAATGGCTGAAATGTCAGACTGTTCTCTTCAGCCTCATGAACTTATGGAAAAGCCTTCATAGAGGTTTTTGGTTTTTTGGTTTTTGGTTTTTGTTTTTTGGTTTTTTTTTGAGACAGAGTCTTGCTCTGTCGCCCAGGCTGGAGTGAGGTGGCGAAATCTCGGCTCACTGCAACTTCCGCCTCCCAGGTTCAAGCGATTCTCGTGCCTCAGCCTCCTGAGTAGCTGGGACTAGAGGTGCACGCCACCACGCCTGGCTAATTTTTATATTTTTAGTAGAGACGGGGTTTCACCATGTTGGGCAGGCTGGTCTTGAACTCCTGACCTCAAGTGATCCACCCGCCTTGGCCTCCCAAAGTGCTGGGATTACAGGCATGAGCCACTGCACCTGGCCTCCCTCACTGCGTTCTTTATTCCAAAAACTAAATCTCTAACCACATGCAAAATCGGTATTAGAAACTGAAATTTGCAAGGGTATGTACCCTAAGTTTTTCAAATCTAGGGAAAACAATTTTATCTTATTTGAAGTTGTTTGTAAATACATGGAAACGAATTTTAACTGCATTTTAAAAATTTAGGGCCAGGCACTGTAGCTCACGTCTACAATCCCAACACTTTGGGAGGCTGAAATGGGAGAATCGTTTGCAGCCATGAGTTCAAGACCAGCCTGGGCAACATAGCAAGACCTCATCTCTACAAAAAGTAAAAATTAAAACAACAGGCTGGGTGCAGTGGCTTACACATGTAATCCCAGCACTGAGAGGCTGAGGTGGGCAGATCACTTGAGGTCAAGAGTTCGAGACCAGCCTGGCCAGCCTGGTGAAACCTTGCCTCTACTAAAAATACAAAAATTAGCCAGGCGTGGTGGTGGGCGCCTGTAATCCCAGCTACTCAGGAGGCTGAGGCAGGGGAATCACTTGAACCTGGGAGGCAGATGCTGAAGTGAGCTGAGATCATATCACTGCCCTCCAGCCTGGGTGACAGAACAAGATTCCATCTCAAAAAAAAAAAAATAATAAATAAGTAAATAAATAACAACAAAAATCCCATAATGGCTTGAAAATTTAGTTAAGACTATATATAAATTCTGAAGTCAATGTAATCCACTTTTTCTAAAAATATGTACCCTTTATCTAAGGTGGTTTAGCTATAGTCCTGTTGACAGATGATGAAGTATTTTTAAAATATGTTGAAGTCTCATCTAATATTACCTTATTTAGAAGATGGGAGAGAAAGAGAGAAGCTGTCAGACTTAACTCTCCCTCTCAGGTAACAGTCACTGCTTAACTGAAACCCTTTTTCTCTTACTACATGCCATACCCAAGCACTCCTGAAGGGACTTCTGCAGAACAATCTGGACAATCTCCTCAAATTCTGCATTGGTAAGACTTGATTTTTCCTGCAGAGACAAGGGTAGGGGAGGAAAACCACTTATCTTTCCATAGTTTTCCCCTCTGAACAGTCAGGGAAGCCTCCTTCAGATGAGGCAGTAAGTTTATAAGACGGAAGGCATGCAGTCAGCATACCTAAGGAGGCCATGAACTATATCCCAGATCTCCTGGGAATAAAGGAGTCAAAGGAAAGAGAAAAGTGTATAATGTCTCTGTCTACTTCTATCCCCACCTCTAACCCACCTCATCCCATTATTTCCTGCTCAATTCTTTCATCAAAACATTTTTGACCTCTTTGAGAAAAAAAAAAGGAAGCCCTCAAAAAGGAATACAAACCTGAAACTCTAGGGTGAATTTCCCCAGTGTGAAAAGACTCTGTTTGTCTAGCCTGAGCCAGGGGTAAGGTATGAGAAAATCTCCTACCAGAGCCCACCACTATGACTGGTACCTTTTCTTTCTTCTCTGCTTGCTTGTTGATTTGTGCCTTTCTTTTTTTCTCCTGTTCCCTGCTTGGAACATTCTTCATGGTTGCTTTTTCCTCTTTCTTCTTTAAACTGGCCTTTGGCAGGCTTATCCTGGCCTCTGTCTCTGGGGAACTGATCCCCGGGGTCTCCTCCTTAGGGGAGTTAGGGCTACAAGGTAACAGGCTGTAAGATTTTTGTGCAGGTGGGGCAAAGATTCTCTTTGGTCCCTTTCCACATTCTGAAAGAAATGTGATCAAGTGGAATTTATGAAACATACAGTCTAACAGAGATTGCCAAACATTACCCTTTGACTAGCCATAACAGAATGATATGGAGAGAGCTTTTAACAAATTCAGATTCCTGGGTCTCTCACTGCTTACTCCACTCCTCAGCCCTGAGATGCTGATGAGGTAGTTAGACATGAGAGGCCTAGCAATCTGTAATTTTACAAGGCTAGTTGATTCTGATATACTGCCAGGTTTGGGAACCACTAAGTCAAAGGTGATAAATATAAGCATGCAGGAAGCTGAGTTATCCAAATGTGAAACTGTATAATTTGCTCATTTTTACTTTAGATAAAATGTTATGGAAAATTAGAGCAAATTTTTAAAAACTAGTCAAAATCTATAAATTATTCACAGCTCTTATGCCACCTCCTCAATAAAAATTATAATGATCCTCCCAGGTATATCTTTCTTTGAGCTTCCTTAATACTCTGCACATAACTGGTGGCATTTACCACATTCAACTTTATGATAGGTATTTAAATGCCTTTTCTCTCCCTGAGTTTATATGTTCCTCGAGCAGGACTGTTTTTAAGTCATATTTATTTCACTCAAAGCATCTAGCAGAGCAGTAATTTGACCTGAGTGGGCACAGAATATAGGGACCCGTACCATCCTTTGGTGGAAAGGATGTCCAAAAGGAGAAAAATGAGAGAAATGTATGAAGCGAACCTCCCTCACTCTTGACTCACCTTCTTTATTCTGCAACGTTGTCATCATTCAGCTTAGAAACTACGCTTTGTGTGCCTCTGTTAGAAAAAAGAAATTAACTGCTATGACTCTGATTAAACAAGATTTTAAACTTTCTGTCTACTTGGGTTCAGAAACTCTTTGTTTCAGACCTCTGAACTAGGTTTCTGCATTCTTGACCTCCTCTGTGGTGCCAATTACACACCAGGGAATAATGAGTTACTGTTTTAAAGATTGGCAACAATCAGTGCTGGGTGTGGTGGCTCACACCTGTAATCCTGGCACTTTGGGAGGCCATGGCAGGCAGATCACTTCAGCCCAGGAGTTCAAGACCAGCCTGGGCAACACGGCAAAACCTCATTTCTACAAAAAATAAAACAAATTAGCCAGTGTGGTGGCATGCGCCTGTAGTCCCAGCTACTCTGGAGGCTGAGGTGAGAGGATCACTTGAGCCCAGGAGGCGGAGGCTGCAGTGAGCCAAAATTGTGCCCCAGCACCCCAGCCTAGGTGACAGAGTGAGACCCTGACTCAAAAATTTAAATAACAAATAAATATTAGCAGCAATCCTTAGTGTTTTATGTGCCTAGAACCATGTCCAGCCTAGAACCATGTCCAACCTAAGGCAGGCAGCAGAAATGGTAGTAGTACCAGAAGCATAGGTGGTAGTAGAGCAGTGATGGTAGGGTATGAACAATCCTGGCAGTTAAGAGTTTTCTTCAGAGGGATAGCCTCATTTCATAAGCCTCTCCTAAACACTTAGAACACACATATAATTTGGTAATTCTCTGACCTCAGAGGTCTCTGTGCATAGAGAAGCCCCACTTTTAACATCATTATAATGTTTATTTTCCCTTTCTTAGATCCTCAGTCCAATCAATTTTCAAATGTACTAGATTCTACCAATCTCTAGTCATAGCTCAGAAGTATTTGATAACCAGTAGAGGTTCCCAGAAAATTTAGTATCTTTTTCCTTATTCTACCTTAGCACCTAATAATGAGAAATTAAATTAGTGCCTTGATATTCATAGTTCATCTTCAGCAATCTACTCACAGATGTTCCACACGACATCAATGTGTTTCTTTTTTTTTTGAGATGGAATTTTGCTCTTGTTGCCCAGGCTGGAGTGCAATGGTGCGATCTCGGTGCACCGCAACCTCCGCCTCCCGGGTTCAAGCGATTCTCCTGCCTCAGCCTCCCGAGTAGCTGGGATTACAGGCATGCGCCACCACCGCCGACTAATTTTGTATTTTTAGTAGAGACGGAGTTTCTCCATATTGGTCAGGCTGGTCTTGAACTCCCCACCTCAGGTGATCTGCCTGCCTCAGCCTCCCAAAGTGCTGGGATTACAGACGTGAGCCACTACACCCGGCCTGACATCATGTGTTTCTTGATTACTAATGACACTGTGACTAATGGTAATGGCTAACACTTATTGAGCACTGACTATATTCTTTACCCTTTATGTAGCATTCCATTTAATTCTCACAACAGATCTATGAGATTGGTAACATTTTACACTTGGGGGAAATTCAGGTTTACAGGGATTTAAAGATATTAAGTCATCGATAAGTAGTAAAATCAGGATTAGAACCTGTCTGATTTCAAAGTTTGTGCTAATAACTGCTACACGACATCCTAACAGTCTAATTCAGTGCTTCACCACCATTTTGCTATCACAGCACACACAGAAAACATACATTAATAGCGTATACTGAAACACATAGAAAATGACATTTCCAGGTACTCTGGGGGTAAAAGGACCAGGCTGCTCACAGCCATAGGCAACTGAAGAGTCACACCAAAGGCTGAAGAAGAAATTAGTATCTACACAGCTACAAGCTATTCGTGACCCACCAGTGTGCCAAGACTCATCTGCGAACATTCCAGTATTTTTATTTTCCAATTTATACTTTCCCACTACTGATATTATTTCCATACAGCTTTATTTTTATTTTTTCTTTCCAACCTTTATTTTACATTCAAGGGGTACATGTGCAGGTTTGTTACATGGGTAAATTGCATGTCATGGGATTTAGTGTACAGATAATTTTGTTTCACAGGTAGTGAGTATAGTACCCAATAGGTAGTTTTTCAGTCCTCATCCTCCTCCCACTCTCCACCCTCAAGTAGGCCCCAGTGTCTATTGTTCCCTTCTTTGTGTCCATGTGTATGCAATGTTGAGCTCCCACTTTATAAGTGAGAATATACAGTATTTGGTTTTCTGTTCCTGCGTTAATTCACTTAGGATAACGGCCTCCAGCTCTATCCATGTTGCTGCAAAGGACATGATCTTGTTCTTTTATATGGCTGCATAGTATTCTGTGTCCACCCAGCTTTCTGAAGAAAAGTTTTATTTTATTAACCTTAACTTCTTGCAGCCCTTCACCCAGTTTTCTTTAGGCTTAGGGGATATATGCCATTCTTACTTTTATAACCATTATAAAAAGCATTATAGCTCTGGGAAGACCTTTAGGGATAATAAAGCCCCAACTCCCCTTTCTACAGATAAAAAAAATATGCTAACAGAGGTTAAGTGGTTTGCCTAAAGACTCAGTGTTAATATATTGTTGAGCTTAGATGAACCCAGGACTTTTGCCTCTCAATTCTACTAATAACATATCTATTCTACTCAGTGATCTTGTTTCTGGCTGTTGGCTTTGAGCAGTTTGAAAACCCTGCAACTGAAACTCTTTGTTCTAAATCTGTGATCCCCCACTATAAAGAGATCCAAAAGCGACGTAAAATGGATCATTTGGTTCATATACACTTCCCTTTAAAGGATCAGAAAATTTTAAGACCTTAAATGGCCAAACTCGTTCAAGGTGTAGGGTTCCTCTCTCTAGACCATAAGATAAACTTAAAGGGTACTGAGGTTTTGACAGCGTGGCCACAGCATGGCTAAATGTGAATACCCTTCAGCATTTTTCTCTTCCTTTTCTCACTTCTATAAATGTGAATAATTCAGATGTGCTGTTCTAAAGCAACGACGTTTCCTTTATATTAAGGGGCACATTTTCTTGCTGTTTCCATTTTAACTCATCATCACCAATCCCAAAACATATTTGCTCCAGAAAAAAAGGCAAGTTGGAATTTTGGGGAGAAACACTCAAGCAAATTAATCTCCTTTATTATAATTCTAAATAGAAGGTAATGAATGGATAAAATTGGCCAGGCATGGTGGCTCACACCTGTAATCCCAGCACTTTGGGAGGCTGAAGCGAGTGGATCACCTGAGGTCAGGAGTTCGAGACCAGCCTGTTCAACGTGGCGAAACCCCTTCTCTACTAAAAATACAAAAAATTAGCCGGGCGTGGTGGCGGGCGCCTGTAATCCCAGCTACTCAGGAGGCTGAGGCAGGAGAATCGCTTGCACCCAGGAGGCGGAGGTTGCAGTGAGCCAAGATCGCGCCATTGCACTCCAGCCTGGGCAACAAGAACAAAACTCCGTCTCAAAAAAAAAAAAAAAAAAGACTGGGTAAAATTAGCCTGTAAAAAGAATATTAATTTGACCACAAATGACAAATATATCTTTTCCTAGACTTTAAAATTCCAAAAAAGATCACAAGAAGTCTCTGTCTAAATTACAACGGCTATGCTAAGTGAGAAAAGCAGAGTGAAAATTAGTGTGTTTCAGATGACAACATTTAGTTTTTAAAAACATATGTCTGGTATAATAGGCTTGTTAATCATAAATTTTCTCTGGAAGAGAAAAAAAATGGATCAAAATGCCTCTGGGGAGTAGAACTGGGTAGATGAGAGTGAAAGGAAGCTTTTGGTGGACTCCCTCGTTTATCTTTGGCATTTTAAAACCTATAAATGTTGCCACTTCAAAAAATATTTTAAATTATTATTATTTTTTTTGAGACACAGTCTTGCTCTATCACCAGGCTGGAGTGCAGTGGTGCAATCTTGGCTCACTGAAACCTCTGCCTCCCAGGTTCAAGCGATTCTCCTGCCTCAGCCTCCCGAGTAGCTGGGATTACAGGAGCGCACCACCACCCCCAGCTAATTTTCGTATTTTTAGTAGAGACGGGGTTTCACCATGTTGGCCAGGATAGTCTCAATCTCCTGACCTCATGATCCACCTGCCTCAGCCTCCCAAAGTGCTGGGATTACAGGCATGACGCACCGTGCCCGGCCGAAATTCTTTAAGTAAAATTAAAAGAGAGTATTTCGACCAACCTAAAAATGCAAACATTTCCAGTATTTAGGTTCAAATCCTTATCTAAACCTGTAAAGATCTTCCTAGGCCAAAGTATATTTCTGGAGCCCCAACCAACTAGATAGAATTGTGGTTCACTGTTGTTGAGTTAATAAGATGTAATAAATCTATAAACAGTGATGTATAGTATCACATAATATGTATAATCTGTGCATGTGATAACACTGCTTTCAAACAAAAGCTCTAACCTGATCAGTAAAGAAGGGAAGGCCAGGAAGTCACTTTCTGATAACTCAGGTTGCCCCTCCTCTGTTTCAGGTGAATTAACTTCTTTCACAATAACAAATACTGAAAGCTGGTTCAGAGAGAGAGAGAAAAAAATATAGACAGTTAATAAAAATATAAAATACCACTAACTTTCTTCTGTACAGCTACTAAATGACTAGGGGCTGTAGACCCAGGAATAAAATTTGAGGTTTTAATTTCTCTTTTCTTACCTTAGATGAAGAGGGGCAGGGTGTGGGGTTGCGGGGAAGGCTTTAATAAGAGGGGCAAAGGCTTTAAATAAGAATGTAAAAGAACCAGTACAGTTCCAGAAACCATATTCTCATCACTCAACATATGAAATGAGGGTAAATAAGGAGGGAAAAAGAACTTAGAAATAATAAAGGGAACCAAGGGAAGGTGAATGAGGATCTCAAAAAAGAGTTTTATTTCACTTAGAACATTAAAAACCATCACATAAATTTTGAGATGAAATCACCTAACTCAGCAGTTCTAAGTGTAGTCCCAAAATCCTAGGGGGCCCTCTCCCTTTTCCAACTACCTATCTGTATTAAGCTGGATTTTCTCATGTACTTTTACAAAAACAAGATATCCCAACAGACTGAATGCAGAAACAGACGAGAACCCAGTTGTTTTCTATTAAGCCAGACATGAAAGAGATTTGCAAAAATGTAAACCACCACCATTCTTCATGCTAAATTTTCTTTTGTTTAGGAGAATGTATTTTTCATAAAAACCTGTTTAGGTTAACATATTTATTATTGTTATTTCTAATCAAACTTTAAATGTTTCTGAATTTTAATTTCTAAAATGTTAGTATCAACAGATACAAACCAAATAAAAGCTCTTTGGAGTCCTCCATAAATTTTAAGGGTATAAAAGGGTTCTCAAACCAAAAAGTTTGAGAACTGACCTAGTGAAATAACTTGTCAGTATTGCCAATACTTTTTTAAATAAACAGTAATTCTCTCTCCCCACACACCATTCAGAATGTGTTCCCAAATTTCCTCTTCCTAACCATCCAATCATTCCCTTCCTTATATTGTTCCTCAAATCCTTGGTCTAAGAGAAGTAAACCCTTTAGCATTGTCCTCTAACCCAGACTCCCTGAGCCTCAAAAAAGCGGTATTTAAAGAGTATATTTCAGCCGGGCGCAGTGGCTCACGCCTGTAATTCCAGCACTTTGGGAGGCCAAGGCAGGTGGATCACCTAAGGTCAGGAGTTCAAGACCAGCCTGACCAACATGGTGAAGCCCCATCTCTACTAAAATACAAAAATTAGCCAGCGTGGTGGCAGGCGCCTGTAATCTCAGCTACTTGGGAGGCTGAAGCAGGAGAATCACTTGAACCCAGGAGGTGGAGGTTGCAGTGAGCCAAGACCGTGCTACTGCACTCCAGCCTGGGCAAAATGAGTGAGACTCTGTCTCAAAAAAAAAAAAAAAAAAAAGTATATTTCAAATCTTTTTTAAGCCAGAGTCTGATCTTCCTTTTTGCATTAATAACAGTATGTGGACTCCTGCTTATTTTCATGCCTCAATTAACTAATAGCAGTTTCCTCCCTCCCTCTCACTTTTTCTCCCTCCCTCTCTCCCTCCTTTACTCCTTCCTCCCTCTTCCCTCCCTCTCTTCCTTCTTCCCTCCTTCTGTCTCCCTTTGTCCCTCCATCCCTTCCTCCCCCTCCTTCTCTCCCTCCCCCTCCTTCCTTGCCCTCCTCCCTTTCTCTCTCCCTCTTCCCTCCCTCCTCCCCCTCTCCTTTCTCCCCCTCCTCCTTCCCTTTCCTCCCCCTCTCCTTCCTACCCCCCTCCCCCTCCTCCCTTCCCTGCTTCCCCTCCTTCTTCCTTCCTCTCCCTCCCTCCCTTCTCCCTCCCCCTCCTCCCTCCCCTTTCCTCCCCCTCCTCCCTTCCCCCTTTCCTCCCTCCCTCTCTTCTCCTTCCCTCCCTCCCGTTTCCTCCCCCTCCTCCCTCCCTCCCCTTTCCTCCCTCCCTCTCTTATCCTTCCCTCCCTCTCTCTTCTCCTTCCCTCCCTCTCTCTCTTCTCCTTCCCTCCCTCCCCTTTCCTCCCCCTCCTCCCTCCCTCCTCCCTTTCCTCCCTCCCTCTCTCTCTTCTCCTTCCCTCCCTCCTTCCTTCCTCCCCCTTCCCTCCCTCCTTCCTTCCTCCCCCTTCCCTCCCTCCTTCCTTCCTCCCCCTTCCCTCCCTTGCTTTCTTCCTTCGTGTTTGTGCACAAGCTCAGCAAGCCCGATTTAAAACTTTTAACAAGAAAGAAGAGGCGGGTGGATCACCTTAAGTCAGGAGTTCGGGACCAGCCTGGCCAATACGGTGAAACCCCGTCTCTACTAAAAATACAAAAAAATCAGCCGAGCACGGTGGCGCGTGCCTGTAATCCCAGCATTTTGGGAGGCCAAGGTGGGCGGATCACCTAAGGTCAGGAGTTCGAGACCAGCCTGGCCAACATGGAGAAACCCCGTCTCTACTAAAAATACAAAATTAGCCGGGCACAGTGGCGGGCGCCTGTAGTCCCAGCTCCTCGGGAGGCTGAGGCAGGGGAATCGCTTGAACCCAGGAGGTGGGGGTTGCAGTGAGCCGAGACTGCGCCACTGCACTCCAGCCTGGGCGACAGAGCGAGACAGTCTTTAAAAAAAAAAAAAAAAAAGCCCCAATTCCAAATCCACCTGCAATCCAAAGGGAAGAAGTTTTGCAGAGAAGTTCTTCCCATTTGTGGGGCGCTCCCATTTTTCCTCTCTTCCCTCACCCCTTATTCTCTCTCAGGGATAGCGGTTCAAGTCGGTGTCCCTGAGCCACACGTCCCCCTCTCTCTTCCCCGTCCCCTCCCTTCCTTCCTCCCACCATGAGGGAATCTCCCCTCCACCCCCACTCCTGCCGAGGCCCCGTGATCCTTATTCTCACTCATATCGTTGGTGCCCGCCAGGAGACTGGGCTATTTTTTTTTTGTCTGTTTCTTGGGGGCGACAGATTCTGAGGAAAAAGGGCGAAGGGCTGGTTGTCGCCCTGAGAAAGTTTCTCCTCAGGCAACGGGTGCCAGGACTGGCAGCGCCTAGCACCTTCACCTACAACCAGAAACTAGCTGGCTACCTTCAGGAGCAAGGAGGACCTAAAGGCGATGGGCGGAACCAGCTGCCGCAGCGACTCCGCAAGCCCCTCACACCTCAACCCAGGTTTCCCGCCACCAAGAAAAGGCACGAGGACGCCCTGAGCACTAGCTCCACCCGAGGGCGGTGCGCTCGCGGGGCCGAGGCGCATGCGCAACTGGAAACAGCGTCTGCGTTTCCGCAGCTGAGGTAAATCCGCCATCTTCCACCCGAACGTCCCGGGAAAACTACAAATCCCAGAATCCTCTTTGGTGTCACATATTTTTAGGCGGCGGCCGCGGCGCCTGATTGTTCCTGAAGCACATCTACTAACTTTTCTGTTTCAGACTGCCTTTTCCTCCCTCTTTCCGTTCTCTAATTCCTCCTCTTCCTGCTGGTCTCCTTCACGCCCTCACCTTAGGATTTTGAGACTCTCCTGGACCCCACTGTCACCCCTGCCGCCCTGTCCTCGGCCCAGCACTCCGCTGGCAGGGAGACCGGGCGGCGCATCTCCCCGGGAAAACGGCGTAGACTCGCTTCTTCCTCATTGGCAGAAGCTGGGGGGGCCCAGCGCGGACCGAACCCCCGTCCCCGCCCACACTCGCTGGTATATAAGTCGGCGTGGCGCCGCGGTGGGTGTTGAGAGGCCCGCGAACTGACGGGCCAGTGAGCGGGCGTCGGGAGTGGGCGGATGCGTTGGGGTTCGGGTCGTGGGTGTTGAGGCGGAGAGGAAGGCGTGGTGTGGCGTCTCCAGGTGATTGCGATTGGGGGAAGGTAGAGGAGCCAGAGAACGACTCAGCCGTTTCGGGGGAAGAGGAAGTTGGACAACATCGGCTGTTTTAGTGCTTTTTATTTTTCCCCAATTCAGCAGAGAATATTTTCAAGGGGGGTGAGTTATAATGACCTATCGCGTTTTACTGAGCCCAGTTCCACTCCCGCCCTTCCTTGGCTTTGTAGGGTCTCCCCTCCGCTCCCTCGGAAGCGCTTCTAAGAAGGTGGGCAGAGGGGGGGAGGTTTGCTACCAACAGCTCATGAATAATTCATGAGCCCCGCCCTTCGTCAGGAAGCCCCGCCCCTCCGGATCGCGCTGACGCACGCTGCGTTTACCAAACTTAAGGAAGCGACGTCACAGGCCCAACCCCTAAGACGGGGGGCGGGGCGCCAGTTTCAGCACGTGCTGCCTCTACCCGCGCAAGCCCAAAAGGGTGTGCGCAGGCGCTGCCCACTAGGGGGGAGGAAGGAGGCGGGGTGGGGAGGTTGTTGGATTTAGAGCCGGGCGGAGACCGCTGAGACTCATTCCTCAGGAACAAGGGTCGGGTGTCAAGGAGACCTTTTCACACCAGCTCCCGTCCCCCGCCTACGGTGGGTGGGATCGCGCGGCAGAGACAAAGGAGATCAGTAGGGCCGGACATAGCTGCGCAGGGAAGTAGGGTGTCAGTTTGGGGTGGTGGGCTTTTGCGGGGGCTGTGGGGGGGTTATATTTAAACTCCCAGAGCCGTTAAGTTGGTTCGTAGTCTGATGCGCGCGCAACCAGGGTGGTGGCGGAGTGCGCATGCGTGGTTCCCGGGCGAAGGGAACGCGCGCTCACCGTGCGCGCTCGCGGCCGGGTGGTAGTGGCGGAGGAGAAAGGGGTCGGCGCACGCGCGGTTGAGTCCTCGAGTAGTTCGGGTCTCGCGGGCCTCTTGTTTTGGTCTCGCGGGCTAGTAGGGCGCACTTGGCGGGGAGGCGCTTGGGCGCGAGACTAGGCGTGAAGAGCAGAGCTGCGCGCGCACTCGGGAAAGGGGGGAAGGGAGCAGGGTCCAGGCAGGGGGGGTTAGGCCCCCTGATCCCCCTCGTTACCCCGACTGGCACGGAATAAGGGGAGGAAATGATCGAGATGGCGGCGGAGAAGGAGCCGTTTCTGGTGCCGGCCCCGCCGCCGCCGCTCAAAGATGAGTCGGGCGGAGGGGGCGGCCCCACGGTGCCACCGCACCAAGAGGCCGCCTCTGGGGAGCTCCGCGGCGGGACGGAGCGTGGTCCGGGTCGTTGCGCGCCATCTGCGGGGTCCCCAGCCGCTGCGGTCGGTCGGGAAAGCCCCGGGGCCGCGGCCACCTCCTCCAGTGGTCCCCAGGCGCAGCAGCACCGAGGGGGCGGCCCCCAGGCGCAGTCGCATGGGGAGGCCCGCCTGTCGGATCCCCCGGGGCGAGCCGCTCCCCCGGACGTGGGGGAGGAGCGCCGGGGAGGGGGCGGGACAGAGCTGGGTCCCCCTGCTCCTCCTCGACCCCGCAATGGCTATCAGCCCCACCGGCCACCTGGGGGGGGCGGGGGCAAGAGGAGAAATAGCTGTAATGTAGGGGGAGGCGGGGGAGGCTTCAAACATCCGGCCTTCAAGAGGCGCAGGCGGGTGAATTCGGACTGTGACTCTGTGTTACCCTCCAACTTCCTCCTGGGGGGCAATATCTTTGATCCCCTGAACCTGAATAGCCTCCTGGATGAGGAAGTGAGCCGCACTCTCAACGCGGAGACCCCTAAGTCATCCCCCCTTCCGGCCAAAGGGCGAGATCCGGTGGAGATCCTCATCCCCAAAGATATTACTGACCCGCTCAGTCTCAATACTTGCACTGATGAGGGCCATGTAGTTCTTGCTTCGCCACTCAAGACTGGTCGGAAGCGGCATAGACACCGGGGACAGCACCACCAGCAGCAGCAGGCAGCCGGAGGGAGTGAGAGTCACCCCGTGCCGCCCACAGCCCCTCTCACCCCCTTACTCCACGGGGAGGGCGCCTCACAGCAGCCGCGGCACAGGGGCCAGAACCGGGATGCCCCCCAACCCTATGAACTCAACACAGCCATCAACTGCAGGGATGAAGTGGTGTCTCCCCTTCCATCTGCTCTGCAGGGTCCCTCAGGCTCCCTATCAGCCCCTCCAGCTGCCTCAGTTATCTCTGCACCCCCATCTTCCTCCTCCCGACATCGCAAACGTCGCAGGACTTCCAGCAAGTCGGAGGCAGGGGCTAGGGGTGGAGGCCAGGGTTCCAAGGAAAAGGGCCGAGGGAGTTGGGGAGGCCGCCACCACCACCACCACCCACTGCCTGCAGCAGGCTTCAAAAAGCAACAGCGCAAGTTCCAGTATGGGAATTATTGCAAATACTATGGGTACCGCAATCCTTCCTGTGAGGATGGGCGCCTTCGGGTGTTGAAGCCTGAGTGGTTTCGGGGCCGGGACGTCCTAGATCTGGGCTGCAATGTGGGCCATCTGACCCTGAGCATTGCCTGCAAGTGGGGCCCGTCCCGCATGGTGGGCCTGGATATCGATTCCCGGCTCATCCATTCTGCCCGCCAAAACATCCGACACTACCTTTCCGAGGAGCTGCGTCTCCCACCCCAGACTTTGGAAGGGGACCCGGGGGCAGAGGGTGAGGAAGGGACCACCACCGTTCGAAAGAGGAGCTGCTTCCCAGCCTCGCTGACTGCCAGCCGGGGTCCCATCGCTGCCCCCCAAGTGCCCTTGGATGGAGCGGACACATCAGTCTTCCCCAACAATGTTGTCTTCGTCACGGTAAGAGGGTCCAGAGGCTCTTGGAATAGGGGCCAGGTGTGAAGATGAGATTAAATGGGAATGTAGCAGGGAAGGTTATGACCCAGATCCTCAAAAGAGGGGTCTGGGTTGGCAAGTGAGAGCCTCTGCTGGGCGTCTCTCCCCTCTTATAACCTGGAAAGGTGGGGTGTCTACCTTGGGGCATTGACCCTGGAGTCCTTTGTCATGACTGCAAGGATCTCCAAGATAGAGGAGGACTCTCTTTTTGCTCTGCTCCCGGCTTGGCCTATAATCCACACTGGTCCACCTTCCCTTCCCTTGAAGGCTGCTGCTCACTAGGGAATTTGATCCAGGTGGAACTTGGTCCTCAGATTTACTGAAGGAGCCTGAGAATGGGAGTCAGACATGGAATGTCTTCTAGGGAGGAGATTAGGGTAGCGACAGACTAATACTGGCGTTTCTGCCCTTTGATAGCCACCTTGCTCCTATCAGCGGCTTTTGTTTTCCTAGACAGTTTGTTGAAGCGTGTCAGGAACCCAAGTGGTTTGGCTGTAGATCCTCTCCACATTGACCCTAGATAGTGGGAGAGGGAAGAACCAGAAACTCCTCTGCAGAGAGGAGAGAGTCCTGTGCCCTGCAGAGTCCCCTGACTGCACACAGCTCCCCAGAGAACACTCCAGTTAGGCTGCCTACTGGGATCTTTGGCATTGTGTTGGGTTAAGCCTGAAGAATGGTCTTTTTAGAGGGTTGTGATGAGCTGAGCTTCTAGAAAAGGCTTCCTAAAGGATGTGGCTCTTCATTTCTCTCAGAGAAAGGAAAGAATAGGCCTGAAACTTTGCCAGCCCCAACTGCAGGGAAGGAACCACAGGTCTGCCTTTGAAACCTGGGTTAGTTACCCTTGCAGAACCTGCAGTCACTCCACTTAATGTCTGTGAGTGAGAATAAACACAGGATATGGTCCTGGGACCCTAGCTTTGGAAGACTTCATGGATAATTTGCACCATTTAAAATTACTCAGGCTCCGTCGACCTTTTTTGGCTTACCACCAGTAGGAAGAAGCAGAGGCAGGAAGGTGTAGAGGAGAAAACAAAACTCAAAGAGGGCAGGCACCTTTTGGGAGTTAGTCTGAGAAGAAAGTGGCCACGGGCTAAAGTGAGGCCGCGGGACTGTATCGGCCTCAGAGCAGGTTGCCTGGGAGCAGGGGTTCTTTGATTCCCTCAGTTGACCTCACTGCCGATTCTTGCCCTCAGGGTAATTATGTGCTGGATCGAGATGACCTGGTGGAGGCCCAAACACCTGAGTATGATGTGGTGCTCTGCCTCAGCCTCACCAAGTGGGTGCATCTGAACTGGGGAGACGAGGGCCTGAAGCGCATGTTTCGCCGGATCTACCGGCACCTACGCCCTGGGGGCATCCTGGTCCTAGAGCCCCAACCCTGGTCGTCGTATGGCAAGAGAAAGACTCTTACAGTGAGTTGGGTGTTGGGGGAATAGTCATTCCTTTGGTTGAGGCAAGAAAAGGCCCCGAGGTGGGCATCGCCCTTGGCCAGGGGAGGCGGCAGCGTGCTGAAGTGGTCCCTTGCCTCTCTCCTTAGGAAACGATCTACAAGAACTACTACCGAATCCAATTGAAGCCAGAGCAGTTCAGTTCCTACCTGACATCCCCAGACGTGGGCTTCTCCAGCTATGAGCTTGTGGCCACACCCCACAACACCTCTAAAGGTAAGGCTGGTTTATTTTGTCAGGGAGGCTGGTCCTGGCTGAAAGAGTGCAGACCCCCATGGGGATTCTTGAGGTGCTGCCAACCCCTTCTGATCACTCTCTCTCCCCTCAGGCTTCCAGCGTCCTGTGTACCTGTTCCACAAGGCCCGATCCCCCAGCCACTAAGTGGCCCCCTAAACAGAAAGTGTGAAGAGGCTGCCCTCGCTGCTCATAAGGACCTGGGGGAAGAGGAAAGTGTCCCAAGGTCTTTCCTTTCTGACTCCAAAAATAGTTTCCTTTCTTGGATCTGCAAAGAAAGCTTTTCTTCCGTCGCTGCCTCAGCCTCCTCCCTATGCCTCTGGCACCTGCGCAGCAAGGCTGGCTGTGCTGGAGTCACCATCATCTTCCTCTCCCCCAGCCTCCCAGGCTGGATGGCATGGACTGTTTGCTGACCTCTGTTCTCTTAGGGCATGGGAGGTGGGAGGATATCAAATTCTCTAGCCCTTTCCTCCTATTCTCCCAAGGAGAGAGATTCCCATTTCTCCTCGGCCATTGTACCTAGCTCTTGTCCCTAGCTGCATTTCAGTGGACCATGGATAGAGGGACTGAGGGTTAGACGGGGAAGACTGGCAGGGAGGCACGCAGGTACTGTGAAAATCCTTCCCTTTGCCCTCCCCCAGTGGGAGAGGGGGTTGGGTTTTCAATGTGAGAACAGCACAATAAACTTGATGTCTAGGGCAGTGGCCCCCACACCTGTCTCGGTACTGTCTAGCTGGTGGGGGATGGGTGGTGCCTCCCACCAGAACCTGTGCTGTTTATCTTCCATCTCAAGGAAGACACGTTTTTCAGTGGTTGAGCTGATTGTTGAACACTAGTCAAGTCCACACGCAAGTACACAGAAGCCTAGTCAGGAAAAGGTGTGTAATGCAAATTTTGGTGTGGAACTTGGAGTCTGCCTTCCCTCCCCAGAAAAACCCCGTAGACGTTTTGGGCAGAAGGCTAACTTTTTGGTTTTTGTTTTTCTGAGATGGAGATTTGTTCTGTCGTCAGGCTGGAGTACAGTGGTGTGATCTCGGCTTACCGCAATATCCGCCTCCCAGGTTCAAGTGATTCTCCTGCCTCACCCTCCCAAGTAGCTGGGATTACAGGCACGCGCCACCATGCCCAGCTAATTTTTTGTATTTTTAGTAGACACGGGGGTTTCGCCATGTTGGCCAGGCTGGTTTCAAACTCCTGACCTCAGGTGATCCACCCGCCTCGGCCTTCTAAAGTGCTGGGATTACAGGCGCGAGCCACTGCACCTGGCCAGAAGGCTAACTTGGAAAGAGTTGACGGTGGAGGTAGGCAAAAGTGCTTTGGATCAAATGCCCAGGGACGGGCCAGCACCTTTTTTGTGCTGTGGAATCAGACTTACAGGCAATTAACAACATGAAGCTCTTCGGGGGCTTGTTAGGTGTTACTGGAACTTCGAACATACTGAGTATTCAGGTCAGGTGTAAACAGGATGGGCAAGGCTCTTAAAGGTAAAAAGCAAGGAGATAATTTCAGTAACTCAGTGCAGACAGCTGGCTTGCAAGCTCCTTGAGACAGGTAATCATGGAAGGTTTTCGTGAAGTGTGATAGGCTGGGCTCTGCATTTTGAGAGATCAGAATAAGTGATGCAGAGAACAATCGCTACCTGATCAAAAACAGGCAGTAGCTGTGGCTGAAGTCAGGGAGAGGCAGGTAAGGTTGTGAACGGAGGGGTATCTAAGTAAACCTCTAACGTGGACAGTGTTTTCCACTTGCCATGACTCTACCAAGTTCCAAAAAGGCCCCCAAACCCGACTTCCAGGCAGCTTCCAACCTGAGGCTAAGTGGATAACCCCCTAGAGAGCTTTTAACCCCATTTTAGGCCTCCAAGAAGAGTCCCATTTATTAGCAAAATTACTTTATTCTAACAAATAGTTTAACACAAAAATACGAACTAGCCCTCCAGGGATCTTTGGGGTCTACGCTTCCCATCGCCTCAGTGTCCGGTGCATGAGGAAGGTGTCCTCTGAAGGGCGGGGCCGGAGTTGAAGTCGGAGAGGGGGCAGACCGTCCAGGGTCAGGTGTGGAGATTCATAAAATAGCGTTTCTGGGTCACACAAGATGGTCATGTCTGGCCCAGGCCCAGGTGGCTCCTGTTGGGAGGTTGGGCCCAAAGCAAGGTTACACTTTGGGAGGAAGGATCCGGGTAAGGGGGTACATGGAGGAAGCCCCACGCCCAGACCCCATCACCTTTGGGTGCGGGGCTCGAGCCTGTGGCGGCAGGAGAGCCAATTTCTCCCTGAGCGCGGCATTCAGAACCTGTTCCTCCGGCACCTGCAGGCTCACCAGGTCCCGGAAGAGCCGCTTGGAGCGCGGCACGTTCAGCCCTGAGAGCGCAGCGGGGACGGAGGTGAGTGGCGCGCCTCACCCCGACTCCCGCACGCGGCCGGCCGCCCGCCCCCCTCACCCTCGGACACGCTCTCCTCCAGGCCGCAGCGGATCTGGAACGACTTTCTCAGCTGTTCCTCCACGGCCTTCGCAGCATCAAAGTGGCTCCCGGCTGCGGCCCGCAGCTCCAGGCCCAAGGCCAGGCTGCTCTTCAGCACGGGCATCTCCAGCTCCTGCGGCACCGCAGGCTGCGGCTCGGACCGCACCGGGGAGGGCGGCGTCAGGCGGAAGCGGACCTGGGAGCAGAGGGCAGGGCAGTGACCAGGTGGGCGCGAGGCCGTCGCGGGCCGGGGGCCAGCCTCCCCCGCTCACCTGCCGCCGCTGCCGAGCCGCGCCCCGCCGCTCCGCCCGCCCCTTCCGCCGCCCGGGGCTGCCGTGCCGCGGCTGAGGGCTGTCGGGCCGCGGGCTCAGGCTCAAGTCCAGGCCGGGCTCGGGCACTGGGGCTCGGAGTTGCGGGACTTGGGGCTCCGGGGGTGGCCCCGGGACCGCCGCGGCTTCTTCCCCGTCCGCCGACTTCAGCTCTGACTCCCCACAACCCATCATCATCTTTGGAGGTGCCTTGAGGGTGCGGGGATGCGGGGGTCGCAGACGCTCCAACGGTCAGGGGACACAGCCTGGCTGCCGCCTCCTTTCCCCCGCCCCTCCTAGACGCCGCTACCGGAAACCGTTAACCCTTTCCTTCGGGGGCGGAGTCAGCAGCCCCACCCACCCTGTTGTCGCTCCCAGGCGTCATTTCCCTCGCTCCGTCCCCAGGTTTCCGGCAGGCTTCCGCACTCACAGCCTTGGCACCGCCCCCAAGCCGAAGTGTTGGAAGCACTCACAGCCTTGGCACCGCCCCCAAGCCGAAGTGTTTTTGAGCTGGGGTCGGTTGAAGCCCTACGGGTCCTCATCAGGGCCACTCCTCCTCTTGAAAACTCTGCTATGGCTGAGTTACCCAGAGGAATCTTAGTCCTGCTAGCGCTGCGATGCCCATTGCCCAGTGTGTCAGTCCTCATTCTGGGGCGCCAAATGGGGCAGCATTTTTTTTTTTTTTTGAGACTGAGCCTCTCTCTGTAGCCCAGGCTGGAGTGCAGGGGCGCGATTTCGGCTCACTGCAACCTCCGCCTCCCAGGTTCAAGAGATTCTCCTGCCTCAGCCTCCTGAGTAGCTGGGATTACAGGCGCGCGCCATCACGCCCGGCTAATTTTTGTATTTTTAGTAGAGACGGTTTCACCATGTTGGTCAGGCTGGTCTCGAACTCCTGACCTCGTGATCCGCCCACCTCGGCCTCCCAAAGTGCTGGGATTACAGGCATGAGCCACCGCACCTGGCCATAAATGGGGCAGCTTTAAGGTAACGGTCCAGTGTGCCCTGACCTCCCACTCAGACCTGCACAGCATTTCCGGTGTTCCGTTGCCTCCAAACTCGGACCGGAGTTGGCCTGTATGAGTGCGGGCGAGGGTCGCCGACCCCATCCCGGACTCCCTTCTGGGACACAGCAACTCTTGCAGCTTTTTGTGACTACTTTTACCTTCGAGAGTTCCCTGAAATATTAATTTGTATAAAAAGTAGATATCTGGCACGGGTGCGGTAGCGCATACCTGCAATTCCAACTCTGGGAGGCCAAGGCGGGAAGATGTCTTGAAACCCTGAGCTGGAGACAAGCATGGGCAACATACCGAGACTCCACACCACCATTCCCAATCTCTACCAAAAGAATTTAATTTTAGCCGGGCGTGGTGGTGGTGCTCACCTGTAGTCCCAGCTACTGGGAAGGCTGAGGCGGGAGGATCACTTGAGTCCAGGAGTTCCAGGCTGCAATGAGCTCTGATCATACCACTGCGCTCTAGCCTGGGCGACAGAGCAAGACCCTGTCTCAGAAACAAACAAAAAACTCTGTATTGTGGGTTCAATGTTTTATTTTGTTTTTTGAGACGGAGTCTCGCTCTGGTGCCCAGGCTGGAGACTGTGGCACAATCTCAGCTCACTGCAACGTCTGCCTCCAGTGTTCAAGCAATTCTCCCACCTTAGCCTCCCAAGTAGGTGGGATTACAGGCGCCTACCACCACACCCGGCTAATTTTTTTTGTATTTTTAGTAGAGACAGGGTTTCACCGTGTTGGCCTCGAACTCCTGACCTCAAGTGGTTCAGCTGCCTTGGCCTCCCAAAGTGCTATGATTACAGGCAGTAGCCACTGCACCCAGCCTTGAATTCAGTTTTTTTAATTTTTAATGTCAGTGGACTTATCCTGGGCCCTGAGCTTTTCCACATAGCAGAAGACCCCTGAACTGCAGAAAAGGAAATGAGAGCTCCCACCTGCTCCTTAGGTTACTTGGGGCAGGTCCCCTCAATTCTGCAAGTCTCCTTTCATTTTTTGTGTAGAATGTAAGTGGAAGTGGGTTCAGGAATCCTTTCTTACTCTTTTTTTTTTTTTTTTTTTAATTCTCCAAACTGCTTCAAAAAGGTTCAGGAATCTTGAAGCTTTCCTGGAATTGATTGATGCTCAGTCAACAGGCACGTTTGTGTACCACTTTTCATTATGAGTTTCCACATTGTTCATTTTATCTTTCCAGGAAGTGCTGTGGAACATCAGATAGAATGGATAGCACAGCCCAAATTTTACAAAAAGGATTTTAAAGGAAGATCTCAATGGTGGAACACTAGAGGCTTTCCTGCTAAAGTTAAGAACAAGCAAGTATGTCTATTATCTCATTGTTCAATTGTGAAAAGAAATAGCGAGGTACAAATATAAATTTTTAAACTGGGAGTATAAATTAAAAATTTTTAATAGCGACATAGGAGGGAGAGAATAGAATGAAAGACAAACAGTCTTATTCCTCCAAATATACTTTGTTTTGTATATTTGACTTTGGAAATGTATGCATTTTATATGATTATATTAAAAGGTTTTAAAAAATCAGGCCAGGCACAGTGGCTTACACCTGTAATCCCAGCACTTTGGGAAGCCCGGGTGGGTGGATCACTTGAGGTCAGGAGTTCGAGACCAGCCTGGCCAGCATGGTGAAACCCCGTTTCTACTAAAAATATAAAAATTAGCCAGGCGTGGTGGTGCACACCTGTAATCCCAGCTACTTGGGAAGCTGAGGCACAAGAATCGCTTGAACCCAGGAGGCGTATGTTGCAGTGAGCTGAGATCGTGCAACTGGACTCCAGCCTGTGTAACAGAGCAAGACTCTGCCTCAAAAAGTAATAGTAAAATAAAATACAAATACAAAAAAATTAGCCGGGTGTGGTGACAGGTGCCTGTAGTCCCAACTACTTGGGAGACTGAGTAGGCCAGTCACTGGAACTCAGGAGGTGGAGGTTGCAGTGAGCCAAGATTGTGCCACTGCACTCCAGCCTGGGTGACAGAGCTAGACTCTCTGTCTCAAAAAACAAAAAACAAACAAACAAAAAAAACTAATAAATCATGCTGTATTTTACCTTAAATTGAAAAGTATCAAGACTGAGCACAGTGGCTCAAGCCTGTAATCCCAGCACTTTAGGAAGCCGAGGCAGGCAAGTTGCCTGAGCTCAGGAGTTCAAGACCAGCCTGGGCAACATGGCAAAACCTCGTCTCTACTAAAAAGTACAAAAAATTAGCCAGGCATGGTAGCACGTGCCTGTAGTCCCATAGTCCCAGCTACTCAGGAGGCTGAGGCATGAGAATCACTTGAACCCAGGAGGCGGCGGTTGCAGTGAGCCAGGATCTCGCCACTGCACTCCAGCCTGGATGACAGAGTGAGACCCTGTCACAAGAAAAAAAAAAGTTGGGGTTCGGAACAGTATTTGAGGGTACATGGATAAAACAAGATTAGCCAAATGTTGATGACTGCTGAAGCAGGATTTTATTACTATATTTTCTCTACTTTTGCATATTCTTGAACATTTCTGTGACTAAACGTTTTTTGTTTATTTAAAAAAAGAGGCTGACGCAGTTTTGGCATGCAGGAAGTGTTGGAGCTGAGACTCGAAACTGTCCCCCAGGCCTTGGCCATGCTGATAAATATCTAGGCCCTACAGGAGTTCGTGTCCATGAACCCAGTAAACGCAATTCCTCAGCCTTAAAATCTAGTCACTGACTCATTTCAGGCCCCAGCACAGACGAAAACAAGCCATTCTGTTTGCCCAGTTTACATTGCGGGTCTCCAAGAAGTGGAATGTTCACCAATGATTTTAAGAAAACAGGGCCTGGCGCGGTGGCTCACGCCTGTAATCCCAGCACTTTGGGAGGCCGAGGCAGGCAGATCACCTGAGGTTGGGAGTTTGAGATCAGCCTGACCAACATGGAGAAACCCCATTTCTACTAAAAATACAAAATTAGCCGGGTGTGGTGGTGCATGCTTGTAATCCCAGCTACTCAGGAGGCTGAGGCAGAATTGCCTGAAGCTGGGAGGCGGAGGTTGCAGTGAGCCAGAGATCGTGCCATTACATTCCAGCCTGGGCAACAAGAGCAAAACTCTGTCTCAAAATAATAATAATAATAATAATAATTAAAAAAAAAAAAACAGTACGAGTGTGAAGATCGGAAGGTGGAGGTGAGGGAGGTGAGAGGTCTTGGGCCTGCCCACATTCTTCCTAAGCTATTTTGGCTGGCCCAGGCTGGGAGGCCAGGAATTGCTTTTCCTCTTCAAAAGAAAAGGGGACAAAAAATTAGCTGGGCGTGGTAGCACTCATCTGTAGTCCCAGCTACTCAGGAGGCTGAGGCAGAAGAATTGCTTGAACCGGGGAGGCAGAGGTTGCAGTAAGCTGAGATTGTGCTGCTGCCCTCCAGCCTGGGTGACAGAGCGAGACTCGGTCTCAAAAAAAAAAAAAAAAAAAATGGGGAGGAGGACAGGGCATGGTGGTTCATGCCTATAATTCCAGCATTTTGGGAGGCCAAGGCAGGCAGATCACTTGAGGCCAGGAGTTCGAGACCAACCTGGGCAACACAGTGAAACCCTTTCTCTACTAAAACTACAAAAAATTACCTGGGCATGGCAGCACATGCCTGTAATTTCAGCTACTCGGGAGGCTGAGGCATGAGAATCACTTGAACCTGAGAGGGGGAGGTTGCAGTGAGCCAAGATGGCACCACTGCACTCCAGCCTGGGCAACAGCGTGAGACTCTGTCTCAAAAAAAAAAAAAAAAAAAAAAAATGGCTGGGACACCGTGACTCATGCCTGTAATTCCAGCACTTTGGGAGGCAGAGGCAGGAGGATCCCTGTGAGGCCAGGAGTTCAAGACCAGCCTGGGCAACATAGTGAGACCCAGTCTCTATAAAAAAATTAAAAATTAGCCAGGCGTGGTGGTGTATTCCTGTAGTCCCAGGTACCGGGGAGGTTGAGGTGGGAGGATCCCTTGAGCCCAGGACTTCGAGGCTGCAGTGAGCTATGATCACGCCACTGCACTCCAGCCTTGGCGACAGAGCAACACCCATCTCTTAAATATTATTTATTATAAGGCTTTTGGGCTGGGTGCTGTGGCTCACGCCTGTAATCCCAGCACTTTGGGAGGCCGAGGCGGGCGGATCACGAGGTCAGGAGATTAACACCATCCTGGCTAACACGGTGAAACCCTGTCTCTACTAAAAATACAAAAAATTAGCCGGGTGTGGTGGCATGCGCCTCTAGTCCCAGCTACTCAGTAGGCTGAGGCAGGAGTATGGCGTGAACCTGGGAGTCGGAGCTTGCAGTGAGCCGAGATCGCACCACTGCACTCCAGCCTGGGCAACAGAGCGAGACTCCGTCTCAAAAAAAAAAAAAAAAAGACTTTTGATTGGGTTAGACCTCACCAGTTAGAGATGCTCCTTTAGTTATCTGAGGCTGCTGAGTGGGGTAATCCTAGACCTGGATGCTAGTTTGAAGAAAGCAAGTCTCAGTGCTGGAAGGGGTCATTCAAGGTCATCCATGAGCTTCTGCTGAGCCAGGTGCTATAGGTGGGCTAGGTGGGACAGGAGACAGGTCAGCATCCAGGGTCCTTGAAGGGACCATGTCCTTAAGAAGAGGTAGGATGCCTCCAATGCAGTGGTCCACTGCACGGTGTGGCTGAGACTGCTACAGAGGACACATGGGAAGACCTGCCAGGGTTGGGGGTGGGGGAGGAGCAAGGGCGTCATCCTGGAAGTCACCCCCAAATAGGGCCAAGAAAGATCAGAGAGACAGCAAAGCTCTAATACCACCCTCTGCAAACCCCACCTATGGCGACCTCTCACCTCCTGTCTCCTATTCTCAAACTGGCCTATGCCTAAGGGCCAACCCAGAGACACTTCCACACTGGTCCCTGTCACACGAGACACGCTGGAAGATGGGAATGGCCAACCTCCAGACACACACACATCCAGGCTCCTATCCCCAGAGTGCGTGTTCTCATCCTACTGCATCTCGGAGGCTGGCAGGGTGAATCCCCCAGCAGGTCAGGTAGGTCTGAGGTGTCTCAGCCTGAACTCATGACTCCAAACCACCTTCACGCCTTCGTCCCAACCCAGAAGGAAGAGATCCAGGGAGGAGGGCACACATCGGGCTGCAGGCCAACACACTGACCCTGAGCCTGGCCTCCCCAGCATCAGGCTGAGGAACAGGAGGGTTGAGATGAGCCCCATTAGGTATGTGTGAAGTCTCTGGGACATGGGATGATGCCAGCTGCTGGGATGCAGAAAAGTTGGAGGCAGGGGACAGAGTCTCATTCAAAAGAATTTGTCCATAATCCAAGCTGGGTGTTGTGGCTCACGCCTATAATCCCAGCACTTTGGGAGGCCCAAGCAGATGGATCACTTGAGGTCAGGAGTTCAAGACCAGCCTGGCCAACATGCTGAAACCCCGTCTCTACTAAAAATATAAAAATTACCCGTATGTGGTAGCCCAGGCCTGTAATCCCAGTTACTTGGGAGGCTGAGGTGGGAGGATTGCTTGAACCCAGGAGGTGGAGGTTGCAGTGAGCCCAGATCATGCCACTGCACACCAGCCTGGGCAACAAAGCGAGCAAAGCGAGACTCCATTTCAAAAAAAAAAAAAAAAAATTTTAGCTGCGTGTGCTGGCACATGCCTGCAAATCCCAGCTACTCCGGAGGCTGAGGCATGAGAATCACTTGAACCTGGGAGGCAGAGGTTACAGTGAGCCGCCAGCAACTGTATCTCAAATAAATAAATAAATAAATAAGAATTTGTCTGGAATCTGGGTGAGGCAGAGGAAAATGAAAGAAACCAGAAAAGCAAAGATAAACAGATTTGCAGGGTGGGGTGGAGGATGGAGAATTCAATGGAGCTGAGCACAGCAAGGAGGAGAATGTTGGGCTGAAGGCCTGAGCTTGCTGGGGAGATGTCCTTGATGTCCACACTGGGCATAGAAGGTTGATTGATGCCAGTGGTTAGGGTCCCAAAGAGCCCAGGGACAGCTGGAGGTAGAAAGAAAGGGTGTGGAGGCACGGAAGATGGGCCCATAACCCAGGAAAAGGGAGCCACAGATAGGGGAAATGTATGCAGAAATCGCCACCCTCACTCTGGGAGGCAGGTCCCGACAGATCCCCTTAGCAGGGGACCAATGCCCAGGACCTTGGGGAGATGGTTGGGGACGGGGGAAGCAGCAGATGGTCTGTTACTCAATGAGCACACAGGAGATGTTGGGGGGTCTTGGGGTGGAGAGTGATTCCATGGAAGCCTCTGGATTGGACAAGGAGATGTTGGTGTGAGGTTTTTCCACAGTCCAAGAGAGGCGATTGGACAAGGAGATGTTGGTGTGAGGTTTTTCCACAGTCCAAGAGAGGCTGGTAGAAGAAAAGCAGGTTCTGCTATCAGGCCGGGTGCAGTGGCTCACACCTGTAATCTCAGCCCTTTGGGAGGCCCAGGTGGGAGCATCACATGAGGACAGGCATTCGAGAGCAGCCTGGGCAAGATGGTGAAACCCTGTCTCTACAATAAAAACACAAAAAAATTAGCCGGGTGTGGTGGTGTGCACCTGTAGTCCCAGCTACTCAGGAGGCTGAGACCGGAGGATCACTTGAGCCCAGGAGTTCAAGACCAGCCTGGGCTGGTCAAGACCCCATTTCTAAAAAAATTTAGCCAGGCATGGTGGTGTATGCCTGTAGTTCCAGCTACTTTGTTGGCTGAGGCAGGAGGGTCCCTTGAGCCCAGGAATTTGAGGCTGCGCTGAGCTATGATTGTGCCACTTCACTCCAGTCTGGGTGACAGAGCGAGACCCTGTCTCTAAAAATAAATAAATAAGCCAGGCGCAATGGCTCATGCTTGTAATCTCAGTACTTTGGAAGGCCAAGGCGGGAGGATCACTTGAGCCCAGAAGTTGGAGACCAGGCTGGGCAACATAGAAAGACCCCATCTCTACCAAAAATTTAAAAAATTATCTGGGTGTGATGGTGCACACTTATAGTCCCAGCTACTCAGGAGGCTGAGGTGGGAGGATCACTTGAGCCCAGGTCAAGGCTACAGTGAGTTATGATCACACCACGGCACTCCAGCCCGGGCAAAAAGCGAGACTGTCTCTAAACAAATAAATAAATAAAAAGCCATTTTTTTCACATATGAATGGACTCCTGGGAATGCAAGCTTGGAAATGGGGAGGCCGAAGCCCTTGCCTCTCTGCCTCCTCGCAGCCCTGGCCCGTCTCTCGTCTGTCTCCCTGGGTTTCAGTCCCAGCTCCAGTGCCTACTGACCATGTGACCTGGGGATCATTCCCTTTCCTCTGAGAGCCCCCCTCTTCCTCATCTGAACACTGAGGAAATGACTGGCCTCATATGGTTGCCAGAGCTCAGTTGGGGCCCTCAGAAGGTCGAGTCATTGTTTTTCAGGAGCTGATGAGATCATGGCACGTGTGCCATTGACCTCTGTCCTTCCTCCCTCCCCACCTTTGACTCAGCCTGTCCTCTCCTCCTCTGGACGACCTCTGGGACATCCTGCCCTTTTCCCGTGTTCATTGTTTCTGCAGCAGATGAGCAGGATGTCGGGGATGCTGGGAAATGAAAGGCCCCTGGTCTCTCTGCCGGTAGGCTCTGAGGCAGGGGGTTCAGACCCTCTCGCCTCGGGCTCCTGCTGGCTGGCCCCACACGTGCCCCCTCCAGCCCCAGCCCTGCTCAGTGGAGAAAACAGATAAGGCAGGAAATGTGGCCCCAGTTCTAGGAAGCTCAGAGTCCCAGGAGGCAGAAGACATGCCTCTCACCCGCTCACTGACACCTGCTATTTGCTGGGGCCTGGGAGTGGCATGGACAGCTCTGAGTGGGGCCAGCTTTCACCCTCCCAGGGTGCAGCATGAACTCTAACATCCAGGCCAGGCCAGGCTCCAGGAAAGAGGATGCAAAACTTCATGCAGCCTGTGCAGATTAAACACCAGCCCCAGCTCTGTGAAGGGTAGGTCAGCTCAGCCTGGAGGATGGGAAGGCTTCCTGGAGGAAGAAGCCCTTGAAGGAAGTAGGTGGAACAGAAACTTGCTGTTCTCCTCTCTGGGAGTCTGAGACTGCCCTTTCTTTTTTTTTGAGACAGAGTCTCACTGTGTCTCCCAGGCTAGAGTGCTGGAGTGCAGTGGCACAATCTCAGCTCACTGCAACCTCTGCTTCCCAGTTCAAGTGATTCTTCTGCCCCAGTCTCCCAAGTAGCTGGGACTATATAGGTGTACGCCACCACACCTAGTTAATTTATGTATTTTTATTAGAGACAGGGTTTCGCCAAGTTGGCCAGGCTGGTCTTGAACTCCTGACCTCAGGTGATCCGCCTGCCTCAGCCTCCCAAAATCCTGGGATTACAGGTGTGAGCCACCATGCCCAGACTGCCTGCCCCTTTCTGTCTCTGTCTCAGGCCAGTTCAGGTCTGAGCAGGGCAGTTTTGCTCAGCTTCACTGACCAGGTGAGTGTTGCTCACGATGCCCTCCAGACCCTTTGCCTTCCTCTAGATTTTTTTTTTTTCAAGTTTTATTTTTTTCTTGGAGACAGGGTCTCGCTCTGTCACCCAGGCTGGAGTGCAGTGGCACGATCATGGCTCACTGCAGCCTTGACCTCTGGGGATTAAGCGATCCTCCCACCTCAGCCTCCTGAGTAGCTTGGGACTACAGGCACATGCCACCACACCCAGGTAATTTTTTTTTTTTTTTTTTTTTTTTTGTAGAGGCAGGGTCTTGCCATGTTACCCGGGCTGGTCTCAAACTCCTGGGCTCAAGCAATCCTCTGACCTGGCCTTCCAAAATGCTGGGATTGCAGGCTGGGCCTGCCTTCCTCTAGAGGGCAATGGGTACCATAGCTCACACCTGTAATCCCAGCACTTAAGAGAGCCCAAGGAAGAAGGATCACTTGAGGCCAGGAGTTTGAAACCAGCCTGGGCAACATAGAGAGACTCTGTCTCTACAAAAATAAATAAATTAAATTAAATTTTAAAAAAGAGACTTAACCTCCCTGATGGGGCCCCACCAGCCTGGGTCATGACTCACCTCTGCTTCCCAGCAACCTCCTTCCTGATCCCCAAATCAGAATTCAGGAGGTCTAGGATGTAGTATGTGGCAATCTGTACAATTTCAGCAGTCACAGGAAACAAACACAGCTGAACCTCCCTGAGGGTCTTCCCCGAAACCTTCACCTTGGCAGTATCCCCATCTCTGGGGGGCTGGAATCAGAGGGTCTGGGGACCCACGAGGGAAGGATTTGGTCATGAAGGACTATCTTCCCCTGAGAGAGCCTCTACAGGCCCAGAGAGTTGCCAAGGGAAACAAGGGCAGAGGCAGGAGGAGAGAGGTCAGGTGGTGTGAGACAGGTGGAGAGTCAGAAGCCCTGGTATGGGAGCGGGGTCCATCTGTGTGGGGAACTAGATGGGGTACCATGGTTAGGGGAGGTCTTGTTGTGTGAAGGAGCTGGTGGGGAGGGACTATGTCCAGCAAGGCCCATTCAGTGGCCTCAGACCTCATAAGCTCCGGGGGTGGCCACACAGTTGGTCAGCCATCATGATCCGCAAGTGTCGAGTTGCCATGGCAGCCAGGAAGCATGCATGCTCAAGAAGCTGAGGCTGGGATGGCCAGGCATGGTGGCTGACGCCTATAATCCCAGCACTTTGGGAGGCTGAGGCGGGCGGATCACAAGGTCAGGAGATCGAGACCATCCTGGCTAACACGGTGAAACCCCATCTCTACTAAAAAATACCAAAAAATTAGCTGGGCATGGTGGCGGGCACCTGTGGTCCCAGCTACCCAGAAGGCTGAGGCAGGAGAATGGCATGAACCCGGGAGGCAGAGCTTCCAGTGAGCCAAGATCGCGCCACTGCACCCCAGCCTGGGCGACAGAGCGAGACTACGTCTCCAAAAAAAAAAAAAAAAAAAAAGAAGAGAGAGGAAAAAAAAAAAAGAAGCTGAGGCTGGAGCCGGGTGTGGTGGCTCACACCTGTAATTCCAGCACTTTGGGAGGCCAAGGCGGGCGGATCACGAGGTCAGGAGATCGAGACTATCCTGGCTAACACAGTGAAACCCTGTCTCTACTAAAAATACAAAAAAATTAGCCGGGCGTGGTGGTGGGCGCCTGTAGTCCCAGCTACTCGGGAGGCTGAGGCAGGAGAATTGCTTGAATCCAGGAGGCAGAGGTTGCAGTGATCCGAGATCGCGCCACTGCACTCCAGCCTGGCAACAGAGCAAGACTCTCTCTCAAAAAAAAAAAAAAAAAAAAGCTGAGGCCTTTGACACTGAGCTTCAGGAGACTGAAGACTAGGCTGAGGCTGGTGTGGTGGCTCATACCTGTTATCCCAATGCTTTGGGAGGCTGACCTGGGAGGATCACTTGAGGCCAGCAGTTCAAGACCAGCCTGGGCAACACAGTGAGACCCCGTCTCAAAAAAGAAGAAAAGAGCCAGGCGTGGTGGCTCACACCTGTAATCCCAGCACTTCGGAAGGCTGACGTGGGCACATCACCTGAGGTCGGGAGTTCAAGATCAGCCTGACCAACATGGAGAAACCCCATCTCTACTAAAAATACAAAATTAGCCCATTGTGATGGCGCATGCCTGTAATCCCAGCTACTTGGGAGGCCGAGGCAGGAGAATCGCTTGAACCCAGGAGGTGGAGGTTGTGGTGAGCCGAGATTGCACCATTGCACTCCAGCCTGGGCAACAAGAGTGAAATGCCGTCTCAAGGAAAAAAAAAAAAAAGAAGAAAAGAAGCTTAAGGCCAGGCACGGTGGCTCACGCCTTTAATCCCAACACTTTGGGAGGCTGAGGCAGGCAGATCACTTGAGCTCAAGAGTTCGAGACCAGCCCCATCTCTTCCAAAAATACAGAAAATTAGCCAGGCTTGATGGCACATGCCTGTAGTCCCAGCTACCTGGGAGGCTGAGATGGGAGGATCGCTTGACCCCGGGAAGCAGAAGTTGCAGGGAGCTGTGATTGCACCACTGCACTCCAGCCTGGGTGACATGCAAGACACTGTCTCAAAAATAAAATAAATTATGGCCGGGCGTGGTGGCTCACGCCTGTAATCCCAGCACTCTAGGAGGCAGAGGCGGATGGATCACCTGAGGTCAGGAGTTCGAGACCAGCCTAACCAATATGGTGAAACCCCATCTCTGCTAAAAATACAAACATTAGCCAGGTGTGGTGGCGTGCGCCTGTAGTCCCAGCTACTCAGGAGGGTGAGATAGGAGAATCGCTTGAACCTGGGAGGCAGAGGTTGCAGTGAGTCAAGATTTCACCACTGCACTCCAGCCTGGGCGACAGAGTGAGACTCTGTCTCAAAAAAAATAAATAAAAATAAATAAAATAAATAAGGCCGGGCCCGGTGGCTCATGCCTGTAATCCCAGCACTTTGGGAGGCTAACTAAGGTGGTAGATCACCTGAGATCAGGAGTTTGAGACCAGCCTTGCCAACATGGTGAAACCCCGTCTCCACTAAAAATACAAAAATTAGCGGAGTGTGGTGGCAGATGCCTGTAATCACAGGTACTCGGGAGGCTGAGGCAGGAGAATCGCTTGAACCTGGGAGGCAGAGGTTGCAATGAGCCGAGATCACGCCACTGCACTCCAGCCTGGGCAACAAGAGCGAAACTCCTTCTCAAACAACTAAAAACAAAACAAAACAAACAAATAAATAAATATTAAAATTAAATAAAATATAGCCTAGGCTCAAAGCAGAGCCCTGAGAATCAGGGCCCAGTCCCTTCCCCACAAGTTACTACCACAGACACACCTTGCCAGTCCTTCAACCTGAGAAAAACCTCGAAATGCCCCACACTTTTTCTACTGGCCCCCAGGCTGAGGAAAGGCCAGGGCACAGGGAGTGTTTTGTAGAGATGAGGTCTGGCTATGTAGCCCAGGCTGGCTTCAAACTCCTGGGCTCAAGCGATCCTGCCACCTTGGACTCCCAAAGTGCTAGGATTACAGGTTTATTCCAAAAGTGCTAGGATTTCAGGTTATCCTGAAAACAAAGGGACGACAAGGGGTGGAGGCTGGGTTAGTTCTGGGCTAGAGGGATAGAGTGGCTGCAGGTGGAACCCGGGGGGCCGGGCAGGATGCGAACTTGGTGGGGAAGGAGGGTTTCCACACCAGTGTGTCCTGGCCAAGAATCGGATGAGGCAGGATTTGTTTTGTTGAATTTTGTTTTGTTTTGAGACAAGGTCTTGCTCTGTTAACCAGGCTGGAGTGCAGTGATGCAATCACAGCTCACTGCAGCCTCTAACTCCTGGACTCAAGCAATTCTCCCACCTCAGCCTCCCAAGTAGCTGGGACTTTTAGGTGCATGGCACTATGGCCAGTTAATTTAATTATTATTTATTTTTTCTTTTCTTTTCTTTTCTTTTTTTTTTTTTTTGAGACGGAGTCTCATTCTGTTGCCCAGGCGGAGTGCAGTGGCGCAATCTCGGCTCACTGTAACCTTTGCCTCCCGGTTTCAAGCGATTCTCCTGCCTCAGCCTCCTTAGTAGCTGCGATTACAGGCGCCCACTACCATGCCCGGCTGATTTTTGTATTTTTAGTAGAGACAGGGTTTCACCATGTTGGCCAGGTTGGTCAGGAACTCCTGATCTCAGGTGATCCACCCTCCTCCGCCTCCCAAAGTGCTGGGATTACCGGCGTGAGCTACCGCACCCGGCCTAAAATTATTTTTTTTAGAAATAGGGTCTCATGGTTGGGCGCAGTGGCTCACGCCTGTAACCCCAGCACTTTGGGAGGCCAAAGCAGGTGGATTATTTAAGGTCAGGAGTTCCAGACCAGCCTGGCCAACATGGTGAAACCCCATCTCTCTACTAAAAATACAAAAAAATGAGCTGGGCGTGGTGGCACATGCCTGTAATCTCAGCTACTCGGGAGGCTGAGGCACGACAATCGCTTGAACCTGGGAGGTGGAGGTTGCAATGAGCCGAGATCGCGCCACCGCATTCCATCCTGGGCGACAGAGCAAGACTCCGTCTCAAAAAAAAAAAAAAAAGCGACAGATGGGGTCTCACTATATTGCCCAGGCTGGTCTTGAACTCCTGGGCTCAAGCAGTTCTCCCTACCTTGGCCTCCCGAAATGTCAGGATTACAGACATGAGCCATCATGCGCAGTGGAGAAGCTGTTTTCACTAGAAACTAACCGTCCCGTGGAAGCAGTGTCACCAGTGCCCATTTTATGCTCTGGAGACCCTTTAGTGTTTAAGAATCCATCCGCTAATGTCGGCTCCCCCATCGGCTAATGTCGTAGGGGTGCTGGGAGGAGCGGCAGAGCCCGCGGTCAGGGTCTCCGGGGGCTCACATAGGGAGGTCTCTCTGTTCCCGGCTATGGCCTAGAGCCCCTCTAGCAGTTCCTCCACCACCCCCATTAGGCCGTAGGGGCTTCCCCAGCCAGAGGCCAAGGGCGACGCGACCTTAACGCCGGTCCGCGCACCGCGGCGCCACCTGGAGGTCAGGACCAAGACGAGACAGGCTGTTCAAGTCCCCCAGCTTCGCCGCGGCCGCCACGCCCGACCACCCGGCCCCCGCTGGCGTCCCTAGCTGGCCCCCTACAGGTCTTACCCGCGCTTGTTGCCCCCAGACCCAGGCTTCTCCCCACCTGCACCCACCAGACTGGGAAGGTGGCCAGACTAGACCGAGGGCTGAGGCGGGAGAGACTCCGCCCCCGAGGCCCCGCCCCCTTCTGACAGCAGACGAGGCTGACGTCACTGGATTGGGCAGGTGTCCAGGTGTCCTCTCTCCAGCTGCATCTCCCCTCCTCCACCCAAGGGGAGTCCTCAGTCCCCCAGGCCAGAGTCTCCAATACCCCAAGGTGCCTTCTGTGATCTCCCCGCAGTGCAGCCTCCGGGGCACCCCCCACCCCAATAAAACTCATCTCCGGTTAAAATATCGATTCCAGCGGGCGTGGTGGCTCATGCCTGTAATCCCAACACTTTGGGAGGCCGAAGTGGTCAGATCACCCGAGGTCAAGAGTTCGAGACCAGCCTGGCCAACATGGTGAAACCCCGTCTCTACTAAAAATATAAAAATTAGCCGGGCGTGGTGGTGCACGCCTGTAATCCCAGCTACTCTGGAGGCTGAGGCAGGAGAATCGCTTGAACCCGGGAGGCGGAGGTTGCAGTGAGCCGAGATTGTGCCACTGCACTCCAGCTTGGGCAACAGAGTGAGACCCCATCTCAAAAAAAAAAAAAAAAAAAGGATTCCCAGACCCCACCTCAGTTTCTGACTTTGAGGCCAAAAATCTGGTTTTTGTTTTGTTTTGTCTTGTCTGGTTTGAGACAGGCTCTCGCTCTGTTGCCCAGGCTGGAGTGCAGCGGCATCATCATGGTTCACTGCAGCCTCAAACTCCTGGGCTCAAGCCATCCTCCACCTCAGCCTCCCGAGCAGCTGGGACCACAGGCACATACCACCACCACCAGCAGCTACTTTTCTTTTTTGTCTGTTTGTTTTGTAGAGATGGGGTCTGGCTATGTAGCCCAGGCTGGCCTCAAACTCCTGGGCTCAAGTGATCCTGCCACCTTGGACTCCCAAAGTGCTAAGATTACAGGCATGAGCCACCACACCCAGTTGGAATCTGTGGGTTTTTTTTTTTTTTTCAGACGGAGTCTTGCTCTGCTGCCCAGGCTGGAGTGCAGTGGCTTGATCTCGGCTCACTGCAACCTCTGCCTCCCAGGTTCAAGCGATTCTCCTGCCTCAGCCTCCCAGATAGGTGAGATTACAGGCACCTGCCATCATGCCCAGCTAATTTTTATATTTTTGTAGAGACAGGGTTTCACCATGTTGACCAGGCTGGTCTTGAACTCCTGACCTCAGGTGATCCACCCGCCTTGGCCTCCCAAAGTGCTGAGATTACAGGCGTGAGCCACCGTTCATGGCCTGGAATCTGTGTTTTTTTTTTCTTATTTTATTTTTTGTTTTTGTTTTATTTTTTTGAGACAGAGTCTCGCCCTGTCACCGGGCTGGAGTGCAGTGGTGCAATCTCCACTCACTACAACCTCTACCTCCCGGGTTCAAGCAATTCTCCTGCCTCAGCCTCCCAAGTAGCTGGGACTACAGGTGAGTGCCGCCACGCCTGGCTAATTTTTCGTATTTTTAGTAGAGACGGGGTTTCACTGCGTTAGCCAGAATGGTCTCCATCTCCTGACCTCGTGATCCACCTGCCTCAGCCTCCCAAAGTGCTGGGATTACAGGTGTGAGCCACCATGCCCGGCCTGGAATCTGTGTTTTTAACAAGCTCTCAGGAGATTGTGATATGTCCTAAGCTTCAGAATCCCAACAGTCTACATTCCCATGCAGTGTGGCAGTGATTCCCAAACTTCAGCAGGCGTGTTCAAACAGATTGCTGGCCCCCATCCTAGGGTTTTTGATTCAGTAGGTCTGCGGTGCAGGGCCTGGAGTTTGAATTTCTACTACTCTCTGGGGAATGCGATGCTCTGGTCCAGGACCACACTCTAATAACTATTTCATTTATTTTCCTTTTTTTTTTTTCTTGAGACAGAGCCTTGCTTTTGAGACAGAGATTCAGACAGGTTAATTCACTTGCTGAAGGTCACACAGCCAGGAAAGGCAGAATTTGAACCTGGTCTTTGTGAGCCCAAAGGCTGGGCTGGTTCTGTCTCCGGCAACTGCTAGTTAGCACCTCCCAGGAACTTACCTTGTTTCTGCAGGTTAACTCAACACTCCCTGAAGCCTGAGGAAGTTTGTTATTTTTATTTTTATTTTTTGAAGACAGAGTCTGATTCTATCGCCCAGGCTGGAGTTCAGTGGCGTGATCTCAGCTCACTGCAACCTCTGCCTCCCAGGTTCAAGCAATTCTCCTGTCTCAGCCTCCCGAGTAGCTGGGATGACAGGTGCGCGCCACCATGCCCAGCTAATTTTTTTTTCTTTTTTTGAGATGGAGTCTCACTCTGTCACCCAGACCAGAGTGCAGTGGCAAGATCTCAGCTCACTGCAAGCTCCGCCTCCCAGGTTGACACCATTCTCCTGCCTCAGCCTTCCAAGTAGCTAGGGCTACAGGTGCCGGCTACCACGCCCAGCTAATTTTTTGTATTTTTAGTAGAGACGGGGTTTCACCGTGTTAGCCAGGATGGTCTCGATCTCCTGACCTCGTGATCCTCCCACCTCGGCCTCCCAAAGTGCTGGGATTACAGGCGTGAGCCACCATGCCCAGCCAATTTTTGTATTTTTAGTAGAGGGTTTCGTCATGTTAGCCAGGCTGGTCTCGAACTCCTGACGTCAGGTGATCCACCCACCTCAGCCTCCCAAAGTGCTGGGATTACAGGTGTGAGCCACTGTGCCCAGCCATCAAGTCATCATTTTATTTAAGGAGCTTGAGTCTCAGTGAAGGAAAGTGACTCTCAAAAATCACCAAGTGCCTGCGATCCCAGCCCTTTGGGAGGCAGAAGCAGGAGGATTGACCAGGAGATGGAGGCTATAGTGAGCTATGATTGTGCCACTGTCCTCCTGTCTGGCCAACTGAGCGAGACTCTGTCTCAAAAATAAATAAAAAATAAAAATAAGAGTCGTACAGCAAAGTAGTAGCAATATTGAGACTAGGACCAAGGTCTCTTGACTCCGCATCAAGGGCTCCTCCTACTACTTCCTGCACATGGTATTCTTTATCACTTCCAAAATGACATTCCTAGCTGGGTGCAGTGGTTCACACCTGTAATCCCAGCACTTTGGGAGGCCGAGGTAGGAGGATTGCTTGAGGCCAGGAGTTTGAGACCAGACTGGGCAACATAGCTAGAACCCATCGCCACAAATATTAAAAAAGAATTAGCTGGGCATGGTGGCATACACCTGTAGTTTCAGCTATTCGGGAGGCTGTGGTGGGAGGATCGCTTGAGTCCAGGAGTTGGAGGCTGCAGTGAGCCATGATTGCGCCACTGCCCTCCAGCCTGGGCAACAGAGCCAGACCCTGTCTCTAAAAAACAAAAACCACTGGCCGGGTGCAGTGGCTCACGCCTGTAATCCTAGCACTTCGGGGAGCTGAGACAGGTGGATCATCTGAGGTCAGGAGTGCAAGACCAGCCTGGACAACATGGTGAGACCCTGTCTCTACTAAAAATACAAAAGTTAGCCGGGTGTGGCCAGGCGCGGTGGCTCATGCCTGTAATCCCAGCACTTTGGGAGGCCAAGGCAGGCGGATCACGAGGTCAGGAGATCAAGACGATCCTGGCTAACATGGTGAAACCCCGTTCTCTACTAAAAATACGAAAAAAAATTAGCCGGGCGTGGTGGCATGTACCTGTAATCCCAGCTACTCAGGAGGCTGAGGCAGGAGAATGGTGTGAACCCGGGAGGCGGAGCTTGCCGTCAGCGGAGATCATGCCACTGCACTACAGCCTGGGTGACAGAGTGAGACTCTGTCTCAAAAAAAAAAAAAAAAAAACCAAAAAACAAAAACGGTTACATGGGTGTGGTGGCAAGCACCTGTAATCCCAGCTACTCCAGAGGCTGAGGCAGGAGAACCACTTGAACCCCACGGGCGGAGGTTGCAATGAGCCGAGATCACACCACTGCACTCCAGCCTTGGCGATAGAGTGAGACTCCATCTCAAAAAAACACACAAAAAAACTGTCATCAAGAGGCAGCTTCCTTCTGCCCACCCCTTTCCTTCCTCTCCCACAAGTCTGCCTGTGCCTGCTCAGCCAAGCCTAGACAGGGCTCCAGATCTGGGGAAGGAGAGAGTGATGGGATGTGCCTTGGTTGCTGGCTGAACCCACCTTCCTTAATTTCCCTTCCACTCCCAAGAGCTGAAGAAGCCAAAGACAAACGAGAGCAGTATTCCTTTCCACAAGCCCACAGCGTCAAGCCTGGATGAGCTCCTGGGCCTGTAGCTACTTGCAAGGCTATTTTACCAGTGACCCTCAGAGGCCCAGCTTCGTCCTACTCTCCCCTCCCCTCCTCTCACTGAAACCTCAGGTCCCCAGCGATGAGGAGCTCATCTCTAAAGACTCGGAGGGGCTGATCCCGGATGTTAGACAGCTAGGTACTACTCCAAACCTCAGGACCCATTAAATCTCAGGGCTTCCTGGGACTCAGATCCTGCACCAACACCATTCACCCCCAGAAGGGTTCCTGGCAGATAATAGAGACGTGATGAATAATTGGTGATTGAAAACTCCAGACATGAGCTGCTCTTTATTAGTCTGTTTTGAGGCCCCGCCTGAAAACCTGAAAGCAGGCTTTGACTTTAGGCTTCACTCAGGACTGATTCCCAGTGAAGTCACTTAACTCATGTGTTGAACACCTGCTGTGTAACATGTGCAGAATGAAAGCTACATGACCTTTCTTTTCTCTTTCTTTTTTTTTTTTTTTCTGAGATAGAGTCTCACTCTGTTGCCCAGGCTGGAGTGCACTGGTGCAATCTCACCTCATTGCAACCTCTGCCTCCCGGGTTCAAATTATTCTGTCTCAGCCTCCCAAGTAGCTGGGATTATAGACACATGCCACCACACCCAGCTAATTTTTTGTATTTTTAGTAGAAACGGGGTTTCACCATGTGAAAAAGATGTTTTAAGAGATAAGGTCTTGTTATGTTGCCCAGGCTGGTCTCAAACTCCTGAGCTCAAGCAATCCTCCCGCCTCAGTCTCCCAAGGTGCTGGGATTATAGGCATGAGTCACCGTGCCCGGCCTTGCTGTTGCTTTTGTGAAACAACCCTGCTTTTTCCTGGAGAGCCACCTCTGCACCTTCATGTGGCTTGGCTACTCCGAGAGGGGACCTGAGGCTGCTGGGTCTCCCTTCTTGTTGTCTCCGTTGCCCTCCAACCTCCTTCCAAATTGCCACAGCCTCCCTCTAGGTCCTTATTCCCACGGTGCCAGGCCAAATCCCTCACCCAGCTCCTAGGCTGCAGCCTTCACCCGGCCCTGCCGTGAGCATGGTCCCTGTAGAGCCCCCTGGAGGTGTAGTTTCAGCTCTTGGTGAGGCGCGGGCAGCAGGCAGCGGGGCTGGAGTTCCTTCACAGCACGTGGATGCATCTCCCACAGCCCCCATGTGCGTCTGCAGACGCACAACTCTCCACAGCCAAGCCCATGGCAAAGCCCTTCAGCACCAGAGAGGCAGGGTAGTGGGCTACCCCTGGGAGCTGGCAGTTTCCAGCAAGGCCTCCTTTGCTGAGCCTTGGACAAGTCCCGTAATCCACCCTAAATACCTTTCTTGTAGGATCGCTAAGGACAGCAGCTGACGGGACTGGGTCCTTGGTGAATGGCAGCTGTTACCGTCCTTATAAGGAAAGGTGGAGTTACAAACAGGCATTTTGGCCCCAAGAAGGGGGTGGGACCCAGAGCAGAAACGTGCTGACCATGCTTCCCCCCAAATAGACCCACAGGTGACCCCTACTGGGATTTAGGCCCTCACCTTAGGGGTCTCTCCCTGACCCACCCAAACTCCTCTCATCCCCTCCCGCCGTCCACAAACACACTCCATACTGACTCAGAACTATCTGATATTTATTTCCCAATATTTTGATACTTGTTTTACAACTGGAATACATGGAATGAAGGGGCTGATATGGGACCCCAGGTAAGAGTGAGGTCAGGACTCTCTAAGGGTCTGGGGTTCCCCCTAGAGGGGACTTTGGGCATCCAGTTTCAGGGACTGAGCCGGGTTGGGTCGGGGGGCAGCATGGCATCGGACGTGGTGCCGTCTGTGCCTCTCCTGCCTGCGGTACAGCCGGCGCAGGTGTTTCCGAACGGCCCACAGCACCAGGTACACCTCCCACAGCAACTCAGCCTCCGGAGTCTTCAAAGGTGACTGCGTCCTCACTTGGGAGCTGACTGAGGCAGAACTCACTGATGACTGTAAGAGAAAGAGAAGATGTGCATGCGTAAATAGCTGGGTCTAGGGAGAAACTGCCGCTAGAACGACCCATAGATAAACAGCAAAGGGCTCCCTGATTCCACCTCTCCCATCAGCCCAACTCATACATCACCTCCTCCAGAAAGCCTTCTCAGGTTGCATCAAATGTTTGTCATTTCTATCCTTTTTTTTTTTTTTAATGAGACGGGGTCTTGCTATGTTGCCCAGGCTGGTCTCGAACTCCTGGGCTCAAGAGATCTTCCTGCCTTGGCTTCCCAAAGTGTTGGGGATTACAGGCGTGAGGCATCACACCTGGCCCATCAGTTCTATTCTTCTTTTTTTTGTTGTTTTGAGATGGAGTCTTGCTCTATCACCCAGGCTGGAGTACAGTGGCATGATCTCAGCTCACTGCATCCTCCACCTCCTGGGTTTAAGCGATTCTTCTGCCTCAGGCTCCTGAGTAGCTGGGATTACAGGTGCTCGCTATCACGCCCAGCTAATTTTTGTAGTTTTAGTAGAGAAGGGGTTTCACCATGTTGGCCAGGCTGGTCTCGAACTCCTGACCTCAAGTGATCAGCCGGCCTCGGCCTCCCAAAGTGCTGGGATTACAGGCGTGAGCCACCATGCCTGGCCTTTTTTTTTTTTTTTTTTTTGAGACAAGGTCTCACTCTGTCACCCAGGCTGGAGTGCAGTGGCATAATCTCAGCTCACTGCAACCTCCACCTCCCAAGTTCAAGTGATGCTCCCACCTCAGCCTCCTGAGTAGCTGGGACTACAGTCGTGCACCACCATGCCCGGCTAACTTTTATATATATATATGTGTGTGTGTGTGTGTGTGTGTGTGTGTGTGTGTGTGTATATATATATATATATTTTTTTTTTTTTTTGTAGAAATGGGGTTTTGCCCAGGCTGGTCTTGAACTCCTGAGCTCAAGTGATCCACCTGCCTCAGCCTCCCAAATGCTGAGATTACAGGCGTGAGTCGCCACGCTCGGCTTAAACTGTTTTTTTGTTTTGTTTTGTTTTGAGATCATTGTAGACTGACTGACCTGCAATTGGAAGAAATCATAGAGATCCTGTGCACCCTTTACTGAGTTCACCTCATAGGAAAATCTTGCAAATCTATACTATTATATCATAGTCAGGATATTGACATTGATCCAATCTACTGATCTTATGTAGATTTCCCCAGTTGTACTTGTACTCACTGGTGTGTGTGTGTGTGTGTGTGTGTGTGTGTGTGTGTGTGTGTGTATAATTTTACCAAGTTTTATCCAGTATGCAGGTTCATGTATCCAACTACCACAGTCAAGGTACAGAACATTTCCATCGGGCAGGAGAAACAAAAAACAAAAACATAAAAACAAAACAAAACAGAAAGCTACAGAACATTTCCATCAGACAGGAGAAAGCAAAAAACAAAAACAAAACAAAAAAAGATACAGAACATTTGCATCATCACAAGTGTCCCTCATGTTGTCCTTTAATAACTACACTCTTCTCCCCCTATCTCTGTGGCCCCTGGAAACCACTGAGCCACTAATATGTTTGCCATTTCTAGACTTTTGTTATTTCAAGAGTGGTAGATAATATAAACGGAATCATTCAGAATATAACCTTTTAGGATTGGTTGTTTCCACTCAGTATAATTTCCTTGAGGCCGGGCCCAGTGGCTCATGCCTATAATCCCAGCACTTTGGGAGGCCAAGGTGGGTGGATCACCTGAAGTCAGGAGTTCCAGACCAGCCTGGCTAACATGGTGAAACCCCATCTCTACTAAAAATACAAAAAATTAGCTGGGTGTGGTGGTGGGCACCTGTGGTCCCATCTAATCGGGAGGCTGAGGCAGGAGAATAGCTTGAAGCTGGGAGGCGGAGGTTGCAGTGAGCCGAGGTCGCACCACTTCATTCCAGCCTGGGCAATGAGAGTGAAACTCCGTCTCAAAACAAAACAAAAAATTTCCCTCAAGATTCACACCCACGTTACTGTGTGTATCAATAGTTTGTCCTTTTTACCTTTTTTTTTTTTTTTTTTTTGAGACGAAGTCTCCCTCTGTCACCCAGGCTGGAGTGCAGTGGCACAATCTTGGCTCACTGCAAGCTCCGCCTCCCGGGTTCACGCCATTCTCCTGCCTCAGCCTCCCGAGTAGCTGGTACTACAGGCGCCTGCCACCACGCCTGGCTAATTTTTTTGTATTTTTTTTTTTAGTAGAGACGGGCTTTCATCCTGTTAGTCAGGATGGTCTTGATCTCCTGACCTCGAGATCCGCCTGCCTCGGCCTCCCAAAGTGCTGGGATTACAGGTGTGAGCCACCGTGCCCGGCCTTTATTTTTTCAGGCAGAGTTTCACTTTTGTTGCCCAGGCTGGAGTGCAGTGGCATGATCTCAGCTCACTGCAACCTCCGCCTCCCAGGTTCAAGCGATTCTCCTGCCTCAGCCTCCCGAGTAGCCCACCACCATGCCCAGATAATTTTTTTGTATTTTTAGTAGATACAGGGTTTCACCATGTTGGCCGGGCTGGTCTCGAACTCCTGATCTCAGGTGATATGCCTGCCTTGGCCTCCCAAAGTGCTGGGATTACAGGCATGAGCCACCACGCCCGGCCCTGTCCTTTCCGTCTTTTTAGAATTTTATTTATTTGTGTGTTTGTTTTGTTTGTTTGCAGATACGGGGTCTCACTATGTTGTCTAGGCTGGCCTCGAAACCCTGGGCTCGAGCGATGCTTCTGCCTGGTGTTTCAAAGTGCTAGGATCACAGGTGTGTCGCTGCTCCTGGCCAGTTTGTCCCTTCTTATTGCTGAGTAGTATTCTGGGGTTTGAAGGTATCACAGTTTAACCATTCACCCACTGAAGGACATGGGTTGATTTTGGCTATTACAAATCAAGCTGCTGTGAACATCCACATTTAGATTTTTTTTTTTTTTTAGATGGAGTCTCGCTCTGTCACCCAGGCTGGAGTACAGTGGCGCTATTTCAGCTCACTGCAAGCTCCGCCTCCCAGGTTCACGCCATTCTCCTGCCTCAGCCTCCCAAGTAGCTGGGACTACAGGCACCCGCCACCACGCCCGACTAATTTTTTGTATTTTTAGTACAGACGGGGTTTCACTGTGTTAGCCAGGATGGTCTTGATCTCCTGACCTTGTGATCCACCTGCCTCGGCCTCCCAAAGTGTTAGGATTACAGGCGTGAGCCACTGCGCCTGGCCTCACATTTAGATTTTTGTGTGAACATAAGATTTTATTTATCTGGGATAAATGCCCAAGAGTACAACTGTTGGGTCATATGATAACTGCGTGGTTAGTTTTATAAGAAATAACCACTCTTGGCCAGGCGCTGTGGCTCACGCCTGTAATCCCAGTACTTTGGGAGTCTGAGGTGGGAGGATCGCCTGAAGTCAAGAGTTCGAGACTAGCATGGTCCAATATGGTGAAACTCTGTCTCTACTAAAAATACAAAAGTTAGTCAGACATGGTGGTGAGTGCCTGTAATCCCAGCTACTTGGGAGGCTGAGGCAGGATAATTGCTTGAACCTGGCAGGCAGAGGTTGCAGTGAACAAGATCATGCCACTGCACTCCAGCCTATGTGAGAGAGTGAGACTCCATCATAAAAAAAAAAAGAGAGAGAGAGAGAGAAATGACCATCCTGTTTTCCAGAGTTGCTGTGCTATCTATTTTCCTTTTTTTTTTTTGAGAGTGTCTCACTGCCACCCAGGTTGGAGTGCAGTGGCACAAATATAGCTCACTGTGGCCTTGACCTCCCAGTGGTCCTCTCACCTTAGCCTCCCAAGTAGCTGGGACTACAGGCATGCATCATGCCTGGCTAATTTTTTTACTTTTGTAGAGATGGGGTCTCCCTGTGTTGCCCAGGCTGGGCTGAACAAGCTTACAATCCTACCCAAATATGAGTGCAGGTGAGCTTTCAAAATCAACATTTGATCATGTCACTCCTCTGCTCAAATGTCTTCAAGGGCTCCCATTGCTCTAAGGGTCCAATCCAAAGCTCACAACTTGGCAACCCTGCCTTCTACCAGCTGACTTTAGGCTTCAGGATCGTTCCACTCCAACCCACACACCTTGGGACAGCTCTGCACTCATCTGCTATTCTTTTCTGTTTGTTTGAGACAGACTCTCACTGTATTGCCCAGGCTGGAGTGCAGTGGCAGAATCTCGGGTCATTGCAACCACTGCTTCCCAGGATCAAGCGATTCTCCTGCCTCAGCCTCCCAAGTATCTGGGATTACAGCGGTGCACCACCACACCCCACTGATTTTTGTTTTTGTTTTTAGTAGAGACAGGGTTTCACCATGTCGGCCAGGCTGGTCCTAACTTCAGGTGATCCACCTGCCTCAGTGGCACGATCTCGGCTCACTGCAGCCTCCGCTTCCCAGACTCCAGCAGACTTCCCACTTCAGCCTCCCGAATAGCTGGGACTACAGCTGTGAGCCACCGATTCCTGGCTTATTTTTGTATTTTTTGTAGAGAGAGGGTTTCACCATGTTGCCCAGGCTGGTCTCGAACTCCTGAGCTCAAATGATCCTCCTGCCTTGGCCTCCCAAAGTGTTGGGATTACAGGCATGATCCACTGTGCCTGGCCACACATTTGCCATTCTTACTCCCTGGACACCCCTCCCACTCCCTCCACCTTCCCCTAACAACCCTTTCAAGCCAAGCTAACACCTTCAGGCCTCAGCTTTACCCTCACTTCTGTTAAGAAGGCCTTGCCTGGCCGGGCGCAGTGGCTCACACCTGTAATCCCAGCACTTTGGGAGGCCGAGGCGGACAGATCACGAGGTCAGGAGATCAAGACCATCCTGGTTAACACAGTGAAACCCTGCCTCTACTAAAAATACAAAAAAAAATTTAGCTGGGCGTGGTGGCGGGTGCCTGTAGTCCGAGCTACTCAGGAGGCTGAGGCAGGAGAACGGTGTGAACCCAGGAGGCGGAGCTTGCAGCGAACCGAGATCCCGCCACTGCACTCCAACCTGGGCGACAGACTCCGTCTCAAAAAAAAAAAAAAAAAAAGGCCTCACCTGACTCCTTAGGTTTGGATAACATGCCTCTCTCCTGGGGTCCTACAGCCCGCTTGACAACGTCACACTCAACAATGTGTGGATACTGAACTAGCAATGCCTATTGTCTCATCTGTAGCCCTGCAAGTCTGCAAGTCTTGTTCATTGTTGTATCTTTAGTACATGGCATTTGGTGGACGCATAGGAAATATTTTTTATTTTTATTATTTATTTTTTTTGAGATGGAGTCTCGCTCTGTCGCCCAGGCTGGAGTGCAGTGGTGCTATCTCGGCTCACTGCAAGCTCCGCCTCCCGGGTTCATGCCATTCTCCTGCCTCAGCCTCCTGAGTAGCTGGGACTACAGCCACCTGCCACCTTGCCTGGCTAATTTTTTGTATTTTTAGTAGAGACGGGGTTTCACCATGTTAGCCAGTATGGTCTCAATCTCCTGACCTCGTGATCAGCCTGCCTCGGCCTCCCAAAGTGCTGGGATTACAGGCGTAAGCCACCGTGCCCGGCCAGAAATATATATATATTTTTAAGAGACAGAGTCTCGCTCTATTGCCCAGGCTGGAGTGCAGTGGCACAATCATAGCTCATTACAGCCTTGAACTCCTGGGCTCATGTGTTCCTCCTGCCTCAGCCTCCCAAGTAGCTGGAAATACAGGCACCACTAAGCCTGGCTAATTTTTAACTTTTTTGTAGAAATGGGGTCTCACTTTGTTGCCCAGGCTGGCCTTGAACTCCTGGCCTCAAGTGATCCTCCTGCCTCAGCCTCCCAAAGTGCTGGGACTATAGGCATGAGCCACCATGCCTGGCTAAGAAAGAAAACATTTGCCGGGCATGGTGGCTCATGCCTGTAATCCCAGCACTTTGGGAGGCTGAGGCAGGTGGATCACTTGAGGCCAGGAGTTCGAGACCAGCTTGGCCTCGTGGTGAAACCCTGTCTCTACTAAAAATGCAAAAATTAGCCAGGCGTGGGAGTCTGTAGTCCCCAGCTACTCGGGAGGCTGAGCCAGGAGAATAGCTTAAACCGGGGAGGTGGAGGTTGCAGTGAGCCGAGATCACGCTACTGCACTCCAGCCTGGGCGACAGAGGGAGACTCTGTCTCAGGGAGAAAAAAAAAAAAGAAAGGAAGAAAAAGAAAAAGAAAAAGATATTTTAAGAGACAGGGTCTTGCTATGTTGCCCAGGCTGGTCTCGAATTCCTGAGCTCAAGTGATCCTCCCATCTCAGCCTCCCAAAGTGCTGGGATTACAGGCGTGAGTCACTGCACCAGGCCAGGAAACAATTGTTGAACAAGTAATCAGAGGGAGGGGTGAGTCACTGGGGGCTGGGGAAAGAGGGAGGGGGTGTTAGGATGGTGCTGACCTTCCAGCTGCACATCTGCCAGCCGCTCTGCAGGGCAGAGACCATGAGCGTGGAGACAGACTTGACGGCCGTCCTCGGCAGCTGCAGTAGGGATTGGCCCTGTTGGCCCAGCTCCACCTCGGTCTCCTCTGTAGTCTTGGCCAACACGCAGGGATCTGCCAGCTCGGGGGACTCACCCAACTTGGGCTTAGCCTCTTTTGGGAGCTCGACCAACCTCAAAGTCTCAACCACCTGGAGAGTCTTCTCCATCTTCTTCAATGAGTGTTTCTTGGAGTCAGGGTGTCCTGAGATGGTTGGTTTAATTTTTTGCCTCCAGAAGAAAACCTGAGAACCAAGACACAGAGAGGAGAGACAGGAGAGAGGGGCAGGGCAGAGACAACACCATCCACAGAAAAGAAGGCACAAAAGGGATGGAGCAGTGAGTTTCCTGGCCTCTCTTCCTTCTCCTCCAGCCCCTCCCCAGCTGTCCTTTCCTTCCTCCCCACTCCATCTTGTTTGGCCACAGGCCAGGAAGGGAGGGAACCCACGCAGTAAGGGGCTGCTGCGACCCATGCCCTCATCCCAGCGCATCATGAGGACAGAGTGGTCTCAGAAACTCACCCAGGAAATAATCCTTTGCCAAGCCCGTCTAACCCATCGGAAGAACTTCATGACCACAACCATCTCTCTTGATGGGAAAAACACAGAAGAAAGGGCAGAGCTAGCATTTGGTACGGTGGGGGTGGCGGGTGGGGGATGGGGTGGGCTGTGGGCCGGTGACCACCTCTTGAGGGGTCTCCTGTGAGCTTCAAGCACAGCAGTAAAGAAAGAAGTAGGAAATCCTGGGGGAAGCCCCTCCTGGCAATGAATCCCAGACCTTTTCTCCCCTCCCTGGGACAGGGAGAGGAGTCGAAGTAGGTGAGAACCTACAGTGAGGGAGAGTTCTAGACCATTGTGAGGCTGCCTGGCCCCGACCCCAACCCCCGAGGCCCTGCCCAGACCCACAGAGTCCATCTCTTCCACCCTGGCTCTTCTTCGCTCAGATCCAGGGAAAATAAACTAACACGTAACAAACTAATAAGCACTGTTCCTGCATCACGTCCTGCAGTCCTTCACAGCAGCCCTTCAAGATAGGTATTATTGTTAGTGCCACTTCATCAAAGAGGAATCTGAAATTCAGGAAAGCTGAAGGGGGCCGGGCATGGTGGCTCATGCCTGTAATCCCAGTGTTTTGGGTGGCTGAGGCAGGAGGATCACTTGAGGCCAGGAGTTGAAGACCAGCCTGGGCAACATAGTGAGACTCCCCCCAACTCACTATGTTTAAATTTTTCAAAAAAAGAGTTTAAATCAGTTGGGAGTGGTGGTGTGTGCCTGCAGTCCCAGCTACTCAGGAGGCTGAGGCAGGAGGATTGCTTGCGCCCAGGAGGTGGAGGCTGCAGTGAGCCATGATTGTGCCACTGCACTCCAGCCTGGGCAACAGAATGAGACCCTGTCTCAAAAAAAAAAAAAAAAAAAAGGAAGGAAGGAAGGAAGGGAGAGGAGGGAGGAAGGAAGAGAGAGAGACAGAGAGGAGAGAAAGAAAGAGAGAGAGAGAGAGAAAGAAGAAAGAAGGAAAAGAACAAAAGAAAGAAAAGAAGGAAAGAAAAAAACAAAAAAGAAAGACAAAAAAGGAAGGAGGGAAGGAAGGAAGGAAGGAAGCAAGGAAGGAAAAAACTTAAGAGAGCCAGGTGTGGTAGCTCACACCTGTAATCCCAGAACTTTGGGACGCCAAGGTGGGAGGATTACTTGAAGCCAGCAGTTTGAGATCAGCCTGGGCCATATAGCGAGATGGTCTCTACCAAAAAATTTAGGCTAGGCGCAGTGGCTCATGCCTGTAATCCCAGCACTTTGGGAGGCTGAGGTAGGCAGATTACTTGAGTTCAGGAGTTTGAGACCAGCCTGACCAAAGTGGTGAAACCCCTTCTCTACTAAAAATACGAAAAAAAAAAAAAATTAGCTGGGTGTGGTGGTGCACACGTGTAGTTCCAGCTACTCAGGAGGCTGAGGCATGGAAATCGCTTGAACCTGAGAGGTGGAGGTTGCAGTAAGCTGAGATCTCACCACTGCATTCCAGACTGGGTGACAAGAGCGAAACTTCGACTCTAGCTGGGCATAGTGCCACATGCCTGTAGTCCCAGCTACTTAGGAGGCTGAAGTGGGAGGATCACTTGAGCCCAGGAGTTGAAGACTGCAGTGATCTATGATCACACCACTGCACTCCAGCCTGTGCAACATAGCAAGGCCCCATCTCTACAAAAATAAAGAAAATTAGCTGAACGTGGTGGCGCACACCTATAGTTCAGGGAGGCCAAGGCGGGAGGATCACTTGAGCCAGGAACGTGGAGGCTGCAGGGAGCTGTGATTGTGCCACTGCACTCTGGGCATCAGAGCAATACCCTGTCTCAAAAAAAGAAAGGAGAAATGAAAAAAAAAAAAAGAAAAACCAAAGAAGTTGCCCAAGGTTATGAACCTAGGGAAACCTAAGGAGGCAGAGAGTCAGGCACTCCAAGACAGGTCAGCCTCCTTGGAGGCTGCTGGGGCCAGGGGATCCCGGGGCTAGGGGCCTCCTGGGGCTACAGCTGCAGCTCTCGCCTCTTCCCCACTAGATGGGGTCCTTCTCCATTGCTGCTGACTCTTCCGCCTGGGACCGGAGCCCAGGCTGCCAGGGAGGGGCCAGCTCACCCACAGGGCCCGTCCTCAGCTGGCCGGGGGTGGGAGCCACGGCGGCTGGCCAGGCCTGGCAAGGGCACCGTGTGCCCGGGGAGCCTGGCCCACACCCAGCCCCGAGACAAGGGGCCCATTCAGGGCCCCCCGCCCCGCCCCCAAGCAGCCACCCGGATCCAGCCCGCAGAGGGGACACACTGGGAAGCCAGGGGTGGATCTTGGGCAACCACCAAAGACCTTATTGTTTCCCAGCCCCCCGCCCAGCACGTGGGCAGACGCCCCCCCACCCCCAATCCTCACTTGCCCCTTCCCAGGACCCGAACCGCTGGCTCCCTTCTCCAGCCTCTGTCTCAATTCCTCCGTCTCCCACGCTTTAAACCTCCCCAGTCTGCAAAAGATCTCAGGGGAGCCCTAAATGGCAGGCGCGACCCCTGAGTCTGAACACAAGCAACGAACGAGATGTCAACCTCCAAATTCAAGTTTCTTCAGAGTTTTTAATTATTATTATTATTTTAATAACAACCTGAATCCCAGAACTTCCAGATACTGTCCACACTCCCTCCCCTGGGCAGAGGAGAGGAGGCACCTCAAGGGAACAAGATGGGGGTGGGGTGTCTGCCGGGGAGCCTCCGACTCCCCCAAGCCGTCTACTGCTGGGGGGTCCCAGGAGGGAGGGTGGGGGTTGGTTCCCTCCCAGAGGGGGCTCCCTCTGACGCCCCGTCCTGAAGCCCTCCCTCCTCCATCAAGGCTGGGGATGATGAGGAGATGGGGCAGGGGCCGGGGGACCAGGCCATTACTGAGCCTTGAACTCCCACCCCGGGGACACGGGGACATTAAAGCTGCATAGGAAGAGGGGGCAGGCGGCTGACGCAAGGCCGGGCAGCCCCAAAGGCACATTGTAAGGGAAGGGAGGCTCAGACGGAGGGCCCATTGGGCGCAGGGGGCCCAAGCCGTGGGACCCCCGAGGAGGGCAGCTGAGCCAGCTGCTCCGGGCTGGCCAGGGCGCGCAGCAGCCCATTCTCCTGCTCCAGCGCAGCGTTCCGCTCCGCCAATTCCCGGATCTGCTCCTTCAGCACCTCCACCTCCTCCCGGACCGCAAACATGAGGTGGGACTTCACCAAGTCCTGGGGGCCCCGGGACAGGCACAGCGTCAACGGGGTGGGTGCCTCATCCCCTGCCCAGTGCCTTGAGGGCTGGGGTGGGAGACAGTCCCCAGTGTCCAGAGGATGAGGGACAAAGCAGGGAAGGGACAGGGGAAAAGGACGAGGGACAGAGGCAGAGTCAGGGCTCAAAGACAGAGATGGGGACCAGTAGCCAGACTAGAGGCTGGGCAAAGTCAAGGGTGGAGGTGGTGGCAGGAGGGGGCAGAGGATGCCCAGCAGCCCAGCAGGGAGAGGGACGGAGGAGCTGGGAGTTGGTGTTCCCTGGTAAGGAAGAGGACAGGGCTGGGGCAGAGGGATGGCTTAAGGGGGCCAGGACCTCCTGGGACCAAGATGGCTTCTCTTACCATGGCTTGCTCGATTTTGTTGTCAATGCCAACCAGGCTTCCGGAGCCACTGGAGAGACACAGGAAGGTGAGGGGAGGAGAGGAGAAGCCTTCCCAGGTGCTGGTTTCTTGGACCACAGCCTCCCGCCCACACCCCCCTGTACCTGTGACAGTAGAGAATGAGGGAGAGGAGGGTTTTGTCCATCCCCCTGCGGGTTGAAGGCCGCTGCCCAGGGCCTCCCAGGCCCCGGTGGGGCGGGGGCCCAGATGTCCCTCGGATGGGGGATGCACCCCGGGGAGAGCAAGGGGAAGAGGCACAGCCCCTTTTTCGGGGCAGCCCCGGAGCCATCCCCACCACTCGGGTCTCATAAGACGACACCAGGGACTTGACAGAGACCCCTGGCTGGGCCATGCCCAAGGGGAAAGGGTCCTTAGACACCCCCCCAATGGAGAGGGATGCAGTGAAGGGAATGCCTGGGGGGCTCAGAGCCCCCCGGGCAGAGCAGGGTCTGGCTGGTGCCAGGCAGGCAGAGAGGAGACAGTGCCTCGGGGGTGCTGGCCTGAAAGATATACACCACCCCCCCAAGGGCAAGGCCTGGCTGCTATTGGCTCCTTGGGGACACGGGGACCCCCCCTCCTTTCAGCTCCTCGGTGGGCGGGAATTCCCAGACACGGTCAGTGCCAGTGTCCCCTTCTCACCCTGGCACCAATCCCAGAGTGGAGGGGAGGGGGCCGGCCGAGGAAGTCAGCTGGTGGCTGGGCCAGGGGAGGGGCGTGGGGCAGAAGCCTGGGTCTGAGCGGGGAGTGAAGGGTGTGAAGGGAGAGGAAGGGGCTGGCCTTCGGAGGCCCCTCGCCACCTCCGACCCCATTCTGTCCCCTCCGTCACTCAAGGCCTTGGGAAAGAGGGTGGAGGTGGCTGGGGTAGGGGGCGTTCTGACGTGCTCGTGGTCTTCCATAGATCATGAGCGCTCTCCCACCAAAAAACCCCACAAGGCTCACATCATGGGTGACCCCTGGGATCTGGCCAGAGGGTCCCTGAGTCTCCAGAGAAGACCAAAAATGGGAAAGGTTACCATGGCAACAGAAACTGAGCCCAAAGCCCTAGAAGATGAATACAGCGTAAAGGCCAGGCGTGGTGGCTCACACCTGTAATCCCAGCACTTTGGGAGGCCAAGGTGGGTGTATCACTTGAGGTCAGGAGTTTGAGACCAGCCTGGCCAACATGGAGAAACCCCATCTCTACTGAAAATACAAAAATTAGCCAGGCGTGGTGGAGGGTGCCAGCAATTCCAGCTACTCAGGAGGCTGAGGCAGGAGAATCGCTTGAACCCAGGAGGTGGAGGTTGCAGTGAGCCGAGATCGTGCTACTGCACTCCAGCCTGGACGACAGAGTGAGATCTTGTCTCAAAAAAAAGCCAGGTGTGGTGGCTCACGCTTGTAATCCCAGCACTTTGGGAGGCTGAGGCGAGTGGATCACCTGAGGTCAGAAGTTTGAGACCAGCCTGGCCAACATGGTGAAACCCTGGCTCTACTAAAAGTACAAAAAATTAGCTGGGCATGGTGGGGGGTGCCTGTAATCCTAGCTACTCTGGAGGCTGAGGCAGGAGAATCGCTTGAACCTGGGAGGCGGAGGTTGCAGTGAGCCGAGATCGTGCCACTGAATTCCAGCCTGGACAACAAGAGCAAAACTCTGTCTTAAAAAAAAAAAAAAAAAAATCGCCTATGGGCCTGGGACCTGGGTCTGGGGTCTCAGAGGAAGCGAGGGTTTGAGGAGAGGAAGGGAAGTGAGCTTGGAGAAGGGACACTGGGAAGAGGAGCAACAGGGCTTGGAAGAGGGCTGGGAGTCTGGGGTGACAGGGTCTGGCTGCAGTCTGGGAAGTGGCCACCAGAGGGCGACTCAGGCCTGGCTCAACAGCCCCCAGGGCCGGGCTCCAGGCTGGCTCCACGACGTTGGGCTCCTGGTCCCAGAACCTGGCTCTCCCTCAAGCCCCACTCTCAGGCCCCACCTGCGCAGGCCCTTGTGCTGACCTCATCCTCCAAGGCTCCCTCTCCCACCCCTCAGGCCCCAGGCTCTTGCCCTGAGGCTCCCGACCCACCCTTGCACCCCTGCACTCTGGCGCTGTGGCGGGATCCCCAGTCCTGCCCTCCAGCCCCCAGCTGGGCCCCCCTTGGAGCAGGGGCCTCAAGGCGCTGCAGCCCACATCCCTGGACTCCCTTGTAAGCCCTCCCTCCTGGCTGTCAGCTCAGACTTGCTTTCCTGCAGGGGGATCAGCACTCAATTCAAGGTGACCCCTGGATAAGGTCCTGCAGCCAGGAAGGGAGCACAAGGGAGCTGGGAATTTTCCATTTCTCATCCCAGCTCTGGGTGCAGAAGGCGCTGACAGGTGGAGCAACTAAGGAGGTGACTAGGCCTGAGCGAGCAGGATGGGGTGGGTGGGGGAAGGGCATCTGGGACTCTTGGGGTGGTGGGAGAGGAGAAGTTGAAGGGTGGAGGTGGGTCTGCCAGCAGGAGGGTCAAAGTAATTTTCGAGCTATTTCAATCAGCAACACCTGGGTGGAGATGGAGCCACCACAGAAAGCCCAATACTGCCACCACCCCATTAAACACTCACAGAGACCAAAGGGGTTGGATACACAGGGATAGGAACATGGGCCCTGCTGGGCAGAGACTCAGGGGTAAAGATGTCAAGTAAGGTGTTCATTCTCACCAGAGATAAAGGAATAATACAGCAATAAACGTTTGTTAGCCGACAGGTGACTGTCTTCTGTTTGTCTAGCGCCTGGGAGTTTTTGCTCTTGTTGCCCAGGCTGGAGTGCAATGGCGGGATTTTCCCTCATTGGAACCTCCACCTCTGGGTTCAAGTGATTCTCCTGCCTCAGCCTCCAGAGTAGCTGAGATTACAGGCATGAGCCACCATGCCCAGCTAATTTTTGTATTTTTGCCGGGGAGCCTCCGGCAAAATGGGGTTTCACCATGTTGGCCAGGCTGGTCTTGAACTCCTGACCTCATGATCCACCCACCTCAGCCTCCCATCTCAGTCCTGGGATTACAGGTGTGAGTCACTGTGCCAGGCCTCTATTGGAACATTCTAACACACACTTCAAGGGACCAGGGCTCTGGCAATGCAGGCCCTTCCCTTTAGGACCCCAAAGCGAGGGGTTGTGGGCACTGTGCTAGAATTCTTTGACAGGGTCCGGGGGAGGAAAGTAGGGGCTGCTGAGACAGGATCGACCTCCACCACAAGCCCAAAAGCAAGTTTGTATGGATTAGAAAATGCCCCCTTCTTCGAGATCCTTAATGCCATCTTCTGGAAAACTGTCGTGACTTCAAGCATTGACTGTGATTTCAAATATGAGCGGCACCCCCTGGAGTTAGTTGTGCAGTGTGTGACATGCACAGTGGGAGACTTAGCCCTGCAGGACTCTTGGTCCTGGGGCGGGGACAGCCCTAGAAGCTGGTCTTCCTCTTTGAGGGTCAAATAAAACGGCCTCAACATGAAGATGAGATAAAAAGCAGGACACCTGGGAGAAATGGGGAGCCTGGGATCTTGGGGACAGGGGCCAGCCCTGCACACTCTCCAGTGGGTTCAGGGGATCCCCCAGGGCCTAGGTCTGGGGCCAAGAAAGTGTCATCCAGCTGCCCTGTCTCTATGCTGTCCCGGATCTGTGGTGTCTTTGGGGCGGGGCTGGGGAGGTCGGGGAGGGGGAAGGGGGGCTGGCTCCCTGCCCTGCTTGGGAGAGCTGTACCTGACTGTCCTAGAGAGAAAGGATATTGTAGACCATTGCCGCCACCTCTTTGCCTGGGACACAGGCATCCCAGTAGGACAGTGGAGAAGGTGTGGCTTTGGAGTTGGACCCAGGCTCCAGCTGCAGTCCAGCCACTTAAACTAGCTGGGTGGCCCTTGGGCAAGTTTCTAAAACCCTCCTGGCCGGGTGAGGTGGCTCATGCTTGTAATCCCAGCACTTTGGGAGGTCGAGGTGGGTGGATCACCTGAGGTCAGGAGTTTGAGATCAGCCTGGCCAACATGGTGAAACCCCGTTTCTACTAAAAATACAAAAATTAGCCGGGCATGGTGGCATGCACCTGTAGTCCCAGCTACTGGGGAGGCTGAGCCAGGAGAATCGCTTAAACCTGGGAGGCAGAGGTTGCAGTGAGCCAAGATCGTGCCACTGCATTCCAGCTTGGGAAACAGAGCAAGACTCCATCTAAAAAAGAAAAAAACAAAAACAAAACAAAAAAAAACCTCCTTCTCTGAGTCTCAGATACTTCATCTGGCAAGTGGGAGAATGGAACTGCTTTTTAGGATTAGAAGGGAGAAGGCAGTACCGGACCCAAGGGAGGCACTGGATAAATAAATGTACCTTTTCTTTCCCAAGTCCCTGGGATCCATTCTGTATAATGCCTGGATCCCCCAGGCCGGTCACTGCCCCCACCCCCATTCCTTCCATCCACTTCTTCACACCTTAATTACCTCCTGCCTGCCGGGAGGGGACAAGGATTTCCAGCCCTGGGGCACGTGAGCATTCTAGATTCACCTGCACCCTCTGTTCGCCCATCCCCAGATTCAGGGACTGGTCAGGCGTCCCCAACTCCCTCCCTGTGATCCAGGCACTGAACATCTCAGCCCACCTTCCCTCTTAAGAGAGAGGTCCCAGGCCACTGGCATCCTGTCCTGCCAGCCCTGTGCACACCAGACAGGAGAGGTGGGGCCTACATGTCCCATTCCTAGGGGGCAGGGGGTGGCCCAACCCAAACCCGCTGGCCTGGCAGGGTGGGGCTTGAGGGGCTGGGCTGGGACAGATCCCCAAGAGCCTTGGAGCACAGCAGGGTGAAGTGGAGGCTGGGAACCGGACCGGTCAGATTGGGGTGTGCAGGGAGGGGGTGGGATGGAGGGAGGCAGGGAGGGAGGGTACAGGGGAAAGACGGAGGCCTCAGGAGGTTGAATCCTCTAAGACAGAGACAGCAGGAGGCTGGGCTGTGAACTCAACAGGGGTGGGGGAGGGACGGGGAGTCCTCTTGCCGGGGAACCTCCCAAGTGGGAGAGGGAGAGGGCGGGAAACGCTGAGAATAGCAGTGATGGCGGCAGGTGACTCTCCCAGCCCTGGCCGACCTCACACCTCGCACATTCCTGAGAGTGGGAATGGGGCGTGCAGAAGCCACCCAGTCCTGCCCAGCCCCGCCCAGCCCCACCCAGCACTGGCACTCTTGCCCTCCGTCCCACCAGCTCCTGGCCACCTCCTTTGCCAGGTCCCTATCCTCCCTGAGGCCGCAGGACCCTATCAGTGGTGGGCTTGAGTCCCTGATCCCAGCGAGTGGCCCCTGATCTGGGGAGGACAGGAAGGAGCGACTCCCATCTGGAATTGGTCCCTCAGGCACCCACTCACCCACTCTCGAAGCCCCACCCCCAATTTCCTTCCAAGCAGGAAGTCCCTCCCCTTGAAAACCTCCCACGGGAAGTCCCACTTCTCCCTCCAAAAGAAAAGCGGTGACTCCCCAGCCCTTCTGCCCGGTTCCTATCAGTCCCCGGGGAGAAGCAGGCAGCCTGGCTATCTCTGACTCACGATTCTGGGCCTCCCTTTTCAGCTTGCTGGCTTTCTTAGGAATGGTGACACCTGGCCCTGAAAACCCACCCAACAGAGCACTGTCCCCTAAAGGGAGAACCCCAGAAAGTCGCTCTCTGCAGTGCTGCCCCTGCCCCTTTGCCGTTCCTAGCTCTGATTCTGTTCCTAGCTGGCCCATCTTAGGGACTTGCTTTCTCGGTTCTAGAAATCTTAGGATCCTAAAGTAGACCCTGTGGGCTATCAGGATGTCACGCTCCACAGGTGCTGTTAGGGAGTCCCAGTCCTTTGTTAGGAGAGAAAGAGGGAGATGGAACTGGGAGGAAACTGATTTCCATTCTTTTTCAGTTTTTTTTGTTGTTTTTTTTTTGAGGCGGAGTCTCGCTCTGTCACCCACGCTGGAGTGCAGTGGTGCGATCTCGGCTCACTGCACCCTCTGCCTCCTGGGTTCAAGTGATTCTCCTGCCTCAGCCTCCTGAGTAGCTGGGATTACAGGCACGTACCACCACGCCTGGCTAATTTTTGTATTTTTAGTACAGACAGGGTTTCACCGTGTTGGCAAGGCTGGCCTCGAACTCCTGACCTCAGGTGATCTGCCCGCTTCAGCCTCCTAAAGTGCTGGGATTACAGGCATGAGCCACCATGCCCAGCCTACTTCCTTTATGTATATATATATATATTTTTTTTTTCTTTCTTTCTTTTTCTTTTTAGAGATGAGGTCTCGCTACATTGCCAGGGCTTGGTCTTGAACTCCTGGCCTCAAGCAATTTTCCTGCCTGGGCCTCCCAAAGCACTATGAGTACAGGCGGGAGCCACTGTGCCCCGGCCTGATTTGCTATTCTGTCTAGAGCATGCATTTGCCAGTGGGTTCCTGGGTTGGCCAGATGATCTCTAAATCTGCAAGAGCTCTGGAATCTGACAACAATGACTCCCTTCAGACTCTAAAAAAGTCTGTGACCTGACAGTTCTGAGCCAGGGAGTCCCACCCAGCCCTCTCCACAGAGAGGGAGTGGGTCCGAAATCAACTGTGTGCAGTGGCTATGCCCAGGCCAGGTTTCTCTAAGAGGTCCTCTCCAAGTTCAACCTGGGGGAAGGATGCCTACCAGGCACTTTCTTACAGCTACCCCGGGTGCTGGGCGGGGAACCTGAACCCCACGCCCCACCACCCCACGAAGCCCACCTACCTATCATCGTCGCTGTCTAGGTGACCACTGATGGCCAACATGGAGTGGGCCAGGCTGAACTTCTGAGCTGCTACTGCTCCGAAGGGGTCTGGAGATTTGTGAACCAGGCTGGCATCGTGGGTGAAGTAGAGGGCTGGGGAGCTGGGGCGAGAGTCAAGTGGGGGCACCTGGAGGCGGAGAGGTAGGAACCATCACATGAAAAGAGAAAAGAAAGGAACCAGCTGCCTTAAAACTTGCCTATTAGCCTTCCTCCCTCTCCACCTCCCCACTCTCTTTCGAGGACCCAGGAGTCCTGTCCCCGCAGTCCTTCCCTCCTCCAGCTCTGGAGAAGGCATTAGGCAGGTACTAGAAGCAAGAAGTGGGTCAACCTAAGGAATGGGAGGAGTGGTGTATAGGACATTAGAGAGAGTCTCCCAAGTGGGAGGAGGGGGTGACTGACGGAGGAACCCAGAATAGACTCCAATGCCCCAGCTCCCACTGGGCCGGGACCCCTAATCAGAGGCTACGCAGCGTGTCTGCCTTCTTTTATGTTTTATTTTTATTTTTTTGAGACAGTCTCACTCTGTCACCCAGGCTGGAGTGAAGTGGCACAATCATGGCTCACTGCAGCCTTGAATTCCTGAGCTTAAGCGATCCTCCAGCCTCAGCCACCCGAGTAGCTGGGACTACAGGCATGCACCATCATAACTGGCTAATTTTTTATTTTTGGTTAACACAGGGTCTCAAGATGTTGTCCCGGCTGGTCTCAAACTCCTGGGCTCAAGTGATCCTCCTGCCTCAGCCTCCCAAAGTGCTGGAAGAATGAGCCACCACTCCCAGCCTGTGCCTTTACTGGAGTCTCGCTCTGTCGCCCATGCTGGAGTGCAGTGACGTGATCTTGGCTCACTGTAACCTATGCCTTCCAGGTTAAACTGATTCTCCTGCCTCAGCCTCCTGAGTAGCCGGGACTACCGGCACCTGCCATCACACCTGGCTAATTTTTTTATTTTTAGTAGAGACGACAGGGTTTCACCATGTTGGCCAGGCTGGTCTTGAACTCCTGACCTCAAGTGATCTGCCCGCCTCGGCCTCCCAAAATGCTGGGATTACAGGCGTGAACCACTGCACCCAGGCTGCCTTCTTAAAATGACTCCAATGTCACCTCTTAGAGAGGCATTTCCCCATCATTCACTGGTTTACTGAACTATTTCATTTTTTTATAGCACCTAACATTATCTGAAATTAAAGTATTTATTGTGTCTCTCCCCTGCTAGAAGGTCAGTTTGCTCAGTAGCTATTTGTAGAATGAATGGATCCTCAGAAACTGCTCCTCCATCCCCTCACCCACCCCCCACTCTCGCTTCCCCTCTCAAACTTCTCGGACTCAGGTGGAATTCTGCTCCTGCGCTCTGCCCTAGGGTTGGGGGGGGAGCTGGTTGTGGAGCTGGGGGGAGGCGGAGCCTGGGCGTGGACCTGCATAGCCCAACAGGCTCTGGGGGCAGCAGCAAAAAGGGCGGGGGCGACAGGAACATGACAAGACGCCTCTGTGAGGCCCCGGGAGGCCCCAGCTTCTCAGAAAAGCCAAGAACAGAGAGTCCAGGGTGGTTAAGGGACAGAGCAGAGGAAGGGGGCCCAGGTGGTGTCCCCTGGCCCTTCTCCACCACTCCCCTCTGTTAAGAGGGAGAAGAGGCATGAGGGGACGTGGAAGGGAGACAGACTTTTGGGCAAGGAAATAGCAAAACAGATGCGTGCAAACAGAAGACCGTCAGGAGGTGGGGGAAGGCTGGGGAGTAGGGGGCACTGAGAGAGAGAGGCAGGGTCTGTGGCCCCAAGAGAAGCTCAGGCCAGGCTTAAGGACAGAGAGCAGGGAAGCTGGAGGCCAAGGGGGTTTGCTTTGGAAGAGTCTGGGGACAGGACAGGAAGAGAAACAGCATCTTCTCCCCTGGGGTGGGTGCTGAATGCAAGAGTTCAAGAAGAGTTGGGGGAGGGGGGGTAGGAGGGGGCATCACGAGAGATGTGAGCTTGAGGCCAGGAGGGGTTTGGGGGGAGCCAGTCCTGACCGGTCCTGACAGGACCCAGACATCCAGTCCCAGGTTATTTTTATACTGTGGTTTGTGCCCAAGGCCAGGAAGGGGAAAGAGTTCGCATCCTCACACTCCCTGCCTTTCCCCAGACCTCCGAGGTGTTATATTCTCCCACAGGACAGAAGTATCCAACCTTCTATCTCTGGCTGCTCACCCCCACCATGGGGACCCAGGCATCCTGCCCCCACAGCCTGGCTTGTTCCTCTTTTGGAGACAGGAAGGAGAAAGAGTATGGGACTGAACTCCCTTCTGGGGCTCTTCTCTCCCACTCCACAGTGGTCACCCTCGAGTTATCAATCACAGAGAGGCTCAGATGGACGGGGGTGAGCCAGACAACTGGGGGGTGAAATGGATCAACCAGCAGGCCCCCTCCCTGTCCCTGAGAGGTGTTCCCCCCACCCAATTTCTCAGTGACACTTGGCTTACAGCAAAGCTGGAGGCAGGACTGAGATGGGTGGCTGGGGGAAAAGAAAGACCCCCACATTCAGGATGGGGCTGCAGTGCAGAGACTGGCAGCGCGCAAGGCCTACCTTTTACTTTTCCTCCCCAAATCCTGGCAGCTCCTCCCCTAGGGACCCAGCTACCCAGCTATCCAGCTGGGGCCTCCACCCTCATCACCTAGAGGCAGAGGGGCTGAGACCAAGACAGAAGAAGGCCTGATGAGGGGGCCACATATGCTACAGGCTACATGAAGACCAAGACAGAGAATCAGAGGCCAGGGAGAAAGAGAGAGGGTGCAGAAAAACAGGAAGGAGGCTGAGACAGAAAATGAAGTAGGAGGAAGGGGCTTCAGAGTGACCTGGCAGGCACAGAGAAGAGGGCTATCTGATCTTATAAAGTGATGGAGAAGGAGGAGGAGAGGGGGGGGAGGAGGAGGAAGGAGGCTCAAGATAGAGGTTAGGCCAGGGCTGATGGGCCAGCCCTAGAACCCAGGTCTTACCTGCCCCATCTCTTCTGGAGCACCCAACTCCATCCGCAGCCGCATGTCTACAGCTTTCCTCCGGGACAGTGGAGGGGTCCTGGCCCCTGAGCCCCCAGCCTCCGCTTCCACCCTCAGAGAGGGCAGGGGCGTGGCAGCCCGGGATGTGCCCGCACTCTCACCGGTCTCAGGCTCTGGGGGGCGCTGCTGGGGTGAGGAGGCCGACAGTGGGGGTTTCTCTGCCTTGGCTTTGCTGGGCACCACCAGCTGGCCCAGTCCCCCAGTGAAGGAGCGGGCCTGAGGTCCAGGAGAGGTGGGGGGTGGACGGAGCCAGGAGGTGGGGCCCTGAGACAGGCCTGACGGTGGGGTGGGGGCGCCCAGGCCGAGGCTGGCCAGCTCCAACCTGGAATCCAAAGATCTGCCCCCGGCGCCCCCTGAGGCCCCTCGAATTCCCTCCAGGAGTCCGCCGAAGCTGTGGGGCTCCAGGTCTCGCTCATAAACATCCACACACGTCCAGCGACCGCGGCGATAAGGCTCTCCCAGGCCGTGGGGCAGCTTCACCACCCGGAAACGGGAGGAAGGGGCCCCAGGTGGTGGGGAGCCATTCCGGGGGGTGCCCTTGCCCCCCGGATCGGGGCTGGGCTCCCCATTGGGCAGGCGGGGCGGGGGCCCGGTTGGGGGCTGTGGGGTAGGGGGATCCGAAGCCCCTGGGCTCCCAGGGCCCTCATAGTCCGTGGTGACGCTGGTGATTTGGAAACTACTCTTCTTCTTGCCCCCGCTCATGGTCCCTGGGGCTCAGGGCTGGGCCAAGGTTGGGGGTGGGTTGGGGCTCCTTGAAGGGGCTCAGGCACCCCTGGAACAAGGGGGCCACATGGCGGGGACATCCGAGCCCCTGGGGACGTCTGGGTCCGACATGGCAGGAGGGCCTGGCGGGAACCGGGGGTGCCTGCTGGGTGAGGGGAGAAGAGGAGAGGGGAGGTGGCGGGAGGGGGGAGCAGGGGCAGGTTTTTCCTGCTGCTGTTGCTGCTGAACTCCAGAGCTGAGTTTGCAAACTGGAAAAAGAGGGGGAGAGAGAGAGAGAGAGAGAGAGAGAGAGTGTGTGTGTGTGTGTGTGTGTGTGTGTGTGTGTGTGTGTGTGTGTGTGTGAAACCAGTGGGCAGGCCACCTCCGGGGCTTCCTCTCCGGGGAGCAGAGTGGGGGAAGGGGAAACCGTCAGAGACCCAGAGACAGGCAAGAGATGACAGAGACCAGGGCAGAGGGGACTGGATCCAAGAAGGCACTCAGAGTAGAAAGAGGCAGATGAGTCCCAGAGTTGGGCATTTCTCGCCTGGGATTCTGACTCAGGGGGCCCGTATTGTCCCAAGAGCTCGGACTCCAGGGCCTGGGAGAACCAGGCTGAAGCAGCTCCCCAGCCTGGCCCGGCCACTCAGAGAGACCTCTCCTGGGCCTCGAGCCCCCACCCTCACCCCAGCTCCCACATCTCTGGGGCAGGCCCTGCCCGGCTACCCCCCAGCGCCCCACCCAGCCCTGAACCCTACCTCTGGGGCCTCGGCCACTGATCTGAGCCTGAGGGTCCCGGCGCCTAAGAGGTCGGGCTGTCCGTTCCCTGGGGCCTCCTGGCCATGGGCAGTGGCGGGGCACGCAGGCGGCGATCAGAGGCTGTCCCGTCCTCTCCGGGGGCCGCGGCTCATCCTGCCAGGCATCTCCGAGGAAAGTTTGCTCTCCGGAAAAGAAGAAACCCGCGCCTCCTCCGAGGAGCCTAGGAGCGGCCTCTGAAGCCCCAAGGGTCTGGAGACTGATGTGGGAGGGGGCGGCCGAGCCCCCCTCTGCTCCCGGTGGCAGCCAGCGAGTGGGTGTCCCGAGTCTCCTCCCGCGTGACCCTGCTGGGTCCGTGTCTCCGCTCCTCGGCTCCCCTGGGTCTCTGCCTCTCCGTCTTTCTCTTTCTGGGCTGTTGACAACCCCCACACCAGGAAGTCCTGCCTCCTCGGGCCTGCTGACTGCTCCTCTCCTCCTCCTCCTCCTCCTTCCCCTCTTCCTCCCCTTCCTCCTCCCTCCCTCCCTCCTGGGGCTTCCCGCCAGCTGGCCCGGGGCCAGGCCTGCCACAGCCGCTGCTGTTGCAGTTGCTGCAGCCACTGCTTAGGCTGCTGCTCCTGGGGGCCCCAAACAGACTCCCTTAACCCCACACCTGCCGGGCCCTAGCCCCACTCTTGCAGGGAGGGGCTGCAGGGGGCGGGGCTCGGGGAGAAAGGGGAGGAGCTTGCAGGGAGGCGAGGGATTCCCTTACTTGTAGTCAATTGCTGCCATTGGCCTAGAGACACACAGAAGAGACGGAAGGCACAGGCCGGGAGGTGTGCTGCATGCCCACCCAGAAGTTCCCAGTCCCTGCTGTGGGGCAGCTGTGGCTGTTACTGTCATTCTCCTTTGGTTTTCACAGCAACTGCATTATTCCCCCCATTCCTTATTTTTAAAAGTGGATTATTGCCGGATCCCGGTGGTGGCTCATGCCTGTAATCTCCGCACTTTGGGAGGTCGAGGAAGGAGGATCGCTTGAGACCAGTTTGGACAATATAATAGCAAGACCCCATCTCTACAAAAAATAAAAAAAAATAGCTGGGCATGGTGATGTGCACCTATAATTCCAGCTACTCAAAGGTGGGAGGATCGCTTGAGCCCAGGAGTTCGTGACCAGCCTGGGCAATATAACGAGATCCCCATCTCTACAAAAAATTTAAAAAATTAGCACTTTGGGAGGCCGAGGCGGGCGGATCACGAGGTCAAGAGATTAAGACCATCCTGGCCAACATGGTGAAACCAAGTCTCTACTTAAAATACAAAAATTAGCCAGGTGTGGTGGCGGGCACCTGTAGTCCCAGCTACTCGGGAGGCTGAGGCAGGAGAATCACTTCAACCTGGGAGGCGGAGGTTGCAGTGAGTCGAGATCACGCCACTGCACTCCAGCCTGGTGACAGAGTGAGACTCCATCTTAAAAAAAAAAAAAAACTGAGTGTGGTGATGTATACCTGTAGTCCCAGCTACTCAGGAGGCTGTGAGGCAGGAGGATCTCTTGAGCCCAGGAGGTTGAGGATGCAGTGAGCCAAGATTGTGCCACTGCACTCCAGCCTGGGCAACAGAGTGAGACCATGTCTCAAAAAAAAAAAAAAAGTGGATTATTATGAAAATTTTCAAACATGCCATGCAGACATGGGGAGACCATGCAAACTCCACACAGATGGTGGTCCCAGCCCAAAATCAATTTTTAGAAAATCATCAATGTTATAATGAAATGACATTCAATGAAATGACATTGTGTGGGGGCCAGCTGTAGTTTGCTGGACTATTTGAAATCAGATCCTAGATGTTATACTATTCCCCTTTCCCCCAACCTGCCCCCGCCTTTTTTTTTAGAGACAGGGTCTCTCTCTCTCTCTGTTGCCCAGGATGGAGTGCAGTGGTGCGATCATAGCTCACCACAGCCTGGAACTCCTGGGCTCAAGCCATGCTCCTGCCTCAGCCTCCCAAGTAGCTGGGACCACAGACACACACTACTACGCCTGGCTAAATTTCTTTAAAAAAAAATTTTTTTTTTTGGTAGAGATGGGGATCTTGCAATGTTGCCCAGGGTGGTCTTGAACTCCCGGCCTCAAGTGATCCTCCTGCTTCTGCCTCCCTAGTAGCTGGGACCACAGGTGTATACCACCATACCTGGCTAATTTTTTAGTTTTTGTAGAGACAGGTTATTACTATGTTGCCCAGGCTGGTCTCGAATTCCTGGCCTCAAATGATACTTCCACCTGGGCCTCCCAAAGAGCTGACATTACAGGCGTGAGCCATGGTGCCTGGCCTCAGGGAAATTTCTAACCCCTCTTTTTTTGAGACGGAGTCTCGCTCTGTCGCCCAGGCTGGAGTGCAGTGGCTCTATCTCGGCTCACTGCAAGCTCCACCTCCCGGGTTCACGCCATTCTCCTGCCTCAGCCTGTAGCTGGGACTACAGGCACCCGCCACCATGCCCGGCTAATTTTTTGTATTTTTACTAGAGACGGGGTTTCCCCGTGTTAGCCAGGATGGTCTTGATCTCCTGACCTCGTGATCCGCCCGCCTCGGCCTCCCAAAGTGCTGGGATTACAGGCATAAGCCACCACGCCCGGCCTCTAACCCCTCTTTAGGGGTACGTAAAAATAAAACAATGCAATACCTACCCTCTTTATGTATTTATTCTTTATCTCTTTGTTAGAAGCATCCACACTTCTGTTTCTCTCCCTTAAGCCATAGTAACAACGGCTGCCATAGCCCAAGTCTGTGGGCCTCCCAAGTAGTGAAGTCTGGGAAGCAGCCTCCCACCTGCTCCCTACCCCTCTAGACTGCATCCCTCTGTCCCTTACAGAACCTTTTCTCCTCTAGCAACATTCAGAACACAGCCTTGGTCCCTCCTTCCCCAGACCCTCCTTCCTTCTTGCTGACTTGCTACAAACTATTCAAAAATTATCTTTGGGCAGTCTCTTTCTCTGCCTCAGGCACTGGTATCTGAGTCTAGAGGCCCTGGCACATTGTTGATCTCTGCAGAAATGTTTGTTGAGTAAATACATACAAATTTTTATATTTTAATTTGAGATGAAGTCTTGCTCTGTCACCCAAGCTGAAGTGCAGTGGCGTGATCTCAGCTCACTGAACCTCCGCCTCCCAGGTTGTGATTCTCCTGCCTCAGCCTCCCGAGTAGCCAGGATTGTAGGCACCCGCCACGACGCCTGGCTAATTTTTGTAGTTTTAGTAGAGATGGGCGTCTCATCATGTTGGCCAGGCTGGTCTCGAACTCCTGACCTCAAGTGATCTGCATGCCTCAGACTCCCAAAGTGCTGGGATTACAGACGTGAGCCACTGCTCCCGGCCTATACATATAAACTAATCATACTAAAGGTATAAATGTGAAATGGGTTTTAAGTGTTTTAATATTTCCCTCCCCTGGGAGCATTCTTAATAGCCTATAATATGTGGGACCTTTTACAATTTACAAGGCACTTTGGTATTATTTTACTACCCCTCCCCTTCCAAAGAATGGACTAAAGCCAGCTTGTCCAACCGCACGGGCAGCTTGTGGCCCAAGACAAATTGGTAAATTTTCTTAAAACGCCTAAGTTTTGGTTTTTGTTTTTGTTTTCGTTTTTTTTTTTTTTTTCTCTGAGACAAAGTCTCTCTCTCTCACCCAGGCTGGAGTGCAGTGGCCCGATCTGGGCTCACGTCAACCTCTGCCTTCCAGGTCAAGCGATTCTCCTGCCTTGGCCTCCCGAGTAGCTGGGATTACAGGCGCAGGCCACCATGCCCAGCTTATTTTTTCTATCTTTAGTAGACACGGGGTTTTGCCACGTTGGCCAGGCTGGTCTCAAACTTCTGATGTCAGGTGATCCACCAGCCTCGGCCTCACAAAGTGCTGGGATTTACAGGCGTGAGCCACCGCGCCCCGCCAGTGTTAAGAGTATTTTATGTGTGGCCCAAGACAAATTCTTCTTCCAATGTGGCCCAGGGAAGTTAAAAGAGTGGACATCCCCGGACTAAAGCGTCTCTCAGAGAGGTTGCACGATCTGCCTAAAGCCACACAGCAAGACTGCAAAGACGCTGCCATGGAAAGTAGCATTCGCAGGCTCCAGGGATCAGGCCGTGCCTATCTTTGCCGTGCCCATTTTCCAGCCCGTGGAAGGTACAACCGAGGTCTTCTCGAGCTGATTTACCCCCGCTGCAGAGCTGTGAGCCCAAGGGATTTCAGAGGGAGTTATTTCTAGGGGAGATAATGAGAAAAGAAAAGATAAATGAGAAAAGGGGAGGTCGAGGTCACGTCCCGTAGCGGCCCCCCGACAGTGCCAGGGTGGTAGCCGCGGTGGCCACACTCAGGTCGACCCTGGTCGTTGCGAGCGGCGCCGGGGGAGTCAAAGGTCACGAGAGGAGGACTCGGGCCACGGGGGCGGATAGCTTTGAGCCCAGACGGTGGAACGAGATCCGGGCACCCCCGGGAGGCTGCAGGGGGAGGCAGCCGATTCCCCCGCGAGCCAACTCAGGTGCTCTCCTGGCACCTGGGGGCGGTGGGGAAAGGGGGCGCGGCCGCCGGAGCACGCCCCCTGCTGGGCTGAGCCGCCGCCCGTCCCGTTCCCCACCCTCGGAGCCCCTCGGCCCGGAAAGCGGCACCCCCTGGCGGCCCCAGCGCCTCACTGCACCCCGGGCCCCGCAGCCGCAGCCTCGGCCCCGGACCGACGCTGGGTGCGGACCCGGGGCGCGCCGGGCGTACGGGTTGCACGGGGTGCACGGGGTACACGGTGCGGGGGCGTGGGCCCCAGGCTGCCGCTGGGGGGCGCCGCCGCACGCCGCTCCGCCGGGGCCGGGGAGACCGAACTCAGCACCGACCGGCCGGGCAGGGGGCGAGGGGCGGCGAGGAGCGGACGCCCAAAGACCGCGACGGGCTGGCGCCGGGCCCCCAGCGCCCCACGACCTTCCTCCGAATCTGCCCCCGCAGGCTCCGCGGCTCCCCCGCCCCGCGCCCCAGCCCCACGGCCCCGCGCCGCACGGCCGCTCCCGTTCCGTCCTTGGAGGGTGTGGAAGGGTGGGTTTGGGGCCGGGGGCGGGTCTGGGGGCGGACCCGGAGGCGGGGCTGTCTCTGCGGCAGGGCCCAGCTTCGCTCCCCCCGGTCTGTCTCTGTCTCTCCTCCTCCCTCCTCCTGCTCCGGGCGGAGCCCGGCATGGGGGGGCCGGCGCCCGGCAGGCCAGGTACGGTGATGGAGAACCTGGGGAGGCTTGGTGCAGGAAGGTTGGGGTGGGGGGACAAGGGACAGGGAGGATTGGCGGAGCGAAAGGCGGAGAAGCCCAGGGTAGCAGGACAAGGGGAAGGGGAGGGGTGCCAGGAACCTGGGGCCCTTGGATGGAGAAGGGGGATGAAGCAGGCCAGGTTTGGAACAGGGGAAGGGGGAGGACGGCTGTAAGGAGGGGCGCCTGGGAGGAGAAGTGAGGCTGAAGGCGAAAAGAAGAGTGTGGGTTTGGGGGAAGGAAAACCGGAGCAGGTATGGAGGCCGCAGCCCAGAAGGTAGCAGTGGGGCCAGACTGGAGCCCCCCGGGTGGGATTGAGGGGCGGGGACTGGAAGAGGAAAACCAGGGGGCCTCCCAAATCCTGGAGGAAGAAGAAGGTGATTGGGGCCATCAGCGAGGGAGGGAGGCAGAGACTAAACCATTGCTAAAGGGCCAGGGAGCCAGAATCGGGGTGGACCAAGGCCCAGGCCCGGGGAAGGACTGGAAGTGGGGGAAGGCAGGCAGTGGAGATAGATGGATGGGTGGTATTTTAGATACCCAACTCAGGGTGTCTCCCATCCTTCCTTCAGCGTCCCCACCCTGCCCTCATGAGATCCCCCTACAGCCCAAGATAGGGGGGAGAGTCTGACCATCTCCCCTTTTCCCAGTGGGGTGCAATGTACGCAAGTAGGCCCTGGGCATAACTCTGCCTGTAGGTGTGTCCAGTTCTGTGTAGCAGATTTGTGTGTGTCTGGAGGTCTGTGGGTGTGTCTGTGGGTGTTTATGTCTGTGTGCCTGTCTATCCCTAGGTTTCTGTTTACCTATGCCAATCTCTGCGTCTGGTCCTCTGTCTGTAGATGTGGGTCGGTGGCTCCGTGGTTTGTGTGTCTGAATGTGTACTTGTGTAGCTGAGGGGTTGCAGTCCGTTTGTGGGGCCTGTATGGGTGGTGGATCGGGATGTCTTTACACAAGAAGGGAATCTGTGTTGACCTGGTCTCTCCAGAGTGTGTATTTGGGGCTCTGAACACCTTTGTCGGGGTCTGTGTCTGTCTGTCTGTGGGTCCTCGAAGCTGTGTTGGGTTTTCTGTCTGTGTTTTCCTCTCTGAGGACCCGAGTCATGTCTCTTCTCCGTTTTCTCTCTTTCATTCATCCCTGGCCCCCACCCATCCCACCTTTCTTTTTTTTCCGTTCTCACCCACCCCGCCCGCCAGTGGATCCGGGACCCAGGGAGGGCCGCCCCCCGGGCCTGGTGGCACTGAGCAGGGCCCCCCAGCCCCCACCTCCTGCCCCACGAGATGAACCTCCTCTACCGAAAAACCAAGCTGGAGTGGAGGCAGCACAAGGAAGAGGAGGCCAAGAGGAGGTAAGGCTGCACCCCAGACTGCTCCCTTCCCTTCCGCACCTCTGCCTGCCCCCTCACTGGGCCACAGCCCTTCTCGGGGGCCGGCAGCCTTGTCATGAGTGAGCTCTCTGATCTCAGAGTCAGTACGGAATGGCCAGGATTGCACACACTGTCCTGGCCCAACTCCTGCTCTCCTGTGGGGGGGTTTACAGCCTAGGAGCACCCCTTTGGTTGTTCCCCATCCCCAGAGGCCCGAGTCACTCCTTCCTGACTCACCTCTGGCCTGTAGCCCTTCTCCTTTCTGCAAATTTGGGGCTGGCTGCGGGCTCTCCTGTCACCTGACCTTGGAAGGGGCAGGCCCCGCCTCTCTCCCAGGGTCTAGGGAAGGGGTCATTTCAGGGGCATCAGAGAACATCCACTTGGCCTCCTCCCAGTTTTCCCTGCTGGGGGAGGTGAGTGGTCAAGTGATGGGGTTGTGTGTGTGGTGGGCAGACATGCAGGCTGGGCCTTGCCAAAGAGCCAGGGCAGGGGACGACCTCCAGACCCCTGCAATCCCTGTCTGCCTCCCCGCTTGCCCTTCCAGGGACCTGGGGCCTGGCCTCTCCCATCCTTCTCTCCTTCTCCTCTTCTCTCCCATTGACTTCACAGCCACTTGGAGCCTGACTCACAGCCACCTCCCTTTTCCTTCCTCGCAACTGTGGAGTTTAATTCTTGTTGTTAATTAGATTAATCAGAGTGATCGCTGCAGCGATCTCTCCCTAATGAAGGGCTAGTAGACAGGGCCTTAATGAGTGCCCACCCCACACAGCTCTCCTCTCTTCCCTGCCAGCCGCCCCCCCAACCCTCTGCCACCCTCCACTCAGACAGAAGCTCAGGGACAGTGGAATGGAATGGGGGTGAGCCGGGGAGGCTGACAGAGAGAGAACAGCACCAGGGGAGAGGGAGGAAGAAGGATGGGCCAGGGAGGGAGGCTGCTCTGGTCCTGGAGGGGCACATCCTGCATCTGGGAGAGGAGGTGTGCCGTGGGGGCAGAGGTCACAGTGGCTGGGCAGGAGGGGTAACCAGAGGCCAGGTGTGGGCCACTGTGAGAGTGAGAGGGGCCAAGGAGCTGTGGGGGGCAGGCGTGTCCATCTGTGTTACCTGGGTTTGTATCTCTACCTCTGCACAAGGCTGTCCACACAGGTGCCCAGGCTGGGATCCGCCAGCCCCAGGGATGCTCCCCTGCAGGCATACTCACCCCTCTTCTCATCCCTGCCCCCAACTGCCTTGTGTTTTTAAAGCCCAAGATTCTGCCTGAAGCCCCTTCATTGGTGCCCTGGACCTTCTGGCAACCCTGTCCCCACCCAGGCTCCCGTCCTCTTCCCTGGGAAGCCACAGGGTTGCTGACACCTCTTGGGGTGGAGAAGGGGGATGCCCAGGTCCGAGGCCCTTCCTCCACTCCATCGTGGCCTTCTCTCCCCAGCTCCAGTAAGGAGGTGGCCCCCGCTGGCTCGGCTGGGCCCGCGGCCGGCCAGGGGCCTGGGGTCCGCGTGCGGGACATCGCCTCGCTGCGGCGCTCCCTCAGGATGGGTTTCATGACGATGCCCGCCTCCCAGGAGCACACCCCGCACCCCTGCCGCAGCGCCATGGCCCCACGCTCCCTCTCCTGCCACTCGGTGGGCAGCATGGACAGTGTCGGGGGTGGCCCTGGCGGGGCCAGTGGGGGCCTCACAGAGGACAGCAGCACCCGAAGACCCCCTGCCAAGCCCCGGAGACACCCCAGCACCAAGCTCAGCATGGTGGGGCCTGGGTCTGGGGCAGAGACGCCCCCCAGCAAGAAAGCAGGTGAGATACCCCCTATCTCTCCCTGGGGTGGAGCTGGGAGCTGGGAGGATCTATTCCACGCCCGGGGAGGCTTGCCGGGAGGGTTCATTCAGGGAAGAACCAAGGAAGTGGAAGATTCCATTCTCAAAAGGAATTGGGGGGGTCCTTTTGGATGGGCCTGAGATGAACCATTCAAGGGCAGGGGACACTCCCTGAAAAGTTCTTGAGAAAGGGGTGGTGGCCTCAGAGGGACAATGAAGGTAGGAGCTGCGAATTCTGGAGAATACGTTAGAAAGACTGAGGGCTGTGGGACAAGCCCCGTGGCTCACGCCCGTAATCTCAGCACTTTTTTTTTTTTGAGACAGAGTCTCGCTCTGTTGCCCAGGCAGGAGTGCAGTGGTGCGATCTCAGCTCACTGCATCCTCCGCCTCCCAGGTTCAAGCAGTTCTCCTGCCTCAGCCTCCCAGGTAGCTGGGATTACAGGCGTCCGTCACCACGCCCGGCTAATTTTTTGTATTTTTAGTAGAGACAGGGTTTCGTCTTGTTGGCCAGGCTGACAAGGCCAGGCTTGCTGGCCTCAGGTGATCCACCCACCTCGGCCTCCCAGAGTGCTGGGATTACAGGCGTGAGCCACTGTGCTTGGCCAATTAATTGACGTTTTAAAAAGACCAAGGGCTGACTAGTAGAAAAGGAACCTACAGCTGGGCATGGTGGCTGATGCCTGGAATCCTAGCACTTTAGGAGGCCGAGGCAGGAGGATCCCTTGAGCCCAGGAATTTGGGACCAGTCTGGGCAACATGGCAAGACCCATCTCTATTAAAAAATAAAAAAGAAATGAAGAAACCTCCTGGGGCTGTAAGTTGAGGAATGTGGGGAAAAGGAAGAGGCAGATATGTCCTTGCAGAAGGGTCAAGGGATCAGAATGGGCTCCTCCCACTTGCTCCCCTCATTAAAAGCCTGGTTTATTTTTCTCTTTCTTGTCCTGTCCAGGCTCACAGAAGCCAACCCCAGAGGGCCGAGAGTCCAGCCGGAAGGTTCCTCCGCAGAAGCCCAGGCGAAGCCCTAACACCCAGCTCTCTGTCTCCTTCGATGAGTCCTGCCCCCCAGGCCCCTCTCCTCGAGGGGGGAACCTGCCTCTTCAGCGCCTCACTAGGGGGTCCCGAGTAGCTGGGGACCCTGATGTGGGTGCCCAGGAAGAGCCTGTGTACATTGAGATGGTGGGGGACGTCTTTAGGGGAGGAGGACGAAGTGGAGGAGGCCTGGCTGGGCCCCCTCTTGGGGGTGGGGGCCCGACCCCTCCAGCGGGCGCCGACTCGGACTCTGAAGAGAGTGAGGCCATCTATGAAGAGATGAAGTACCCGCTGCCGGAAGAGGCTGGGGAAGGCCGGGCCAATGGCCCTCCACCATTGACGGCAACATCCCCGCCACAACAGCCTCACGCCCTTCCGCCCCATGCCCACCGCCGCCCAGCTTCAGCCCTCCCGAGCCGGAGGGACGGGACGCCCACCAAGACCACTCCTTGTGAAATCCCCCCGCCCTTCCCCAACCTCCTTCAGCACCGGCCTCCACTCCTGGCCTTCCCCCAAGCCAAGTCTGCTTCCCGAACCCCTGGCGATGGGGTCTCAAGGCTACCTGTCCTCTGCCACTCCAAGGAGCCAGCCGGCTCCACCCCAGCTCCCCAAGTGCCTGCACGGGAGCGGGAGACGCCTCCCCCACCGCCTCCACCTCCTGCTGCCAACCTGCTGCTGCTGGGACCATCGGGCCGGGCCCGGAGCCACTCGACACCGTTGCCACCCCAGGGCTCTGGCCAGCCCCGGGGGGAGCGGGAGCTCCCCAACTCCCACAGCATGATCTGCCCTAAGGCGGCGGGGGCGCCGGCAGCCCCCCCTGCCCCGGCCGCCTTGCTCCCCGGCCCCCCCAAGGACAAGGCCGTGTCTTACACCATGGTGTACTCGGCGGTCAAGGTGACCACGCACTCTGTCCTGCCAGCTGGTCCACCCCTGGGTGCTGGGGAGCCAAAGACGGAGAAGGAGATCTCGGTCCTCCATGGGATGCTGTGTACCAGCTCAAGGCCCCCTGTGCCAGGGAAGACCAGCCCCCACGGTGGGGCCATGGGCGCAGCAGCTGGGGTCCTCCACCACCGCGGCTGCCTGGCCTCCCCCCACAGCCTTCCGGACCCAACTGTAGGCCCCCTGACCCCGCTGTGGACCTACCCAGCCACAGCAGCTGGGCTCAAGAGACCCCCTGCCTATGAGAGCCTCAAGGCTGGGGGGGTGCTGAATAAGGGCTGTGGTGTGGGGGCCCCATCCCCCATGGTCAAGATCCAGCTGCAGGAGCAAGGGACCGATGGGGGTGCTTTTGCCAGCATCTCCTGTGCCCACGTCATCGCCAGCGCAGGGACACCAGAGGAGGAAGAAGAGGAGGTGGGCGCCGCGACATTTGGGGCAGGCTGGGCCCTGCAGAGGAAGGTCCTCTATGGAGGGAGAAAAGCAAAGGAGTTGGACAGTGAGTGAGGGGTGGGGAGTGGGGGCTGGCATCAGGGGTGGGGGGCAGCTGGGGATGCCTGCGATGGTTTGGGGGAGGTGTTGGAGGGGTTATTTGGAAGTCACAGCCTTGAGTCTGGGATGTTTTCTAGGAGACCAGAGAGGTGGGGGTGGGCGATAGACAGAAAGACCGGGGTCCCCCAGTGTGCGCTGGAGGGGCAGGAAGGTCTGGGAGGCGAAGGGGGTCAAATCTGGCCCTGTCCTGCTCTGCTCCCTGCCCCTCCCTTCCCGGGGCTGCAGGGGTGTGTGCTTGTGAGTGTGCGCACCAGGAACTAAACACAGCTGCCTCCCAGCTGTTACCATGGCAACCCATCCAGACAGGAGGGAGAGGAGAGGGAGGCCCCTACCGTTGCCTGGCAACGCAATGCTCTGCCAGGCCTCCTCTCAGAGATGAGCTTAGTTCACAGGCAGCCCTTCCCCCCAGCGCTCCCCCTTCTGGGCTCAGGAATTGGGATTCTCCCCCTACAGGTCTTGATCCCAGGGGGATGGTCATTCTCGCCCTATCTGGAGATGGAGGGGCTTGGAAGCTAAAGCTGCGGTTGGGGAGGCCCCTCTGACCAGGGAAAAGGGTTTGGATGCAGCACATAGACATGATTCTCAGCCCCAAGAGATGGTACCAATGGGTGGAAAGGAAGGGGTGTGTGTGTGTTTGTATGTATGTTGGGGGAGTGTGAAGGAGCCCCATCCCAGCCGTTACTTGCAAAAGGGGCAATTGTGTCTCCTGGTCCACCCATACTGCAGCATGTGTGGCCAGAGGGACAGAATGACGCCTCCAACATGCAGGCACACAGCTCTCCTTGTCATCCCAGCAGAGGTCGAGGACGGTGCCCGGGCCTGGAATGGCAGTGCCGAGGGTCCAGGCAAGGTGGAGCGTGAGGACAGGGGCCCTGGGACATCGGGGATCCCAGTGAGAAGCCAGGGGGCAGAGGGACTGCTGGCCAGGATCCACCATGGAGACCGAGGAGGGAGCCGCACCGCGCTGCCCATTCCCTGCCAGACCTTCCCCGCCTGCCACCGCAATGGAGGTGACGCGGCCTGCACACACCTGTGCACAGCGGGGCTGGCTGGGGGATCTCCCGGGGTCTAGCTGCACCTGTCCTGACTTCCTCTCACCTGTTCACGTCTGTGCCCAGGGCCCTAAATCCTCATACCACATCTCCACCCCTTTTTCCCTTCTGATGAGGCAGGGGCAGCCTGGACCATTCAAGGGCAGGGGACTGGGAACTAGGGGAGGGGTACCTGAGGCCCCTGCACTCCTCACTCCTCCTTCTTCCACCTCAGACTTCACGGGAGGCTACCGCCTGGGGCGCTCCGCCTCCACCTCCGGAGTCCGGCAGGTCGTGCTCCACACACCCCGGCCCTGCAGCCAGCCCAGGGATGCCCTGAGCCAGGTGAGGCTTGGTTTTTCTTTTATTTGTGAAGGAGCAGGTGGAGAAGGCTTGAATATGCAAAGAAAAGCAATAAAGGGGCCAGGGCTGGGCACAGTGGCTCATGCCTGTAATCCCAGCACTTTGGGAGGCCAAGGTGGGAGGGTCACTTGAGGCCAGAAGTTCATTAGCTTGAGCAACATAGTGAGACCCTGTCTCTATTTTTTCTTTTTTTTAAAAGAAGGCTAGTTGCAGTGGCTCACACCTGTAATCCCAATGCTTTCAGAAGCCAAGGCAGGTAGATTGCTTGAGCCCAGGAGGTCGAGACCAGCCTGGACCACATAGTGAGATCCCATCTCTATAAAAAATGCAAAATGTAGTCAGGTGTGCCGTCGCAAGCCTGAATTCCCAGCTACTCTGGAGGTTGAGGTAGGAAGATGGCTTTACCCTGGGAGGTGGAGGTTGCATTGAGCCATGATCACGCTACTGCGTTCCAGTCTGAGCCACAGAGTGAGACCCTGTCTTAGAAGAAAAAAAAAAAAAGAAAGAAAGGGGCCAGGCAGGGTGCGGTGGCTTACGCCTGTAATCACAGCACTTTGGGAGGCCGAGGCGGGCAGATCACTTGAGGTCAGGAGTTTGAGACCAGCCTGGCCAATGTGGTGAAACCCTGTCTCTACTAGAAATACAAAAATTAGGGCCAGGTGCGGTGGCTCATGCCTGTAATCCCAGCAGTTTGGGAGGCTGAGGCGAGTGGATCACAAGGTCAGGAGTTCAAGACTAGCCTGACCAACATAGTGAAATCCCATCTGTACTAAAAATACAAAAATTAGCCGGGCGTGGTAGCGCACGCCTGTAGTCCCAGCTACTCGGGAGGCAGAGGCATAAGAATCGCCTGAACCCGGGAGACGGAGGTTGCAGTAAGCCAAGATCGCACCACTGCACTCCAGTGGCCTGGGCAACAGAGAGAGACTCTGTCTCAAAAAAAACCAAAAAACAAAAAACAAAAACCCCACAGAAATTAGCTGGACATTGGGGCAGGCACCCGTAATCCCAGCTACTCGGGAGGCTGAGGCAGGAGAATTGCTTGAACCCGGGAGACGGAGGCTGCAGTGAGCCAAGATCATGCCACTGCACTCCAGCCTGGGCGACAGAGTTAGACTCTGTCTCAAAAAAAAAAAAAGGGGCCAGGCAGACTGGGGCCTGAGCCAGCGCAGACAGCGGGAACCCAGGAATGAGAGTGAGGGGGTTGGGAGAGGATCTGGGAAGGGTTTGAGGGTTTGCTTAAGATGGGCAGCAAGGTAGGGCCCAGCTTGGAGATCAGTCAGGGCCACCACTAGCCAACAGCACACCTTTGTGCGATTTAGGAAAAAGACCTCCCCACTGGGCACTATGTCTTGTGCCTGCAATCCCAGAACTGTGGGAGGCAGAGACGGGAGGATCGCTTGAACCCAGGAGGCTGAGGTTGCAATGAACTACGATCCCACCACAGCACTCTATCCTGGGTGTAAGGGCAAGACCGTGTCTCAAAAGAAATAAAAATAAAGAGGTCAAGCATGGTAGCTTACGCCTATAATCCTAGTACTTTGGGAGGCCGAGCCAAGAGAAGTGGTTGAGCCTAGGAATTCTGTACCAGCCTGGGCGACATAGGGAGACCCTGTCTTTACAAAAAATTTAAAAATTATCCAGACATGCTGGTGCATGCTTGTGGTTCCAGCAACTCTGAAGGCTGAGGCAGGAGAATCACTTGAGCCTGGGAGGTGGAGGTTGCAGTGAGCCATGGTCGTTCCACTGCACTCCAGCCTGGGTGGCAGAGGGAGAACCTGTCAAAAGAAAGAAAAAGAGAGAGAGTGAGAGAAAGAAGGAAGAAAGAGAGAAGGAGAGAAAGAGAGAAAGAAAGCAAGCAAGAAAGAAAAGAAAGCAAGAAAGAAAAGAGAAAGAAAGAAAGGGAGGAAAGGAGGAAGGGAGGGACCTTGTCTACCCTTGCCCCAGCTGGACACGGTAGTTGATACCTGTGATCCCAGTGCTTTGGGAGGCCAAGATGAGAGGATCCCTTGAGGCCAGGAGTTCAAGACCAGGCTTGGCAACAAAGCAAGATCCCATAAATACAAAAATAAACTTTAATTTAATTTTTTAACAATTAGCTGGTGTAGTGGTAAATGCCTGTAGTCCCAGCTACTTGGGAGGGAGGCTGACACTGGAGGATTGCTTGAGCCCAGGAGGTCGAGGCTGCAGTGAGCTATGATTGCACCACTGCACTCTGGCCTGGGCGACAGAGCCAGACCCTGTCTCAAAAAGACAAAAGAAAGAAAAAAAAGGGGAGATCCCTTCTAGGGGGACCAACTTAAAAAATGCACCTGTCTAGGAAGACTAGGGAGTGGCTGGGCCAAAGCTGCGCAAGTTGGATTTTGGCCCCCATGGGCCCCACAGCCAGAGGGAGCCAGCAGAGGCCGTTGGGGGGCAAGCAAGGACTTGCTTCTGAGGGGAGACGTGGGTCTCGGCAGTGCGGACCCGTCCGGTCATGCTGAGGTCCCCGACCTTACCCGCGTTTTCCTTTCTCCCCCGCCCGCGGCACAGCCCCACCCCGCGCTGCCGCTGCCTCTGCCCCTGCCGCCCCAGCCGGCCCGCGAGCGTGACGGGAAGCTGCTGGAGGTGATCGAGCGCAAGCGCTGCGTGTGCAAGGAGATCAAGGCGCGCCACCGCCCGGACCGAGGCCTCTGCAAGCAGGAGAGCATGCCCATCCTCCCCAGCTGGCGGCGGGGACCCGAGCCCCGCAAGTCCGGCACCCCGCCCTGCCGCCGGCAGCACACGGTCCTCTGGGACACCGCCATCTGAGGCGGGCGGGGGGGTACCGGGGCGCCTGGACTGGGGAGGGGGCGGGCACGCCTGGCTCTCCCGGGAGCCTCGCCTTGAGAGACATTGAAAGACTACGTGGGAGAGTGCCAGGGAGAACCCCTGCCCTCCAACCTACCCCCCGGGATGGGGAGAGTCTGCCAGGCCCATTGGGCTTAGGATGCCAACAGCGCTGCTGAGAAACGGAGGAGGAGGAGGGTTTGCTTGAGGTTGGGGCGAGAGTCGCTCTGGCTGTTCTTCCCGCTGGGCGTTGTACACCCCTCCTCCTGAACCAAGCCAGAGGTCAGCATGGGGAAGGGAGGAAGGAAGGGATGGGAGGAAGAGGGGGGTGGGTGAGCTGAAAGAGAGGGACTAGAGTGCCAGATGGAGGAGCTCTTTTCTAGAGAGCCGGGAGTTGGGGAGGGGGTATTTATTTTGTTATTTATTTCAGTCTGGAGGGCGATTCTGGGCCTTTCTGACCTACTCCTGAGCTAGGAGTGGAGAATCAGGGCCAAGTTTGCACTCTCCCCAATGCCAATGCCTAAAGGCCCCGCCGTCCATGCCACCCCACAGCCAAGGAGGGGTCTGCATGGGGAGTGGACCGAGAGAAGAAGGGGCCCAGGGAAGCAGAGGGCCCAAGACCATTCACAGTATTTACAATTTGCCAGAATTTGGTAGTCAGTGTGGCCTGCTCTGAATCAGGCATCTTATTTAGTTCTGGGGTGAGGGTCTAGTGCCAGGGATGGGCAGGATGATGGGGGAGGAGGAGGGAAATTTTAGCGGGTGGAGGGGGTGGGCAGGGTATTTATTTAAATTAAAAAACAAAACAGAAGAGATGTCAGGAACTTTTTTTTAATTCCTTTCTTTTCAGAATAATATATTAAAAGACTCATGATCCTAAAGCTGGCTTCTTCTATTTCACAGCGTGCTCTGCTATTCTTACACTTGCTCCTTTTCCCATCTTGCCCCTGGTTGGTGGGAGTTGAAGGTTGTGCGGGGAGGGGTGAGTAGCTGTGGCCAAGTCACAGGGCGAGGTGGAGTTCCAGGTAAGTCTTTGGGAATGCACTGGGCCATGACTCCATTAGCATTTTTTTTGTGCACAGAATGTGTTCTTGGCATTGCACTGATGCAGAAGGAATATTTGGGCATGAAGCTTGCCTTCAAGTACCTTGTGATCTACTCAGATGACCTCCACTGAGATGACAATAAACTGTTGAAGGAGTAAGAGAGGGGGGACAGGGCCAAGCGTGGTGGCTCACACCTGTAATTCCAGCACTTTGGGAGGTCGAGGTGGGCAGATCACCTGAGGTTAGGAGTTCAAGACCAGCCTGACCAACATGGTAAAACCTTATCTCTACTAAAAAAAAAAATACAAAAATTAGCCGGGTGTGGTGGCGATATATCCCAGCTACTTGGGAGGCTGAGGCAGGAGAATCACTTGAACTCAGGAAGTGGAGGTTGCAGTGAGCTGAGATCATGCCACTGCACTTCAGCCTGGGCGACAGAGCGAGACTCTGTCTCAACAACAACAATGAAAGAAAAGAAAAAAGAGGGGGTACAGGGCTGGAATCATCTAAGAAGGCTTCCTGCAAAGTTACCCTAAAAGGACAGGTAAGCTAGTCTGGGCAACATAGAGAAACCCCATCTCTACAAAAAATACAAAAATTAGCCAGGTGTGAAGGCATGCGCCTTTAGTCCCAGATACTCAGGAAGCTGAGGTGGGAGGATGGCTGGAACCTAGAAGGCAGAGGCTGCAGTGAGCAGAGATCATGCCACTGCACTCCAGCTTGGGCAACAGAATGCGATCCTGTCTCAAAAAAAAAAAAAAAAAAAAGGACAGGTGAAGTTTGGGGAGGGGAAGAGGCAAACTCCCAAGGTCACGGTCATGGTTTTGATTGTCTATGGAACAGTAGGAGATGGGGGCAGGGGGAGGTAGGAAGTATGTTTAAATGATGGTGATGGCATTAAGAGGTCCAGCCATGGGACAGATCACCTGAGGTTGGGAGTTCGAGACCAGCCTGACCAACATGGAGAAACCCCGTCTCTACTAAAAAATACAAAAAAATTAGCTGGGCATGGTGGCGCATGCCTGTAATCCCAGCTACTCAGGAAGCTGAGGCAGGAGAATCGCCAGAACCCGGGAGGCAGAGGTTGCAGCAGTGAGCCGAGATCACGCCATTGCACTCCAGCCTGGGCAACAAGAGCGAAACTCCATCTCAAAAAAGAAGGGGGTCCAGCCATGGTGAAGCGGGCCACAAGGCAAGACTCAGGTCCTCACTAGGGAAGCCAGGGGAATCCTGCTGGGAGGTGATCTGTCACCAGGGAGGAGGATAAGGAGGATGCCTGGGAGGATGGAGGGCTAGGGACAGTTGCAAGAGGCCACTGAAAGGAAACCTTAGGATGGGAGTGAAGGAGCAGAATTGGTCATACAAGAAGCCCAAGTTTGGAGGTCTGGTGATCGGGGAACTGACAGAGTGAGGCAGGTGGGCTTGAGAGTGACTTTGGAGGAAGAACATTGAATTTGAAGCAATGATGAATATTTAGGTTGAATGGTTTGTTACTGAATAGAACAGAGTTTCGGAAAATGTGGTGGATAGCCAGACGTGGTGGCTCACGCCTGTAATCCCAGCACTTCGGGAGGCCCGAGGCAGGAGGATCACTTGAGGCCAGGAGTTCAAGACCAGCCTGGGCAACATAGAACCCCCCATCTCTACAAACAATAATAAAAAAAAATAGTTGGGCTTGGTGGCACACGTTTGTAATCCCAGTTACTCAGGAGGTTGAGGTGGGAGGATCGCTTGAGCTCAGGAGGTCAAGGCTGCAGTGAGCCATGGTTGCTTCACTGCATTCTAGCCTGGGCAACAGAGTGAGACCCCGTCTCAAAAAAAAAAAAATGTGGTAGATGCCACAAGAGATGTTTTTACACTTTATGAAGAAGAGCATTTTTTTTTAAACTGTAATAGTTTTGTATTTATTTTCACTTATATTAGAAAAGTTATAACCAATACATAAGGCTACTTGTTATTTCATGAATGTGATTACACAAGATAAGTCTAGAGTTATTTTTAATGAGCTGGTTTAAAGAAAAAATGTTAAGCCAATAAATAATAGTACAGGCAATGTACAGAATATGAAAAATTATGACAGTGGTATGTGAGTATTTGAAATTTAGGAAACAAGTTAAAAGTAAAATGATGATAGCTCAGGAGACAGGACAAGACTATGGACATTAGGAGTAATTGACATAGAAATGGCACTCAAGCCCAACACAGCTGACCTCTGCAAGGAGGGCAGGGCTAGAGAAAAGAGCTAGGGATGAAATACAGGCCAGGCACAGTGGCTCATGCCTGTAGTCCCAGCACTTTGGGAAGCCAAGGTTAGAAGATCGCTTGAGGCCAGGAGTTTGAGACAAGCCTGGGCAACAAAGCTAGACTTCATCTCTACAAAAAAAATTAATAAAAATTAGCTGGATGTAGTGGTGAGCACCTGTAGCTGGAGCTACTCAGGAGGCTGAGATGGGTGGATCGCTTCAGCCCAGGAATTGGAAGCTGCAGTGAGCTATGATCCCTTCACTGCATTCCAGCCTGGGCAACAGAGTGAGACCCCAACTTGAAAAAAACAAAACAAAACAAAAAACAAAACCCAAGATATAAACAGGCAGTAGCTCTTTTTAACTAGCCAGAAAATTAGACCGGGTGAGGTGGCTCATGCCTGTAATCCCAGCACTTTGGGAGGCCGAGGCGGGCAGATCACTTGATATCAGAAGTTCGAGACCAGCCTGGCCAATATGGTGAAACCCTGTCTCTACTAAAAATACAAAATTAGCTGGGTGTGGTGGCGGGCACCTGTAATCCCAGCTACTCAGAAGGCTAAGGCAGGAGAATTGCTTGAACCCGGGAGGCAGAGGCTGCAGTGAGCCGAGATCGCACCACTGCACTCCAGCCTGGGTGACAGAGCAAGACTCTGTCTCAAAAAAAAAAAAAAAAAGTTAATTAATGGAAGGGGCTGGGTGCAGTGGCTCACGCTTGTAATCCTAGCACTTTGGGAGGCCGAGGTGGGTGGATTGCCTGAACTTGGGAGTTCGAGACCAGCCTGGACAACATGGCAAAATCCTCTCTAGTGAAAATGAAAAAAATTAGCCGGGCATGGTAGTGTGTGCCTGTAGGTCCCAGCTATTGAGGAGGCTGAAGCAGGAGAATCACTTGCATCTGGGAGACGGAGGTTACAGTGAGCCAAGACCATGTAGCTGCATTCCAGCCTGGGCAACAGAGCAAAACTCTGTCTCCAAAAAAATTAAAAAAAAAAAGGAAAGGAAAATTAATGGAAGGAAATATCCCATTCATAAGAGCAATAAAAACCTTAAAATAAATAGGAGTAACATTAACAAGAAATTATAGAACCTATATTGGATCAGTTGATAACACTAAAGTATTTTGAGTCACTTAAAAAGGGAAGACCTTGGCTGGCCGTGGTGGCTCACACCAGTAATCCCACCACTTTGGGAGGCTGAGGCGCATGGATCACCTGAGGTCAGGAGTTCGAGAGCAGCCTGGCCAACATGGTGAAACTCTGTCTCCACTAAAAATACAAAAATTAGCCAGGCATAGTGGTGAGTACCTGTAGTCCAAGCTACTCTGGAGTCTGAGGCAGGCAAATCACTTGAACCCAGGAGGTGGAGGTTGCAGTGAGCAGAGATTGTGCTACTGCACTCCAGCCTGGGGGCCAGAGCGAGACTCCATCTCAAAAAAATAAAAGTAAAAATAAATACAAAAATACAAAAGGAAAACCTTCAGGACAAACAGCTATCGTGGAGCGAGGGAGAAGGAAGGCTTGTGGGGTCAAGCACAGTGGCTCACACCTGTAATCCCAGCACTTTGGGAGGCCCAGGCAGGAGGATGACTTGAGCCCAGGAGTTCCAGATCAGCCTGGGCAACATAGCAAGACCTTGTCTCTACAAAAAGTTAAAAGAAAAAAAAAAGGCTAGGCATAGTGGCATGTGCCTGTAGTCCCAGCTACTCAGGAGGCTGAGGTGTAAGGATCACTTAAGCCCAAGGAAATCAACACTGCAGAGAGCTATGATTGCACCACTGCCCTCCAGCTTGGGCAACAGAGCAAGAACCTGTCTTAAAAAAAAAAAAAAAAAGGGCCGGGCGTGGTGGCTCACACTTGTAATCCCAGCACTTTGGGAGGCTGAGGCGGGCAGATCACAAGGTCAGGAGATCAAGACCATCCCGGCTAACACAGTGAAACCCCATCTCTACTAAACAAAATACAAAAAATTAGCCGGACGTGGTGGCGGGCACCTGTAGTCCCAGCTACTCGGGAGGCTGAGGCAGGAGAATCTCTTGAACCCGGGAGGCGAGCTTGCAGTGAGCTGAGATCACGCCACTGCACTCCAGCCTGGGCGACAGAGTGAGACTCTGTCTCAAAAAAAAAAAAAATTAATTAATTAATTTAAAAAGACTTGAATAATCAAATGGTAATAACTTGTTCTTAGATAAGAAGATTGGATGATATAGAAGATGTCAGTTTTCCCTAAATCCGTAAATTCAATGCAGTCTCTAAATCCCAAAAGGATTATTTGGGAAACTTGATAAAATAATTTGAAAGTTTATGCAGAATGATAATGAGAAAAACCAGAACATTCTGAAACAGAAGAGTAATAGGGGGACCTGCCCTATCAAATATTAAAACAGGAAATAAAAGTCAAAGCATGCTTGTCCTGGCACAGGACTGGCATAATCCATATAATCCATCGGAATGAAGCGTCCAGAAATAGCCCCAAATGCACATGGGAATTTAGCACTTATAAAGATGATATTGCACATTGGTTGGGAAAAGATTCCTTATTCAATAATTGTTCCTTTCTAAATTTTATTTTTATTTATTACCATTATTTGAGACAAGAGTTTCACTCTGTTGCTCAGGCTGGAGTGCAATGGCATGACCATAGCTCACTGCAGCCTCGAACTCCTGGCCTCAAGTGATCCTCCCACCTCAGTCTCCCGAGTGGGACTATAGGCATGCACCACCACACCAGGATAATTAAAAAAAATGGAGTCTCACTTTGTTGCCCGGGCTGGAGTACAGTGGCGTGATCTCAGATCACTGCAACCTCCGCTTCCTGGGTTCCAGCAATTCTCCTGCCTCAGCCTCCCGAGTAGCTGGGACTACAGGCACGTGTCACCATGCCCAGCTAATGTTTTGTATTTTTAGTAGAGATGGGGTTTCACCATGTTAGGGAGGATGGTCTTGATCTACTGAACTCGTGATCCACCCGCCTTGGCCTCCCAAAGTGCTGGGATTACAGACGTGTGCCACCATGCCCAGCCTAAAAAAATATTTTGTATAGAAAGAGTCTCACTGTCTTGCCCAGGCTGATCTTGAACTCCTGGCCTCAAGCGATCCTCCTGCCTAGACCTTCCAAAATGTTAGGATTACAGGTGTGAGCCACTGCGTCTAGCCATATTTTATATATTTTTTTAGAGACAAGGTTTTGCTCTGTCATCCAGGCTGGAGTGCAGTGGTGCGATCATAGCTCATTGCAGCCTCACCGTCCTGGCTTCTAGCGATCCTCCTGACTTGGCCTAATAGTTGTTTCTTAAAGAATTAACTACTCAGAAGGGGGAGGGTGGGAAGCTGCATCTCTATTTCATTTATTATGCCAAAGGACTTCAGTGTAAAAACAAACATTAAAAGGAAAATGTGGGCCGGGCAAGGTGGCTCACGCCTGTAATCCCAGCACCTTGGGAGGCAGAGGTAGGCGGATCACCTGAGATTAGGAGTTTGAGACCAGCCTGGCCAACTTGGTGAAACCCTGTCTCTACTAAAATACAAAAAAAAAAAAAAAAAATTAGCCAGGTATGGTGGCAGGCACCTGTAATCCAAGCTAATTGGGAGACTGAAGCAGGAGAATTGCTTGAACCCAGGAGGCAGAGATTGCAGTGAACCAAGATGGCGCCACTGCACTCCAGCCTGGGCAACAGAGTGAGACTCTGTCTCAAAAAAGGCCAAGGCAGGAGGATTGCTTGAGCACCAGAGTTCTAGACCAGCCTGGTCAACATAGCAAGACCCCATCTCTTTAAAACAAAAAAATACTTCTATATGGCAAGTCAAACTACAAACATATTTCTAACACATATGAAAAAGATTAATACAATAGGATTGCTTGAGCCCAGGAGTTCCAGACCAGCCTGGACAACATAGCGAGACCCCATCTCTTTAAAACAAAACAAAAATACTTCTATATAGCAAGTCAAACTACAAATATATTTCTAACACATATGAAAAAGATTAATACAGTATATAGGTTCATGAGTCAATAAGAAGAGGAGAAAGGAACCCAGACAGATATGAACAAGAACATAAACAAATAACTTACCAGATACAGAAGTTAAGAGTAAACATGTTCAGCCTTAGCATTAATGAAATAATGCAAAATAAAACAATAATAAAATACTTTTCACCTTTCAGACAAAACTGAAGAAAATTTATAACATCAGTATGGCAAATATATGCAGAAAAGTCATTCATTATGTAAATATAAATTAATATAGCCCTTTTGAAGGTCAGTTTCATATTTATTTAAAAATAAAATGTGTATAGTTTTGACTCAGAAATTCCACTTCCAGGAATTTTTTTCCTAGAGAGACTGTCTCTAAAACAAACCAATGAAACCCCTCATTTATTACATTTATGAGACAATTGGGAATATTACCACTGACTGGATATATTTGATGGTATTAAGGAATTATTATTAATTTTTAGGCATGATAATGCATTGTGGGTATATATTTTTAAAAGTCCTTAAAGAAATAATACTGAAATATTAATGAAGAAATTATACAAGGTCTGGGATTTGATTCAAAATAAAATGGGAAGGAGAAGGTACATGAGGAAAAGATGAAACAAGAATGGCCACGAGTCCAGGCACAGTGGCTCATGCCTGTGATCCCAGCCCTTTGGGAGGCTGAGGCAGGCAGATCACCTGAGGTCAGGAGTTCGAAACCAGCCTGGCCAACGTGGGGAAACCCCATCTCTACTAAAAATACAAAAATTAGCCAGGCGTGGTGGTGGTGCCTGTAATCTCAGCTACTTGGGAGGCTGAGGCAGGAGAATTGCTTAAACCCAGGAGGCAGAGGCTGCAGTGAGCCGAGATCGCGTCACTGCACTCCAGCCTGGGCGACAGAGTGAAACTCTGTCTTAAAAAAAAGAAAAAGAATGTCCATGAGTACCAACTCATGGTAATTTTTTCATGATGGGTACATGGGTGTTCATTATATTGTTTTGTTTGTGCGTGAGTCTGCTTGAAATTTTCCACAATAAAAAGTGGGTTTTTTTAAAGTCAGTATGATGAGTCAAACATTTTTCTCCTTTGAAAAAAATAAGGATTGGGAGCAGATGATCTAGGAAGCCCCTTCCAAAACACACAACATCTCTCTAACTAAAAATAACCAGCCTGGACAGTATAGCAAGACCTTATTTTCAGAAAATTAAAAAATTAGCCAGGTATGGTGGTACACCCTTCTAGTCCCAGCTATTCAGGAGGCTGAGATGAGAGGATCACTTGAACCTAGGAGATGGAGGCCGCAGTGAACTATCATTGCACCACAGCACTCCAGCCTGGGGGACAGAGGGAGACCCTGTCTCTTTAAAAAAAAAAAAAAAAACAAAAAGGCAGAATGAGGTGGTTCACGCCTGTAATCCCAGCACTTTGGGAGGCCAAGGCGGGTGGATTGCTGGAAGCCAGGAGTTCAAGACCAGCCTGGCCAACATGGTGAAACCCTGTCTCTACTAAAAATACAAAAATTAGCCGGGTGTGGTGGCAGGCGCCTGTAATCCCAGCTACACGGGAGGCTGAGACAGGAGAATCACTTGAACCTGGGAGGCGGAGGTTGTGGTGAGCTGAGATCACACCAGTGCACTGCAGCCTGGGCTGACAGACTCTGTCTCAAAAAAAAAAAAAAATCCCTGCACGTACCTGGTTGTTTCCTCAAAGTGCCACCTGCGGTTTCCAGGTACCGTGTGTTGGAGTGTCTCAGTGCTAGCTGTTCAGATCCAGGTGTCCCTCATGCATGTCCCTGTAGAGTAGTGGTCCACTCTGCGGGGGTCCAGCTTCCCTTGCTCCTCTCTCTCTACCACCTCCACGTTGCGTCCAGGATGGGGTGAGGAGCATGTTGGCTGGGACTCGTCCAGGCCACACACTGACCTCTGCCACCACCCTGGGGGCAGTCTTTGCCACCATGAAAAATGGCTGGGAGCCAGGAGCCACAGGGTGGAAGCACCAGAGATGGTGTCACCACCATTTAAAAAAATTTCCACTGACCCGCCGGGCGCGGTGGCTCATGCCTGTAATCTCAGCACTTTAGGAGGCCAAGGGGGGCAGATCATGAGGTCAGGAGTTTCAGACCAGCTTGGCCAACATGGCAAAACCCCAACTCTACTAAATACAAAAAATTAGCTGGGCATGCTGGCACGCTCCTGTAATCCCAGCTACTTGGAAGGCTGAGGCAGGAGAATTGCTTGAACCCGGGAGGTGGAGGTTGCAGTGAACTGAGATTACGCCACTGCACTCCAGCCTAGGCAACAGGGCGAAACTCCATCTCAGAAAAAAAAAAAAAATTTTCCACTGACCAAGTGGTGACCTCATGCTGATGTTTTTTGATGTTCCTGCCTTAAAGCCCAGGAATGGGTGTGAGAGCAACATGTACACATTCCAGAAATTTCAGAGTAATGAGGGGGAAACCTGAAAAGATTAGAACTAGAGGGGAAATTTTAAAGATGCGCACTATTTATTTCACTGCCCATGTAGATCTGAAGTTATTTTGCTCGCTAGTAACATCAAATGTAGCCTTGTATTTGGGTCGTAAAGCTGTCATGGTTGGTCTACTTACAGATATGAAAATCTAAAAAAATGGAGAACACTTCCCCCCATTTAGATTGGTGGCTAGGTGAAGCAAAAAGGCTTACAGTGGCTGGGTGCCGTGGCTCATGCCTATAGTGCCAGCACTTTAGGGTGTTGAGGCAGATGGATCACTTGAGGCCAGGAGTTCGAGACTGGCTCGGGCAACATAGAGAGACCCCCGTCTCTGCAAAAAATAAAAAATAATAATTAGCCAGCCGTGGTGGCACATGCCTGTAGTCCCAGCTACTCAGGAGGCTGAGGTGGGAGGATCGCTTGAGCCCAGGATTTCAAGGCTGCAGTAAGCTATGATCACACCACTGCACTCCACCTTGGGCAACAGAGCGAGACACCCTGTCTCTAAAAACAAAAACAAAAATCTATCTGCAGACACCCTGTCTCTAAAAACAAAAACAAAAATCTATCTGCAATTGAACTCATTACTTCCCCAACCAGCCCTCATGTCTTGGACTGACCATCTCAGCCAGTGTCATCACATTCAGTCTCCCAAGGCAGAAACTTTTTTTTTTTTTTTTTGAGATGGAGTCTTGCTCTGTCACCCAGGCTGGAATACAGTGGTGCAATCTTGGCTCACTGCAACCTCCGCCTCCCAGGTTGAAGTGATTCTCCTGCCTCAGCCTTCCGAGTAGCTGGGATTACATGCGCGCGCCACCATGCCTGGCTAATTTTTGTATTTTTAGTGGAGACGGGGTTTCGTCATGTTGTACAGGCTGGTCTGGAACTTCTGACCTCAGATAATCCTTCCGCCTTGGCCTCCCAAAGTGCTGGGATTACAGGTGTGAGCCACTGTGCCCGGCCTTAAGGCAGAAATCTCTATGTGGAAGTACATGGTTTATTTCTCTCTGACACACACCCATTATTAATTAAGATGTCAGTTTACCTCTTTCAAAACAGACCCAGGCTGAGCATGGTTGCTCACACCTGTAATCCCAGCACTTAGGGAGGCCAAGAGGGGCAGATCACTTGAGTTCAGGAGTTTGAGACCAGCCTGGTCAACATGGCGAAACCTCATCTCTACTAAAAACACAAAAATTAGCTGGGCGTGGTGGTGGGCGCCTTTAGTCCCAGCTACTTGGGGAGGCTGAGGCAGGAGAATCGCTTGAACCTAGGAGGCGGAGATTGCAGTGAGCCAAGATCACGCCACTGCGCTCCAGCTGAGGAGACAGAGCGAGACTCCGTCTCAAAGAAAAAACAAACAAACAAAAAACCCAGACCCAAAGAACAGTGGTTTAACCTAAATGGGGGATTACATCTTGCTCATATAAGGGTCCAGACATTAGCAATCCATAACAGATACGGAAGCTGCAGTTCATCAGGAGCCAGGCTCTTTCTAACTGGTTGCTCTGCCGTTCCTAGGGTTCTGCTTTTGTTCCACAAAGTCTGAGGGGCTTTACTATCAGGTCCACTTTGTACTCAGCAGGATGGTGCTTGCCTGGGGTACAATAGACATGACAATTAACCCTCAAAATACCTAAGAGGTAGTGGTTTTATTAGGTTGAACTATATGAAATTGCCATTTTGGGGTCAAATATAATAGAATATTGGCAATTTTATGTCATTCAACCCAGTGGTATCTCTGAAGATAAAAGCTCTGACACACAGAGAGGTCAAGTAACCTGCCCAAAGTCACACAGCAAGTGAATGGCAGAGAGGGGCTTCAAATTCAGAGCCTCCCTGGAAGCTGGGCCCGAGGAAGATTCTTCAGTAGATAAGGCTTGGTTCCTGTCCCCCATGCACTTATAACCTACTTGCAGGGCAACATATGAACACTGGAACTGTAATCACAGTTCAAAAGAGAAACAAGTTTGATACAGCTACATAAGAAACTCATGAGGCCTGGCGTGGCGGCTCACGCCTGTAATCCCAACACTTTGGGAGGCCGAGGCAGGTGAATCACTTGAGCCCAGGAGTTCAAGACCAGCCTGGGCAACATGGCAAAACCCCATCTCTACTAAAAATACAAAAATTAGGCCAGGCCCGGTGGCTCACACCTGTAATCCCAGCACTTTGGGAGGTCAAGGTGAGTGGATCACGAGATCAGGAGATCGAGACCATCCTGGCTAGCACATGAAACCCTGTCTCTACCAAAAATACAAAAAAAAAAAAAAAAAAAAAAAATTAGCCGGGCATGGTGGCAGGCGCCTGTAGTCCTAGCTACTCGGGAGGCTGAGGCAGGAAAATGGCATGAACCCACTTGCAGTGAGCCGAGATCACGCCACTGCACTCCAGCCTGGGCAACAGAGCGAGACTCCATCTCAAAAAAAAAAAAAAAGAAAAACAAAAATTAGCCAGGTGCGGTGGCACATACCTATATATATATATTAAAAAGGAGGTCCCTGCCAATCCAATTAGCTGGTAGAACAAGACTTTTTTTTTTTTTTGGAGGTAGGGTCTCACTCTGTCACCCAGGCTGGAGTGCAGTGGCATGATCAAGTCTCACTGAAACTTTTGCCTCCTGGGCTCAAGCAATCCTTCACCCCTGTCTTCTGAGAAGCTGGGACTACAGGCACACACCACCATGCCTGGCTAATATGTTTTGTACTTTGTAGAGTCGAGGTTTCACCATGTTGCCCAGGTTGGTCTTGAACTCCTGAGCTAAAGTGATCCGCCCACCTCCACCTCCCAAAGTGCTGGGATTATAGGTTTGAGCACTCGTGTCCAGCCAGTGTTACAACTTTTATTGAAGCTTCAGTGCACAGCCGCAGCAAAGGTACGGCTCCTTGCAGAGCAGGGATGACCCATAGGCACTGTGTCCAGAATAGCAGCTGAGAGGCAGACCTAAACTCATTTATGCCCATTTTTAATTATATGCAAATTAAGGGGTGGCTTATGCAGAAATGTCTAGGATGAGGGTGGTAACTTCCAGGTCGGTAGGTGGTTGCCATGGAAAGGGGAGATAACTTCTGGGTGTTGTCATGGCAACGGTAAACTGACATGGCACTCTGGAAGGGATGTCTTTATGGAAAGCTGCTTCTGTCCCAACCCATTTTTAGTTGGTCCTCAATTTGGTCTGGTGTCCGTGCCCTGCCTCTGGAGTTGAGTCTTGCCTCCTACCTCAACAATCATTTTTTCTTTTCTTTTCCTTTCCTTTCCTTTTCTTTCTTTTCTTTTTTTTTTTTTCTTTTTTTTGTAAGACAGGGTCTCACTCTGTTGCCCAAGCTGGAGTGCGGTGGTGTGATCATGGCTCACTGCAACCTCAGCCTGCTGGGTTCAGGAGATCCTCCCACCTCAGCCTCCCAAGTAGCTGGGACTACATCGCGCACCACCACACCTGGCTAATTTTTGTACTTTTGATAGAGACAGGGTTTTGCCATGTTGTCCAGGCTGGGATAATTCTTTAATTCTGTGCTATTTAACAAAAGTGTGAGGTGCTATCTATGTAGACTTGGGTCTTCATCACGCTTGGTGGTGTGTGCCTGAGTGAGCGTACATACTTCCATAGCCCATGGATTTCTTTCTTTTTTCTTTTTTTGCGATGGAGTCTCGCTGTGTCGCCCAAGCTGCGGTGCAGTGACCCAATCTCAGCTCACTGCAACCTCCACCTCCCGGGTTCAAGCAATTATCCTGCCTCAGCCTCTGGAGTAGCTGGGATTACAGGCATGTGCCACTACGCCTACTTTTTGTATTTTTAGTAGAGACGGAGTTTCTCCATGTTAGCGAGGCTGGTCTCGAACTCCTGACCTCAGGTGATCCACCGCCTCGGCCTCCTAAAGTGCTGGGATTACAGGCGTGAGCCACCACGCCCAGCCACCTGTGGATTTCTTTATGTCTCTCCACCTTCTCACTTTGAGTTTATATGAGGCTGGGTTATGTCTTTCTGTGTTTTCCTGGGTCTTGGCATTTGTTTCTATCTCTTCCCCTCTCTTTCCTTCTGTCCTTTGTTTCTCCATCACACTGTCTCCTGACATCGATCTCTTCCTGTATCTTTGCTCTATAATTGCCCCATATAAATCCTAAGGATATATTTTATTGTTCATTGCACATATTAAATAGTTTGATGTGCCCTGCCCCTTAATTTAAAATGCAAAGAACAGGCTGGGTGTGGTGGCTCACGCCTGTAATCCCAGCACTTTGGGAGGGTGAATCACCTGAGGTGAAGGTAGGCGAATCACCTGAGGTTGGGAGTTCGAGACTAGCCTGACCAACATGGAGAAACCCCATCTCTACTAAAAATACAAAATTATCTGGGCGTGGTGGCACATGGCTGTAATCCCAGCTACTCGGGAAGCTGAGGCAGGAGAATTGCTTGAAGCCAGGAGGCAGAGGTTGTGGTGAGCTGAGCTCGCGCCCCTGCACTCCAGCCTGGGCAACAAGAGGGAAACTCTGTTTCAAAATAATAATAATAATAATAATAATAATAAATAAAATAAAATACAAAGAACAACATGTTCCATCGCTCCACCTAAATCTCCTATTTTATTGCTCCTTCTCTCTGACCTTTTTTTAGTTTGTTTTTATTTTGTCAAGTTATACACATACATAATTTTAAGAGTCAAATTGTACTAAAAGGTTAACAATGGTGAAAAGCAATCCCTGCTCTTTCTACTCTTGACCTGCTTCTTGGATTCAACCAACTTCTTCAGTTGTTTCTTCCAGTATATGCCTCTTGGTTTCTTTTCTGTTTTTTTTTTTTTTTTCTTTAGACAGAGTCTTGCTCTGTCACCTAGGCTGGAGTGCAGTGGCATGATCTTGGCTCACTGCAACTTCCGCCTCCTGGGTTCAAGCGATTCTCGTGCCTCAGCCTCCTGAGTAGCTGGGACTACAGGCGCGTGCCACCACACACGGCTAATTTTTGTATTTTCTGTAGAGATGGGGTTTCACCATGTTGGCCAGGCTACCCTTGAACTCCTGACCGCAGGTGATCCTCCTGCCTCGGCCTCCCAAAGTGCTGAGATTACAGGCATGAGCCCAGCTCCAGTTTCTAAATAACTTGCTTGTATAGCTATTCCTTGATTTTTCTATTTTAGATACGATCTATGATTTCTTAAAACAGGAAATGAGGATTTAACTTTTACACCCCCACACAAAACTCTTTCCCTTCCCCTATCCTCTCAATACAATTATATCATAAAATTTAGAATTAAGTATTTATAATATATATATTTTTTGAGACAGGGTCTCAGTCTCACTCTGTCTCCCAGGCTGGAGTGCAGTGGTGCAGTCATAGCTCACTTCAGCCTCCAATTCCTGGACTCAAGCCATCCTCCTGCCTCGGCCTCCAGAGTAGCTGGGACTAGAGGCATGTGCCAGTGTGGGCAGCTAATTTTTAAAATTTTTTTGTAGAGACAGGGGTCTCGTATGTTGCCCAAACTGGTCTTGAACTCCTGGTTTCAAGTGATTCTCATGCCTCAGCCTCCTAAAGTGCTGGGATTACAGGCATGAGCCACCACTCCAAGCCCCTAAGTGTCCGTTCTTTGCATTCCCTTGGCACTCCGTGTACACCTGCCACTGTTACATCAGTTGTTGTCTGCTGCATAACAAACTATCTCAGAGCGTAGTGGCTTAAAACAATTTTCATGTATTCTCTCGCAGTTCTGTGGATCAGGAATTCAGGGCATGACGGGATTGGCTTGGCTCTGCTCCACGACGTGTGGGGCCTCAGCTGGAAGACCGGAAGACTGGAGGGCTGACGTTACCTGCAGGCTTCATGGAGGCTGGAGGCTTGGTTTCCCAGATGGCTCACTCACACGGCAGGCAAGTTGGTGCTGGTTATTGGCAGCCGGCCTCAGTTCCTCCTGAGCAGCTCTATAGGTTGCGTGGATGTCCTCGTGATGCGGCAGCTGGCTTGCCCCCGGAGTGGGGGCTCTGAGAGAGAGAGAGCAAGGCAGAAGCACAATGTCTTTTATGACCTAGCCCCAGAAATCACACACTGTCATTTCCATCACATTTAGTTTATTAAAAGCAAGTCCCAGCCAGGTGTGGTGGCTCATGCCTGTAATCCCAGCACTTTGGGAGGCCGAGGCAGGCGGATCACTTGAGGTTAGCAGTTTGAGACCAGCCTGACCAACATAGAAAAACCCCATCTCTACTAAAAATACAAAATTAGCCAGGCAACAGGGTGTGGTGGCTCACACCTGTAATCCCAACACTTTGGGAGGCCAAGGCAGGTGGATCACAAGGTCAGGAGTTCAAGACCAGCCTGGCCAAGATGGTGAAAACCTGTCTGTATTAAAAATACAAAAATTAGCCGGGTATGGTGGTGGGTGCCTGTAATCCCAGCTACTCTGGAGGCTGAGGCAGGAGAATCGCTAGAACCCGGGAGGCAGAGGTTGCAGTGAGCCGAGATCACTCTACTGCCCTCTGGCCTGGGCAACAGAGTGAGACTCCATCTCAAAAAAAAAAATTAGCCAGGCGTAGTGGCGCATGCCTGTAATCCCAGCTACTCTAGAGGCTAAGGCAGGAGAATCACTTGAACCCAGGAGGTGGAGGTTGCAGTGAGCCAAGATCACGCCACTGCACTCCAGCCTGGGCAACAGAGCGAGACTCTGTCTCCAAAAAAAAAAAAAAATTATTTTCACTTTTTCTGGCCAGGAACCTTGCTAGATGCGATAGGTCCAGAAATTAAAAACTGTCCTGCTCTTGAGAAAACAGCAGGTTAGGCCACGTGTGGTGGCTCATGCCTGAAATTCTAGTGCTTTCGGAGGCCGAGGTGGGAAGATTGCTTGAGGCAAGGAGTTCGAGATCAGCCTGGGTAACAGAGTGAGACTTTGTGTCTACCAAAAGTAAAAAAAATTAGCCAGGCATGGTGATGCAAACTTGTAGTCTCAGCTATTTGGGAGGCTGAGATGGGAGGATCACTTGAACCCAGGAGTTGGAGGCTGCAGTGAACTACGATCACACCACTGCACTCCAGGCTGGGTGACAGAATAAGACCCAGTCTCTAAAAACAAAACAAAACAAAAAAAAAAAAAAAAGAAAGAGAAGAAAGAAAAGAAATGAGTGTAGAAAGGGATCCTTTAAGATGAAATCGATGCCTCCTCATGGAGTTCTAAGCCCTCAGAAGTGGAAGTCAACTGGAGTGTGCAATTTTCTATCTTTCAACTAACCCAACAGTTTCTACCTCACCCTCCTGCCTTCCTAGGACTCTGTGCACACACCCACCAGAGTGTTATCACATTGCAAGACAGAACCCAATTGTCTCCTTTATCTCCTCTACCAGACTTTGTGCTCCATCAGTTGAAGAGTAGGATGAAGAAAAAAAAAAAAGGTTACATGAAGATGATGGAATTATAATCAGGCCTTGAAGAACGGAGACAATTCCAGCCATTGTTGTAGATGTGGAGGCTGAAGGACATTCCAATTTGAAGGAACAGAGTAAGTAAAGGAGGGTGGGGCCAGATCAAAGAAGACATGCAGGCCAGGCGCAGTGGCTCCTGTCTGTAATCCCAGCACTTTGGGAGGCCAAGGCAGGCGGGCGGATCACTTGAGGTTAGCAGTTTGAGACCAGCCTGGGCAACATGGAGAAACCCTGTCTCTACTAAAAATACAAAAATTAGCCGGGTGTGGTGGCTCACACCTGTAGTCCCAGCACTTTGGGAGGCTGAGGCGTGTGGATCACAAGGTCAGGAGATCGAGACCCTCCTGGCCAAAATGGTGAAACCCCGTCTCTACTAAAAATACAAAAATTAGCTGGGTGCAGTGGCAGGCGCCTGTAATCCCAGCTACTAAGGAGGCTGAGGCAGGAGAATCCCTTGAACAGGGGAGTCGCAGGTTGCATTGAGCTGAGATTGCGCCACTGCACTCCAGCCTCAGATAGAGCGAGACTTTGTCTCAAAAAATAAGTAAATAGATAAATAAATAAGTAAATAAATAAATAAATAAATGGGTTGTTGAATTTGAGATCTTTCTTCTTTTTCACTGTAGGCATTTACAACTATAAATATCCTTCAAAATATTGCTTTAGCTAAATCCTTTAAGTTTTTGGTATATCATTCAGTTTCATTTATCTCCAAGTAGTTTCTAATTTCTCTTGTGATTTCTTTTTCTTTCTTTTTTTTTTTTTGGAGATGGAGTCTCACTCTGTCACCCACCCAGGCTGGAGTGCAGTGGCACGATCCCTGCTCGCTGCAACGTCTGCCTCCTGGGTTAGAGCGATTCTCCTGTCTCACCCTCCCAAGTAGCTGGGGTTACAGGCATGCACCACCACGCCCAGCTAATTTTGTATATTCAGTAGAGACGGGGTTTCACCATGTTAGCCAGGCTGATTTTGAACTCCTGACCTCAGGTGATCCACCCACCTTGGTCTCCCAAAGTGCTGGGATTACAAACGTGAGCCACCATGTCCAGCCGTGATTTCTTCTTTGACCTATGAGTTATTTAGGACTGCGTTTAATTTCCACATAGTTTTAAATTTCTCAAATTTCTATTATTGATTTATTTTATATTTCATTTTATTTTATTCTGAGACAGAGTCTCGCTCTGTCACCCAGGCTGGAGTGCTGTGGCACAATCTCAGTTCACTGAGGTTCACTGCAACCTCTGCCTCCCAGGTTCAAGCGATTCTTGTGCCTCAGCCTCCCAAGTAGTTGGGATTACAGGCGTATGCCACCTTACCTGGCTAATTTTTTGTATTTTTAGTAGAGACAAGGTTTCATCACTTTGGCCAGGCTAGCCTTGAACTCCTGGCCTCAAGTGATCCTCCTGCCTCGGTCTCCCAAAATTTTGTGATTACAGGTGTGAGCCACTGTGCCTGGGCTCTATTATTGATTTCTAATTTTGTTTTATTATGGTTAGAGAATGTACTGTGTATGATTTCAATCTTTTTAAATATATTGAGACTTATTTTATGGCCTAACATATAGTTCATTCTGGAGAGTGTCCTTGTGGACTTGAGAAGAATATAGATTATGCAGTTGGCGGGTTGAATATTTTATAGATACCTGTTAGGTCTGATCAGTTTATACTGTTGTTCAAGTCTTCTATTTCCTTGTTGATCTTCTGCCTAATGACTTCTCCATTATTTAAATGGGGTATGGAAGTCTCCTATTATTATTACTGACTTGGGCTCTGACATTCAGAGTCTAAAAATGATTAGCCAGCCTAATGAAATCCCCACTGCTTAGGAGGGTAACAGTGAGAGAGAAAAGGATGCCATGCAGGAGGCTATGCGGGCCATGAAAGATGAAAGAGACAGTGGCCAGTTCCCAGCCAACCTCAAATTCTTAGATTTTCAGTTCCAGCCCACCTATGTCCTTATGGTATGTCCAAGCCCTTTTTTCCCCCTAAAATTTGCAGTTAGTTCTTGTTTCTTGCAAATGAAATACCAAACTACTCTAACAAGCACAGAATTCTATTCCAGGAGCGGGGTTGCAAGCAACAGAATCTCCAAAGAGGCATGGAATCTTCATAGTAACACAGGAGAGAGAGTCAGAGATGATTTCCATGTCCCTGAATGGGAGGTTAGAAGTCCATGGATTGATAAAACAGTTCGTAAAGTCTTAGTATTCAGATACTATGTCCTTTGAAAGTAAAGTTTTGGGCTGGGCGCAGTGGCTCACGCCTGTAATCCCAGCACTTTGGGAAATAAGGACAGGCGTGATGGCTCAGGCCTGTAATCCCAGCACTTAGGGAGGCTGAGTGGTGAGGATTGCTTGAGGCCAGGAGCTTGAGATCAGGCTGGACAACATAGTGAGACTCTATAACTACAGTTTTTTTTTTTTCAATTAGCTGGGCGTAGTGGCACTCTGTGGTCCCAGCTACTCAAGAGGCTGAGGTGGGAGGGTCACTTGAGCCTGGGAGATCAAGGCTGCCGTGAGCCGTGATCATGCCACTGCACTCCAGCCTTGGTGACAGAGTGAGACCTTGTCAAAAAAAAAAAAAAAACGGAGAAAGAGAGATAAGTAGAAGGAAGGAAATGAAAAAAAAAAGGAGGAATTAGGATGACTGGGTAGAATCAGAAAACAACATTCAGCCGGGCACAGTGGCTCACACCTGTAATTCCCAACACTTTGGGAGGCCTAGGCAGGCATATCACCTGAGGTCAGGGGTTTGAGACCAGAATGGCCAACATGGTGAAACCCCGTCTCTACTAAAAATACAAAAATTAGCTGGGCATGGTGGCATGTGCCTGTAATCCCAGCTACTTGGGAGGCTGAGGCAGGAGAATTGCTTGAACCTGGGAGGCGGAGGTTGCAGTGAGCCAAGATGGCACCACTGCACTCCAGCCTGGGCAACAGAGCAAGACTCCATCTAAAAAAAAAAAAAAAGAGAGAAAGAAAACAACATTCAAGGCCATTCTGTATACCAGCAAAAAAAACACATCTTTGTTGTTGTTTTGACTTTTTTTTTTTTTTTTTTTTGACAGAGTCTAACTCGTTCACCCAGGCTGGAGCTCAGTGGCACCATCACAGCTCACTGCAGCCTCTACCTCCTGGGCTCAAGGGATCCCTCCACCTCAGCCCCCAAAGTAGGAGGGACTACAGGCACACGTCACCATGCCTGGCTAATTTTTTATTTCTTTGTAGAGTCGAGATCTTGTTATGTTGCCTAGGCTGGTCTTGAACTGCTGGCCTCTGGCGATCCTCCCACCTTGGCATCTAAAAGTGCTGGGTACTTTGGGACATGAGCCACTGTACCTTACCAAAAAACACATTTACTACTATCAGCCAGTGATTGGAAAAGACTAAAAATTAGATCTCTAAAGTGAATATTGACTACATTCTACTTATGTTGAGTGGTGGGTTTACCAGTGTTTTTTTGTTTGTTTATTTATTTATTTATTTATTTATTTATTTATTTATTTATTGAGACAGAGTCTTACCTTGTCACCCAGGCTGGAGTGCAGTGGCGCGATCTCAGCTACTGCAACCTCCGCTTCCCAGGTTCAAGCGATTCTCCTGCCTCAGACTCCTGAGTAGCTGGGATTACAGACTCGTGCCACCACACCCGGCTAATTTTTGTATTTTCAGTAGAGACATGGTTTCACCATGTTGGCCAGGCTGGTCTCGAACTCCTGACCTCAAGTGATCTACCCACCTCAGCCTCCCAAAGTGCTGGGATTACTGGCGTGAGACACTGCATCCAGCCCAGTGTTCATTTATTTTTACGCATCATAATCAACAGGTATAATACAGAGTTATTTGTATATTTTAAAATACATTATAAAATTTACCTGCCAAATATTTTATAATACAAAAAGATACTGTAAATTGACAAATCACAGTATTTGCTAAGTTCACAACTGTGCTGGCTTTCTGTAGTTAACATTAAGATTTTGATTATCAAAGACTGAAATCCTGGAGGTTGGAAGAGCAATATCTTGAGGGCATGGGGCTTCCCAGTCCCCTGGGCCCCTCCAAGTAATTTCTCCTGTATTCATGATTGCCAAGCAAATGTGATGAGTCACTTCCTAATGAGGAACATCTGATCACAGGAATTTGGAAATATCATGCAACCATGGATGGTGTGCAAAATCCAAGCAGGGAAAAAAGGAATTAGAGGCTAATTTTCTAGGGAGTTGTTACAGCAGCAACTATGTGGACTCGAATCCTGTGGGGTTGTAATCAAGGAAGACAGACCAAATCAAGGATAGAACATTCATTTCCTTCCTGCCTCTTCCCTCCCTTCATTTCTCTTTGTCTCTCTCCCTCTCTCCACCCCATCCCCTCATTTCCCTTCTCCTGCACGTGGCCTGGTTGATCATACTTTTTTTTTTTTTTTTTTGAGACAGAATCTCACCCTGTCACCCTGCCTAGAATGCAGTGGAATAATCTCAGCTCATTGCAACCTCTACCTCCTGGATTCAAGCGATTCTCCTGCCTCAGCCTACCAAGTAGCTGAGATTACCGACGCGTGCCACCACGCCCGGCTAATTTTTATATTTTTAGTAGAGACAGGGTTTTGCCATGTTGACCAGGCTGGTCTCGAACTCCTGACCTCAAGTGATCTGCCCGCCTTGGCCTCCCAAAGTGCTGCAATTATAGACATAAGCCACCATGTCCTGCCGATACTGGTTGTTGAAATACTGAAAAGCTTTCCTAGCAGTTGGTAAATTACTGCCAACAGCCTCCTGAGTTCCCCACCCCATCCACCTGCCTCCAGGCCCCCAGACCTCCCTCTTCTTATTTTTATTTTTTATTTTTTGAGACGGAGTTTTGCTCTGTCATCCAAGCTGGAGTGCAGTGGCACGATCTTGGCTCACTGCAACCTCTGCTTCCTGGGTACAAGCAATTCTCCTGCCTCAGCCTTCTGAGTTGCTGGGATTACAGGTGCACACCACCACGCCTGGCTAGCTTTTTTAGTAGAGATGGAGTTTCACCATGTTGGCCAGGCTGGTCTTGAACTCCTGACCTCAAGTGATCAGCCCACCTCAGCCTCCCAAAGTGCTGTGATTACAAGCATGAGCCACCGTGCTGGCCAGACCTCCCTCTCTTTCAGCAACTAAAGAGTTAATCCCCAGCATAGCTGTTGATCTCCAGGAACAGGACTTAGTGCTAAAATCAGTGTCTGTTCTAAATGGCTGCCGGCCATGTGGTAACCAGCTGTGAAATATTTTGAATATCACCCCTGGCTGTGGCCACAAAAAGGCAAAAGCCAAGTAGGTGTGGTAAATTTGCTGCAAGAAATGGCCTAACATACTGAGTTGAGGTTTTGGCTTCTGTTTGAAGTAGTGGCAGGAACAGAGCAGATGGGCGGGCCTGGGTTCAGCTTGGTTTGTAAAACAAGATAATTCCTTAGCTTAATGAACAAAGATCTAAGTCAAGTCAACACACTACATAGTCACAGTCCTTCTAGCCTTAACCATCCCTTCTCTCTTTTTTTTTTTTTCGTAGAGATGGGATCTCACTCTGCTGCCCAGGCTGGTCTCCTCCTGCCTTGGCCTCCCAAAGTGTTGGAATTACAAGTGTGAGCCACTGTGCCTGGCCCTGAATAAGTTTCTTGACCCAGAGTTCCTGAAGAGGAGGATGGGAACCTTGGAGGCTGTTTCTCCAGGCTGGTTAGTACCAAAGATGGACAGGACTTGAAAAATAATGGAGGATTACCTTGGGCTTAATTACGTGGGTACTTGATATGCTGTCTTCAATTTAGAGAAAGGGTCTCACTCTGTTGCCCACAGTGGAGTACAGAGGCACAACCACAGCTCATCACAGCCTCAAACCCACAGGCACGGATGGACACAGTGGCTCATGCCTGTAATCCCAGCACTTTGGGAGGCCAAAGTGGGTGGACCACCTGAGGTCAACAGTTTGAGACCAGCCTGACCAACATGGTTAAACCCCGTCTCTACTAAAAAAAAAAAAATACAAAAATTAGGGCGTGGTGGCGGGCACCTGTATTCCCAGCTACTCGGGAGGCTGAGGCGGGAGAATTGCTTGAACCCAGGAGGCAGAGGTTGCAGTGAGCCGAGATCACGCCATTGCACTCCAGCCTAGGTAACAGAGAGACTCCGTCTCAAAACAAATCAAAACAAACAAAAAAACCCAAACAAACAAATAAAAAACTGCAGGCACATGCCACTGCACCTGGCTAAATTTTTTTTTAATTTTTTTAATTTTTTTTTTTAAAGAGATGGCATTTCACTATGTGGCCCAGACTGGTCTCCCAACTCCTAGCACCAAGCAATTCTCCCTCCTTAGCCTCCCAAAGTGCTGGGATTATAGGCATGAACCATTGCACCTGGCCTCTGTTTCTCTTTACCCATCCCAGCTATTTATCTTTACCTGGAAGGGGTAGCAGTATCCTTTCACAGGGACCTAGTCCACTTTACCTAGGGACCAGCCATCTAGGTTTACCTGAAACTGTTATTCGGGCACTGAAAGTTCTGCATCCTAGGAAGCCCCCAGGTCCCTGGCAAACTGGGATGGTTGATCACACTAACTGACTCCTCTGTAGGATGTCATCCTGATCGTCATTGACAATATCATGCTGATTTGCCTTGGACTTGAAGTATCAAAGATCCCCCAGGTCTTGCTGAGACGTGGATGTAATGGGGTTGTGAGATATAACTGGCAGAAATGCAAGGACCTGTCACATCAGTAGAGCTTAGAAAATCATTAGTAATGAATAGTAAGTTGTAATGAATATTCATTAGTAATGAATAATAATTAGCAATGAATATTCCTTAGTAATATAAGATCTCCTTCAAAATGTGGGGGATGGGAGGGCAGAGAATGAAGGACAAATTGCTGCATTTTATTTATTTTATTTTTTGAGACAGGGTCTTGCTCTGTCACCCAAGCTGGAGTGCAGTGGCATGATCATGGCCCACTGCTGCCTCAACCTCCAGGGCTCAAGTGATCCTCCCACCTCAGCCTCCCACCTCAGCCTGTGGAGTACCTGGGACCACAGGTACACACCACCACACCCAGCTAATTTTTATTTCTTTTTAAAAATTATTATTATTTTTGTTTGTTTGTTTGAGACAAAGTCTCGCTCTGTCATCCCGGCTGGAGTGCAGTGGCGCGATCTCGGCTCACTGCAAGCTCCACTTCCTGGGTTCACGCCATTCTCCTGCCTCAGCCTCCCGAGTTGCTGGGACTATAGGCACCCGCCACCACACCCAGCTAATTTTTTTGTATTTTTAGTAGAGACAGGGTTTCACCGTGTTAGTCAGGATGGTCTCGATCTCCTGACCTCATGATCCACCTGCCTCAGCCTCCCAAAGTGCTGGGATTACAGGTGTGAGCCACCACGCCTGGCCTTAAAAATTATTTATTAATTTTTAAATTTTTTTTCTTTCCAATCATTTGTCACAGTCATATTATTTTTAAATTATTTGTAGAGATGTGGGTCTCCCTATGTTGCCCATGCTGGTCTTGGACACCGGAGCTCAAGTGATCCTGTCTTGGCCTACCAAAGGGCTGGAATTACAGGAATGAGCCACTGCATCAGGCCAACTTGCTACATTTTATACTTTCAACTAATAAGGAATTCTGGAAGCAGCATCTACCTCTATTTTAGCAGGGCTTTTTTCACTGCAAGAAACAAAAAAGTTCACTCAACAAAGCTCAAGTAAGAGAAAGAGATAGATAAGGGAGACCTGATCTCTTAGAACTAAGCCATAGTGGAATCAGAATTCATGTAGGTTGAAACCCAAGGAAGTTCTGAGTCCAGGAAAAACTCTAGGTGCTTCACAATAGGAATTGGCGAATGGGCCAGACACGGTGGCTCACACCTGTAATCCCAACACTTTGGGAGGCTGAGGCGGGCAGATCACAAGGTCAGGAGATGGATACCATCCTGGCTAACACGGTGAAACCCCGTCTCTACTAAAAATACAAAAAAATTAGCTGGGTGTGGTGGCACACGCCTATAGTCCCAACTACTAGGGAGGCTAAGGCAGGAGAATCGCTTGAACCTGGGAGGCAGAGGTTGCAGTGAGACGAGATTGTGCCACTGCTCTCCAGCCTGGGCGACAGAGCGAGACTCCATCTCAAAAAAAAAAAAAAAGGAATTGGTGAATGTTCCCTCTCCCTCCAAGTGTCAATGTGATTTAGCCACCACCTACCACTTGTTAGTGTTTGTCTCCTTCTACCCGGTTCCACATTTCTCACCTAAAAGGCCCAAGAAAGAAAATCTGATTAATTTATCTTTTCATATTTATTTATTTTTTAAGATGGAGTTTCGCTCTTGTTGCCCAGGCTAGAGTGCAATGGCGCGATCTCAGCTCACTGCAACCTCTGCCTCCTGGGTTCAAGCAATTCTCCTGCCTCATCCTCCTGAGTAGCTGAGATTACAGGCATGCACCACCACCGCCCGGGTAATTTTGTATTTTTAGTAGAGATGGGGTTTCTCCATGTTGGTCAGGCTGGTCTTGAACTCCCAACCTCAGGTGATCTGCCCGCCTCGGCCTCTCAAAGTGCTGGGAATACAGGCATGAGCCACCGCGGCCAGCCTATCTTTTCATTTTTTAAAACTTATGTTTTAGGTTGGGTTTTGTTTTGTTTTGTTTTGTTTTGTTTGGAAACAGGGTCTCACTCTGTTGCCCAGGCTGCAGTAGTGCAGTGGCATGATCATGGCTCACTGCAGCCTTAAACTCCTGGGCTCAAACAATCCTCCCACCTCAGCCTCCCTAGTAGCTGGCTACCACACTGGCTAATTATTTTACTTTTTATTTTTTGTAGTGATGGAGTCTTGTTGTGTTGCCCAGCCTGGCGTCTAACCCCTGGCCTCAAGCGATCTTCCTGCCTTGGCCCCCCAAAGTGCTGGAAGTATAGGCATGAGTCACCACGCCCAGCCAAATTTGTGTCTTATTTTTAATAAATTTGGACGTGGTCGTAATTTAAAGAGTTAAATACTTCCAAAGACATGTTAGAAAAAAGAGAAGATCCTTTTCAACTCTCCTCCATTTTCAGCTCCTCAGAAGTAAGCATTTTTTCAGTTCTTATAGCTGATCTTTTGTTATTTGGTTTATATTTATATGTCTAAATAATACAGTTATGTCTTTAGCTCTTGGTTTTTTTTTTCAGTATTACCTATTATCTATTGACTTACCGTGTGGACAGTGAGGGTTAGCTCTCTTTCACTTCCCAGTCACACACACCAGTCACACACACACACACCAGTCACACACACACACACCAGTCACACACACACACACACACACACACACACTTCCCATCCCACCATCCTCTGAACACAGACAGTCCCCCAATTTAGGATGGTTTGACTTAATGATTTTCTTAACTTTACAATGAGTTAATCAGGACTCAGTCCCATCATAAGTCAGGGAGCTAGGATGGTTTGACTTAAGGATTTTCTTGATTTTATAATGAATTAATCAGGACACAGTTCCATCATAAGTCAGGGAGGCTCTGTATTTGTCATTTTAGTTAGAAAGAGATTTAGGATTTTATGTATGTGTGTGTATATATATACACACACATATATGTATACATATATATATAAGTATATATGTATATGTGTGTATATGTATACACATATATATACGTATATGTGTGTAAGTATGTGTGTGTGTGTGTATATATATATATATATATAGAGAGAGAGAGAGAGAGAGAGAGAGAGAGAGAGAGACGGAGTTTCACTCTTGTCACCCAGGCTGGAGTACAATGGTACGATCTCGGCTCACTGCAACCTCCGCCTCCTGGTTTCAAGCGATTCTCCTGCCTCAGCCTCCCAAGTAGCTGGGATTACAGGCGCCCACTGCCACGCCCAGCTAATTTTTTTTTTTTTTGGTATTTTTAGTAGAGACGGGGTTTCGCTATGTTGGTCAGCCTGGTCTCAAACTCCTGGCCTCAGGCGAGCCACCTGCCTCGGCCCCCCAAAGTGCTGGGATTACAGGTGTGACCCACCGCGCCTGTCCTAGGGTTATATTTTTATAAGTGTATATATGCTATTCATAATTGAGCCATTTGTTTCCCTTGGAGTTAATAATTGCCTTATCTTTTGGTTTGCCGATGTTTCTAGGTATTAATCCTAATTGAATCCCTGCTGTAAAATAAGTCTTCTCATTATGTTCAAACATACAGAGTAGATTGTCACAGGGCAGTGAAGGCATATTGCTGCACCTGCTAGGTGAAGGTAAATTATTAGGTCTTCAGTCAGTTTCATCTTCTTGAAGGAATCCCTCCAAGAACCTTCTGATTTGTTTCTTTTTTTTTTACCTTTTTAAAAATCTTATTGCCTGCTCTCTGTGAAACCTACCTTCTGATCTTCTCTACTTTGGACTAGCTGCTTTCTAGGGCAGCAACTCAGCTGTCATTTTGGGGTCTCCTCTCACTATTACCCTAGGGACTCCCTTCGTCTTTGTTGAATTGGATACCCTCACTCATGGATCCCAAGTCTTCTTTCTTGCTTTATCGCTTTACGTAGGTGGTGTACTCTACTGATAGCTTCCTGAGAATGTTCAGGAAATGTTCAAGACTGTGTAGCAGAGAATGTGACTAATTCCACCAGTATCCTTCCATTCTTCCATAGTAATAGAGTTTTTATCTAGGCATAAAACCATCCAAAGGCCAGGCACTATGGCTTACACCTGTAATCCCAGCACTTTGGGAGGCCAAGGCAGTAGGATCACTGGAGCCCAGGAGTTCAAGACTAGCCTGGGTAACATAGGGAGACTCTGTCTCTACAAAAAATGAGAAAATTAGCTGGGCATGGTGGCATGCGCCTATAGTCTCAGCTACTCCAGCAGCTGAGCTGGGAGGATCACTTGAGCCCAGGAGGTCCAGGCTGTAGTGAACCATGATTGTGCCACTGCACTCCAGCCTGAGCAACAGAGTGAGACGCTGTCTCAAAAAAGAAAAAAAAAAAAGATAATTCAAAATAAAGTCTATATTTCTGCATTTTCCACCCTACCTTGTAGCTTGGTGTGGCCATGTGACCAAATTCTGACCAATGGGATGCAAGGAGAAGTGAAAGTTCTTTGGAAGAACTTTCTGAAGAAATAGCTGGCACATGCCCCTGGTGCCTTCTTCATCATCTCTTCTTTTATTTATTTATTTATTTATTTTTATTGATCATTCTTGGGTGTTTCTCGCAGAGGGGGATTTGGCAGGGTCATAGGACAATAGTGGAGGGAAGGTCAGCAGATAAACAAGTGAACAAAGGTCTCTGGTTTTCCTAGGCAGAGTGTGTGTGTCCCTGGGTACTTGAGATTAGGGAGTGGTGATGACTCTTAACGAGCATGCTGCCTTCAAGCATCTGTTTAACAAAGCACATCTTGCACCACCCTTAATCCATTTAACCCTGAGTGGACACAGCACATGTTTCAGAGAGCACAGGGTTGGGGGTAAGGTCACAGATCAACAGGATCCCAAGGCAGAAGAATTTTTCTTAGTACAGAACAAAATGAAAAGTCTCCCATGTCTACTTCTTTCTACACAGACACAGCAACCATCCGACTTCTCAATCTTTTTCCCACGTTTCCCCCTTTTCTATTCCACAAAACCGCCATTGTCATCATGGCCCGTTCTCAATGAGCTGTTGGGTACACCTCCCAGACGGGGTGGTGGCCGGGCAGAGGGGCTCCTCACTTCCCAGTAGGGGCGGCCGGGCAGAGGCGCCCCTCACCTCCCGGACGGGGCGGCTGGCCGGGCGGGGGGCTGACCCCCCACCTCCCTCCCGGACGGGGCGTCTCGCTGGGCGGGGGGCTGACCCCCCCACCTCCCTCCCGGATGGGGCGGCTGGCCGGGCGGGGGGCTGACTCCCCCACCTCCCTCCTGGACGGGGCGGCTGGCCGGGCAGAGGGGCTCCTCACTTCCCAGTAGGGGCGGCCGGGCAGAGGCGCCCCTCACCTCCCGGACGGGGCAGCTGGCCGGCTGGGGGCTGACCCCCCCACCTCCCTCCCGGACGGGGCGGCTGGCCGGGCGGGGGGCTGACCCCCCCACCTCCCTCCCGGACGGGGCGGCTGGCCAGGCGGGGGGCTGACTCCCCCACCTCCCTCCCGGACGGGGCGGCTGGCCGGGCAGAGGGGCTCCTCACTTCCCAGTAGGGGCGGCCGGGCAGAGGCGCCCCTCACCTCCCGGACGGGGCAGCTGGCCGGGCAGGGGGCTGACCCCCCACCTCCCTCCCGGACGGGGCGTCTCGCCGGGCGGGGGGCTGACCCCCCCACCTCCCTCCCGGACGGGGTGGCTGGCCGGGCGGGGATCTGACCCCCACCCCCCCGCCTCCTTCCCGGACGGGGCGTCTCACCTGGCGGGGGGCTGACCCCCCCACCTCCCTCCCGGACGGGGCATCTCGCCTGGCGGGGGGCTGACCCCCCCACCTCCCTCCCGGATGGGGCGGCTGGCCGGGCACGGGGCTGACCCCCCCCACCTCCCTCCCGGACGGGGCGGCTGGCCGGGCGGGGGGCTGACTCCCCCACCTCCCTCCTGGACGGGGCGGCTGGCCGGGCAGAGGTGCTCCTCACTTCCCAGTAGGGGCGGCCGGGCAGAGGCGCCCCTCACCTCCCGGACGGGGTGGCTGGCCGGGTGGGGGGCTGACCCCCCCACCTCCCTCCCGGATGGGGCGGCTGGCCTGGCAGGGGCTGACCCCCACCTCCCTTCCGGACGGGGTGGCTGCCGGGCGGAGACGCTCCTCACTTCCCAGACGGGGTGGCAGCCGGGCGGAGGGGCTCCTCACTTCTCAGATGGGGCGGTTGCCAGGCGGAGGGTCTCCTCACTTCTCAGACGGGGCGGCCGGGCAGAGACGCTCCTCACCTCCCAGACAGGGCGGCGGGGCAGAGGCGCTCCCCACATCTCAGACGATGGGCGGCCGGGCAGAGACGCTCCTCACTTCCTAGATGGGATGGTGGCCGGGAAGAGGCGCTCCTCACTTCCTAGGTGGGATGGCGGCCGGGCAGAGACGCTCCTCACTTTCCAGACTGGGCAGCCAGGCAGAGGGGCTCCTCACATCCCAGACGATGGGCGGCCAGGCAGAGACGCACCTCACTTCCCAGACGGGGTAGCGGCCAGGCAGAGGCTGCAATCTCGGCACTTTGGGGGGCCAAGGCAGGCGGCTGGGAGGTGGAGGTTGTAGCCGAGATCACGCCACTGCACTCCAGCCTGGGCACCATTGAGCACTGAGTTAACGAGACTCCGTCTGCAATCCCGGCACCTCGGGAGGCCGAGGCTGGCGGATCACTCGCGGTTAGGAGCTGGAGACCAGCCCGGCCAACACAACGAAACCCCGTCTCCACCAAAAAAATACAAAAACCCGTCAGGCATGGCGGCGCGCGCCTGCAATCGCAGGCACTCGGCAGGCTGAGGCAGGAGAATCAGGCAGGGAGGTTGCAGTGAACCGAGATGGCAGCAGCACAGTCCAGCTTCGGCTCGGCATGAGAGGGAGACCATGGAAAGAGAGGGAGAGGGAGAGGGAGAGGGAGACCGTGGAAAGAGAGGGAGAGGGAGAGGGCATCATCTCTTCTATCACCCAGTGTCTGGTGCTCACATGCTGCCATCCTATCCATGAAGATGAGGGCCACACCCTGGGCATTGCAGAGTTGGGGCTGGAATGAACTTGGGTTGCTGAGAGTTTCATGGAACAGAGCCACTATACTGACCTAGATTTTTTTTTTTTGAAATGGAATCTCACTCTGTCACCCAGGCTGGAGTGCAGTGGCCTGATCTTGGCTCACTGCAACCTCCGCCTCCTGGGTTCAAGCGATTCTTCTGCCTCAGCCTCCCGAGTAGCTGGGACTATACGCATGTGCCACCACGCCCTGCTAATTTTTTGTATTTTTAGTAGAGATGGGGTTTCACCATGTTAGCCAGGATGGTCTCGATCGCCTGACCTCGTGATCTGCCCTCCTCAGCCTCCCAAAGTGCTGGGATTACAGGCGTCAGCCACCACGCTTGGCCACTGACCTAGACTTTTATGTCAGAGAGAAAGAAAATTGTAACTATTGTTTTAGGTTTTCTGTCACTTGCATCTGAACCTTGAATTACTGAAAATATCTTTATTCTAGAATAATTCATAGTTGTAGATTGGCCATGTATGGAATTACTTGTTGAAAATGATTTCCTTCAAATTTTTTTTCTGTTTTGTAGAGTCAGAATCTCAAAATGTCGCCCAGGCTGGTCTCGAACTCCTAGCCTCAAGTGGTCCTCCTATCTCAATCTCCCAAAGTGCTGGGATTACAGGCATGGGCCACCATGCCTGGCCTTTCCTATAAAATTGTGAATGCAATGCACCTTGTCCTTCTACCTTCCAGGGTTGCTATTAAAAATCCTAATATAGGTCATTTGTTCGTACTCTTAGGAACTTGTAAGATATTTTTTTATCTCCACCATTCTAAATTTCACAAGGATATGCTTTCGTGAGGTTCTTAGGTTTTTTGTTTGCTTTTTTGAGACAGAATCTCGCTCTGTCGCCAGGCTGGAGTGCAGTGGCGCGATCTCGGCTCACTGCAACCTCTGCTTCCCAGGTTCAAGCCATTCTCCTGCCTCAGCCTCTGGAGTAGCTGGCACTACAGGCGCCCGCCACCATGTCCGGCTAATTTTTGTATTTTTAGTAGAGACGGGGTTTCACCATGTTGGCCAGGCTGGTCTCGAATTCCTGACCTCGTGATCCATCCGCCTCGGCCTCCCAAAGTGCTGGGATTATAGGCGTGAGCCACCGCGCCCAGCCGGTTCTTGGTTTTTATCAGTTATACCATGGCACTTCATAGGTCTTGTTTTTTAGTTTGTTTTTTTTTTTGTTTGTTTGTTTGTTTGTTTGAGGTGGTTTCACTCTTGTCACACAGGCTGGAGTGCAGTGGCGCAATCTCAGCTCACTGCAACCTCTCCTTCCTGGGTTCAAGCAATTCTCCTGCCTCAGCCTCCTGAGTAGCTGGGACCACAGGTGCACGCCACCACGGCAAGCTAATTTTTATACTTCTTTTTAAAAAAAGTAAAAAGACACAGTCTCGCTCTTTTGCCCAGGCTGGACTGCAGTGGCGCTATCTCGGCTCACTGAAAGCTCCGCCTCCCGGGTTCAAGCCATTCTCCTGCCTCAGCCTCTCGAGTAGCAGGCGCCCGCCACTGCACCCGGCTAATTTTTTGTATTTTTAGTAGAGACGGAGTTTCACCATGTTAGCCAGGATGGTCTCGATCTCCTGACCTCGTGATCCTCCCGCCTCGGCCTCCCAAAGTGCTGGGATTACAGGCGTGAGCCACCGCGCCCGGCCTAATTTTTATACTTTTAGTAAAGACCGGGTTTCACCATGTTGGCCAGGCTGGTCTGGAACTCCTGACCTCAGGTGATCCACCTGCCTCAGCCTCCCAAAGTGTTGGGATTACATATGTGAGCCACCACACCTGACTAAGGTCTTGTTAATCTAGAAACTCATGCCCTTTAATTCTGGAAAATTTTGCTAAATTTTTCAGTAATATTTTTCCCCTCCATTTTTCTCTTCTCTCCTTCTGTAACTTCTATTATTTATATATTAGATCTACTGAACTGTTCTTTTATTTACCTTTAATCATTTTTTTCATCTCATATTTTAAACTGCTTTTTGCAGGATTTCTCCAATTTTATCTTCCAACCATTCAACTGAGGTTTTCATGTTTATATATTTAATTTCCAGGATTTCTTTCTTGTTCTCTGAATATTCCTTTTTTTCTGTTTTTTTTTTTTTTTTTTTTTTTTTTTGACGGATTCTTGCTCTGTCACCCAGGCTGGAGTGCAATGCCATGATCTGGGCTCACGGCAACCTCCGTCTGCTGAGTTCAAGCAATCCTCCTGCCTCAGCCTCCCAAGTAGCTGGGATTACAGGCTCCCACTATCACACTCGGCTAATTTTTGTATTTTTAGTAGAGACGGGGTTTCGCCATGTTGACCAGGCTGGTTTCGAACTCCTGACCTCAGGAGATCCACCTGCCTCGGCCTCCCAAAGTGCTGGGATTACAGGCGGGAGCCACTGCACCCGGCCTGAATATTCCTTTTAAAATAACGTTCTGTGTATATTTCATGAAAATGGTATCTTATCTCTCCAAGGATATTAATTATAGTGGGTTTTGGGTAAAATTTTCTTCTCTTTACATAGTATCTGTTTCTTTCCAATTGCTTCTCTTTGTTTTTGTTTTTCTTTTTAAGACAGGCTCTTGCTCCTGGGCTGTGTGATCCTCCCACCTCAGCCTCCCAAGTAGCTGGTACTACAGGCATGTGCCACCACACTTGGCTAATTTTTTAATTTGTTAAAATTTTTGTAGAGATGGGGTCTCACTTGTTGTCGAGGCTCGTCTCAAACTACTGGGATCAAGCAATCCTCCTGCCTCAGCCTCCAAAGCTGAGATTACAGGTGTGAGCCACCATGCCCCGTTCTGTATATGCCACAATTTCTCTATCCACTCATCTGTCAATGGACATTTAGATTATTTCTACCTTTAGGCTATCATGGATGGTGCTGCTATGAACTTTCGTGTACAAGTTTTGATTTGAATAGCTGTTTTAAACTCCTTAGGGTATATAACTAGGAGTGAAACAGCTGAGTCATATAGTAATTCTATATTTAACTTTATTTTTTTTTGAGACAGAGTCTCACTCTGTCACCCAGGCTGGAGTGCAGTGGCATGATCTCGGCTCACTGCATCCTCTGTCTCCCTGGTTCAAGCAATTCCCCTGCCTCAGCTTCCCGAGTAGCTGGGATTACAGGTGTACACCACCACACCCGGCTAATTTTTTATTTTTATTTATTTTTTATTTTTTGTATTTTTAGTAGAGATGGGGTTTCACCATGTTGGCCAGACTGGTCTCAATCTCCTGACCTCAGGCAATCCGCCCGCCTTGGCCTCCTAAAGTGCTGGGATTACAGGCGTGAGCCACTGTGCCCGGCCTCTATATTTAACTATTTGAAGAACTGGTAAACTGCTTTCCATGGCAGCTGCACCATTTTTCATTTCCACCAGCAATGTACAAGGGTTACAATTTCTCTACATCCTCACCAACAATTGCTAGTTTTCCCTTTTTTGATTACAGCCATCCTAGTGGATGTGAAGTGGTATCTCATCCATGGCTTTGATTGCATTTCCTAATGACTAATGATGTTGAGCATCTTTTTGTGTGCTTATTGGCCATTTGTGTATCTTCTTTGGAGAAATGTCTGTTCAAGTCCTTTGTCCCTAACTCCCGCTTTGTTCAAGGGTCAACTGTAATTGCAAAATCCAATGTCATGAAGCTCTTGCCCTATGGTTTATTCTAAATCTTTCTTAGTTTTAGGTCTGACATTTAGGTCTTTTATCCATTTTGAGTTAATTTTTGTATATGGTGTTAGGTAAGAGTTCCACTTCATTCTTTCACATGTAGATATGCAGTTATCCCAATACCATTTGTTGAAAAGACAGGTTTTTTTTGTTTTGTTTTGTTTCGTTTTTTTGAGATGGAGTATTGCTCTGTCGCCCAGGCTGGAGTGCAATGGCACAATTTAGGCTCACTGCAACATCCGCCTCCCTGGTTCAAGTCATTCTCCTGCCTCAGCCTCCCGAGTAGCTGGGAAGACAAGCACGTGCCACCACACCTGGCTAATGTTTGTATTTTTTTTTTTTTTTTTTTTTTTTTTTTTTTAGTAGAGACGGCGTTTCAGCACGTTGGCCAGGCTGCTCTTGAACTCCTGACCTCAAATGATCCACCCACCTCGGCCCCGCAAAGTGCTGGGATTACAGGCATGAGCCACCACACCCGAGCCTATATGTCTGTCTTTATGCCAGTACCATGCTGTTTTGATCACATGGCTTTGTAATAAGTTTTGAAATCAAGAAGTGTGAGTCCTCCAATTTTGTTAGTCCCTTTTTTTTTTTTGAGATGGAGTTTCGCTCCTGTTGCCCAGGCTGGAGTGCAATGGCACGATCTTGGCTCACTGCAACCTCCGCCTCCTGGGTTCAAGTGATTCTCCTGCCTCAGCCTCCCGAGTAGCTGGGATTACAGGCATGCACCACCATGCCCGCCTAATTTTGTGTATTTTTAGTAGAGATGGGGTTTCACCATGGCCAGGCTGGTCTTGAACTCCTGACCTCAGGTGATCTGCCCACCTCGGCCTCCTAGAGTGCTGGGATTACAGGCGTGAGCCACCATGCCCAGCCTGTTAGTCTTTTTGAATAGTGTTTTGGCTATTTGGAGTCCGCTGAGATTTCATAGAAATTTTAGCATGGGCTTTTCTATTTCTGCAGAACACATCATTGGAATTTTGATAGAGATTGCACTGAATCTGTAGATCACTTTGTTGGTTTTTGTTTGTTTGTTTGAGACGGAGTCTCGCTCTGTCACCCAGGCTGGAGTGCAGCGGTGCGATCTCGGCTCACTGCAACCTCCTCCTCCTGGGTTCAAGTGATTCTCCTGCCTCAGCCTTCTGAGTAGGTGGGATTACAGGTGCATGCCACCATGCCTGGCTAATTTTTGTATTTTTAGTAGAGACGGGGTTTCTCCATGTTGGCCAGGGTGGTCTCGAACTCCTGACCTCAGGTGATCCGCTTACCTACTCCTCCCAAAGTGCTGGGATTACAGGAGTGAGCCACTGAGCCTGGCTCTAAATCTGTAGATCACTTTGGTTAGTATTCACATCTTAACAATATTAACTCTTCCAATTCATGAACTGGGATGTGTTTCCATAAATTTTTGTCTTCTTTAATTTCTTTCAGCAATGTTGTATAGTTTTCATTTTACAAGTCTTTCACCTCCTTAATTTAATTAGGGTTAAATTAATCCCTAAGTATTTTATTCTGTGTGATGCTATTGTAGATGTAATTGTTTTTATGTTTTGTGGGGTTTTTTTGTTTGTTTGTTTGTTTGTTTTTTGAGATGGAGTCTCACTCTGTCACCCAGGCTGGAGTGCAGTGGCACGATCTCTGCCCACTGCAGCCTCCACCTCCCAGGTTCAAGCCATTCTCCTGCATCAGCCTCCCAAGTAGCTGGGACTACAGGCGTGGGCCACTACACCCAACTAATTTTTGTATTTTTTTTTAGTGGAGTCGAGGTTTCCCCATGTTGGCCAGTCTGGTCTCGAACTCCTGACCTCAAGTGATCTGCCCGCCTTGGCCTCCCAAAGTGCTGGGATTACAGAGGTGAGCCACCACACCTGGCCAATGTAATTGTTTTTGTAATTTCCTTTTGACATTGCTCATATTTAATATATAGAAGTGCAACCAACGTTTGTGTGAGTCTAATGCCCTTTTTTTTTTTTTAATTTAGAGACGGGTCTCACTATGTTGCCCAGGCCGTAGTACAGTGACTATTCACAGGCGTGACTCCACTGCTGATCAGCACAGGAGTTTTGACTTGCTCCATTTCCAACCTGGGCAGGTTCAACCCTCCTTAGGCAACCTGGTGGTCCCTCGCTTCTGGAAGGTCAGCACATTGTTGTTGAACTTAGGGCAGACACCCAATCAGCAGAGCACACTACAACCCAGGACTTCTGGACTCAAGCAATCCTTCTGCCTCAGCCTCCTGAATAGCTGTGACTACAGGTGCACACCACCATATCTGGCTCTAATGTCTTTTAAAACTGACATTTAGGCAGGGCACAGTGGCTCACGCCTGTAATCCCAGCACTTTGGGAGGCTGAGGCAGGTGGATCACGAGGTCAGGAGTTTGAGACCAGGCTGACCAACATGGCGAAACCTCGTCTCTACTAAAAATACAAAATTAGCTGGGTGTGGTGGCGGGTGCCTGTAATCCCAGCTACTTGGGAGGCTGAGGCAGGAGAATCACTTGAACCCCAAAGGTGGATGTTGCAGAGAGCAGAGATCGTGCCATTGAACGCCAGCCAGGGCAACAAGACCAAAACTCCATCTCAAAAAAAATTTTTAAAAATAAAATAAAATAAAATAAAATAAAATAAAATAAAATAAAATAAAACTGATTTTCAGTCAATATACTTATTTTTAACCTCTACCTTTACCCCAGATGTATTATACCTGTTGCCACCAATTCCTGAGGGGGCCACCTGAAGTTGTCTCACAGCTCACTGGTGTTCTGTTCATCTGTGGGTTTTGGGTTTTTATCAGTCTTTTTTCATTTTTCCAATATTTTAAAAAATAAGAGACAGGGTCTCGCTATGTTGCCTAGGCTGGTCTCAAACTCCTGGGCTCAACTGATCTTCCAGCCTCAGCCTCCCAAGTAGCTGGGATTATAGGTGCACACCACTGTGCCTAGCTCTATAAATCATTTTTATACTTTCTACTGTTATGTCTTCAAGTTCATAATATTCTCTTCTGTAGTATCTAGTCTGCTGTTAGTCCCATTCACTGTACTTTTCATCTCAGACATTCCAGATTTCATTTCTGGAGGATAGACTTGGGCATTTTTACTTTTTATTTATTTATTTATTTATTTTTTGAGACAGAGTCTCTCTTTGTCACCCAGGCTGGAGTGTAGTGAAATGATCTTGGCTCACTGCAACCTCCACCTCACTGATTCAAGTGATTCTCGTGCCTCAGCCTCCTGAGTAGCTGGAATTACAGGTGTGTGCCACCACGCCTGGCTAATTTTTATATTTTTAGTAGAGACGGGGTTTCACCATGTTGGTTGGCCAGGCTGGTCTTGAACTCCTGACCTCGTGATCCGCCCGCCTCGGCTTCCCAAAATGCTGGGATTACAGGCATGAGCCACCGCACCTGTGTGAAAGAGGAAGTTTCTAAATTAGTCCAGGTTACAAAGCAAGATGCCCTTATGGCTTGGCTAATCCAGTGGTGCCAGAGGGGTCTAGCCCACTCAACCTTTGCCATGCCCAGTAGACAATCTCCCTGGAGGCCTCTGGGGTGTTGAAACAAGACCACATTTCAGCAGATAATTATTCTTCTTCCGGGGAACATCTCCTAACTTGTTCCTGAAATTTAGTGTAAATATCTGGGATACAAAGTTACCATAGGATGGGCACATGGCTTATGCCTGTAGTCTCAGCAATTTGGGAGGCCGAGGCGGGTGGATTACTTGAGGTCGGGAGTTTGAGACCAGCCTGGCCAACATGGTGAAACCCGTCTCTACTAAAAATAGAAAAATTAGCTGGGCGTGGTGACAGGTGCCTGTAATCCCAGCTACTTGGGGGGCTGAGGAGGGAGAATCGCTTGAACCCATGAGGCGGAGGTTGCAGTGAGCTGAAATCATGCCACTGCATTCCAGCCTGAGTGACAGAGTAAGACTCCATCTCAATACACACACACACACACACACACATACACACACACACAAAACAAACAAACAAAACCAAGTTACCATGGGCTGGCCACAGTGGCTCACGCCTATAATTAATCCCAGCACTTTGAGAGGCCAAGGTGAGCAGATTGCTTGAGCACAGGAGTTCGAGACCAGTCTGGGAGACATGGTGAAACTCTCTCTTTACAAAAAATAAAAAAGCTAGCCAGGCATGGTGGTGTGCGCCTGTAGTCCCACCTCCTGGGGAGGCTGAGGTAAGAGGATCGCTTGAACCGAAGAATTAGAGGCTGCAATGAGCTATGACGGTGCCACTGCATTGCAGGCTGGGCAACAGAGCAAGACCCTGTGTCAAAAAAAAAAAAAAAAAAAAAGAAAGAAAGAAAGAAAAGAAAAACAAGACAGTTGGCCAGCCATGGGCCCCATTATCCTATTTCCCATGTACCAGAAACAGCTGGCCTTGTAGAACAATGAACTGGTGTACCAAAAACAAATCTAGCCAGTATCCACGAGACCACACTTGTGAGGCTGCAACGCTCCCTCGCTGATAGTGATATGTGATCCTCACAGTGACTGAATTGCAGCGCCCAGTCTTCCTCAGTCAATAGAGAGGTCCAGAAACCAAGGGTTGCAGTTAAGGGGGACAGTGGGGAGTAGCTGTCACTATTATTTTTCTCTCTAAAATTTTTTTGCTGGCCGGGCACGGTGGCTCATGCCTGTAATCCCAGCGCTTTGGGAGGTGGAAGCAGCTGGATCACTTGAGGTCAGGAGTTTGAGACCAGTCTCGCCAACATGGTGAAACCCCGTCTCTACCAAAAATACAAAAATTAGCCAGGCATGGTGGTGGGCGCCTATAATCCCAGCTACTCGGGAGGCTGAGGCAGGAGAATTGCATGAACCCGGGAGGTTTCAGTGAACTGAGATCGCGCCACTGCACTCCAGCCTGGGCAACAAGAGCAAAACTCCGTCTCAAAGAAAAAAAAAAAGATATTTGCTTTCCACGCCCCAAGTCACTCATGCTCTGTGGTTTAACTGCCCAAGGGCAAGGTTCTTGCCAGGGAACCCAATAAGAGTTCTACCTGGTTATTTAGGACTCCTCCTGCCACCAGGGCAAAAGGTCTCCCCATGCTGGCTGTGCTCCCCCTGATTATGAAGGGAAAATGGGAGTGTTGCTCCCCAGTATGACCTGGGTGGAGTAGAGATGGGAGGAGGGTGAGCTCCTCAACGGCCCTCACACCACCACACCCAGTGGCAAAAATCAGCAGAAAACCATCACTATCTACATGAACGTTCTAATTTTTTTCACTCACTATTGGTGGTAGTTAAATTTACCAATTTGCTCAAAGTTGCAAGATGATAAGAAATAACCCTTGGCTCAGCTGGGCACGGTGGCTCACGCCTGTAATTCCAGCACTTTGGGAGGCTGAGGCGGGTGGATCACCTGAGGCCAGGAGTTCGTGACCAGCCTGGCCAACATGGTGAAACCCCGTCTCTACTAAAAATACAAAAAATTAGCCGGGTGTGGTGGTGGGCGCCTGTAATCCCAGCTACTAGGGAGGCTGAGGCAAGAGAATTTCTTGAACCTGGGAGGCGGAGGCTGCAGTGAGTCGAGATCGCACCATTGTACTCAACCTAGGCAACAAGAGTGAAACTCTATCTCAAAAAAAAAAAAAATGCTGAGCACGGTGGCTCACGCCTGTATAGCAGAACTTTGGGAGGCCGAGGTGGGCTGATCATGAGATCAGCAGATCGAGACCATCCTAGCTAACATGGTGAAACCTTGTCTCAACTAAAAGTACAAAAAATTAGCCGGGCATGGTGGCATGCGCCTGTGGTCCCAGCTACTCATGAGGCTGAGGCAGGAGAATCGCTTGAACCCAGGAGGCGGAGGTTGCAGTGAGCCGAGATTGTGCCACCGCACTCCAACCTGGGCAACAGAGTGAGACTCCATCTCAAAAAGAAAAGAAAAGAAAAGAAAAAAGAAATAACCCTTGGCTAATGAGAAGCTAGAGGAGGCATGGGCAGCACTTGGAAATTGTGAACTCTGCAATTCAGAAGGAATGTTTAGTAGGCTGAGATGCCCCATCTGCATATCTGGATGTGACGGTATTGCCTTCTTTTTTTTTGAAGAGGGGGGTGAGGGGGATAGAGTCCCGCTCTGTCACCTGGGCTGGAGCTATGCAATCTTGGCTCACTGCAACCTCTGCCTTCCAGGTTCAAGCAATTCTTGTGCCTCAGCCTCCTGAGTAGCTGGGATTACGGGCATGCGCCATCACACCGAGCTGATTTTTGTATTTTTTTTTTTTTGAGATGGAGTTTTGCTCTTGTTGCCCAAGCTGGAGTGCAATGGTGCGATCTCAGCTCACTGCAACCTCCAACTTCTGGGTTCAGGCGATTCTGCCTCAGCCTCCTGAGTAGCTGGGATTACAGGCATGCGCCACCATGCCCAGCTAATTTTGTGTATTTTTTAGTAGAAACGGGGTTTCACCATGTTAGCCAGGCTGGTCTCAAATTCCTGACCTCAGGTGATCCACCCCCCTCGGCCTCCCAAAGTGCTGGGATTACAGGCATGAGCCACTGCACCCGGTCTGGTGTTGCCTTTTTTTAGGGATGTTGAAATGCATGTGGCTGTGATAACTGGAGAAAAGGAACAAAGTACACATTGGGTGCCTAGGGTTTACTTCTGGGCCTGCTTCTAGTCTCTCTCTACATGCTGTACCTAAGCAACCAGTCCCATGGCTCTAAGCGATGACTCCTAAACCTACATTTCCAGCTCTGGCCTGGCCTGGAAATCCAGTCTATACATATCCACCTGCCTGCTTATCAGCCCACTGGATGCCTCACAAGGATCTCAAATCAACATGTCCAAAACCAAGCTACTGATTTCTGCCTATCAGCACCCCCTAACCCAGCAGTCCCCAACCGTTTTGGCACCACGGACCAGGAAGATAATTTTTCCACTAACCGGCGGGTGGGAGTTGGGGGATGATTTTGGGATGATCTGAGCACATTAAGTTTATTGTGCACTTTTTTTTTTTTAAACGGAGTCTCGCTCTGTCACCAGGCTGGAGTGCAGTGGCACGATCTTGGCTCACTGCAACCTCCACCTCCTGGGTTCAAGCGATTCTCCTGCCTCAGCCTCCCAAGTAGCTGGGATTACAGGCACGTGCCACCATGGCCAGCTAAGTTTTGTATTTTTAGTAGAGACGAGGTTTCACCATGTTGGCCAGGATGGTCTCGATTTCCTGACCTCGTGATCTGCCTACCTCAGCTCCCAAAGTGCTGGGATTAGAGGCGTGAGCCACCGCGCCTGGCCTGTGCACTTTATTTCTATTATTATTACATTGTAATGTATAACAAAATAATTATACAACTCACCATCATGTGGAATTAGTGGGAGCCCTGAGCTTGTTTTCTCGCAACTAGACGGTCCCATCTGGGGGTGATGGGAGACAGTGACAGGTCATCAAGCATTAGATTCTTATAAGGAGTGCATGACCTAGATCCCTTGCATGCGCAGTTTACAATAGGGTTCGTGCTCCTATGAGAATCTAATGCTGTTGCGGATCTGAGAGGAGGCAGAGCTCAGGCGGTAATGGGAGCAATGGGTAGTGGCTGTAAATACAGATGCAGCTTTGCTCATTTGCCCACCACTTACTTCCTGCTGCGTGGCCTGGTTCCTAACAGGCCACAGACAGGTACTGGTCCATGGCCCAGTAGGTTAGGCCCTGCCCTAACCTACTCCTCCTTTAGTCTCCCCTTTTCCTTTCCTTTTCTTTTTCTTTCCTTCTTCTTTCTTTCTTTCTTTTTTTTTTTTTGAGACAGTCTCGCTCTGTCACCCAGGGTGGAGTGCAATGGCGCGATCTCAGCTCACTGCAACCTCCACCTCCCACGTTCAAGCAATTCTCCTGACTCAGCCTTCCAAGTAGCTGGGATTACAGGTGCCTGCCACCATGCCTGGCTAATTTTTGTATTTTTAGTAGATTAAAGGGTTTCACTATGTTGGCCAGGCTTTTCTCGAACTCCTGACCTCGTGATCCGCCTGCCTCGGCCTCCCAAAATGCTGGGATTACAGGCATAAGCCACCACGCCCAGCCCATTTTAATTTAATTTAAACTTAAATAGCCACATATGATTAGTGGCTGCCGTATTGAAGAGAGTAGCTCTAGATTTTTGCTTTGGGCAACTAGGTGGCTCATGGTGCCATTAATTGAAAAATGGGGCCGGGTGCGGTGGCTCACACCTATAATCCCAGCACTTTGAGAGGCCAAAGCGGGCAGATGACCTGAACTCAGGTGTTCGAGACCAGCCTGGCCAACATGCTAAAAATACAAAAAATTAGCTGGGCATGGTGGCATGCACCTGTAGTCCCAGCTACTCGGGAGGCTGAGGTGGGAGGAGCACTCAAGCCCCAGGAAGTGGAGGTTGCAGTGAGCCAAGATTGTGCCACTGCACTCCAGCCTGGGTGACAGAGTAAGACCCTGTCTCAAAAAGAAAAAAACAAGAGAGAGAGAGAGAAAGCAGGCTGCCAGCCACCAGCCTGGACAACATAGTGAGACCCCTTCTCTACAAAAAATCAAAAATTAGCCAGGCATGGTGGTGTGCGCCTGTAGTCTCAGCTACCCTGGAGACTGAGGTGGGAGGATCACTTGAACTGGGGAGGTTGAGGCTGCAGTGAGGTATGATTGTGCCACTGCCCTCCAACCTGGGCAGCAGAGCAAGACCTTGTCTCAAAAAAAAAAAAAAAAACAAAAAAAACAAAACAAAACAAAAAGAGGCCGGGTGCGGTGACTCACGTCTGTAATCCTAGCACTTTGGGAGGCCAAGGTGGGTGGATCATTTGAAGTCAGGACTTCAAGACCAGCCTGGCCAATATGGTGAAACCCCATCTCTACTAAAAATACAAAAATTAGCTGGACATGGTGGCACGCACCTGTAATCCCAACTACTTGGGAGGCTGAGGCAGGAGAATCGCTTGAACCTGGGAGATGGAGGCTGAGGTGGGCGGATCACTTGAGCCCAGGAGGTCCAGACCAGCCTGGGCAATATAGTGAGACCCAATCTCTACAAAAAATTTTTAAAAATTCGCCAGGCATGGTGGTGCACAGCTGTACTCCCAGCTACTTGGAAGGCTGAGGTGGAAGGATCACTTGAGTCCAGAAGGTTGAGGCTGCAGTGAGCCATGATTGTGTCACTGCACTCCAGCCTGGGTGATAAAGCGAGACCCTGTCTCAAAAAAAAAGTAATTGTTTTAAAAATGGTGACCAACCCAATCTGAAGTACCCAACAGGTGGCCAGGCATTGTGGCTCATGCTTGTAATCCCAGCACTTTGGGACGCCAAGGCGGGAGGCTCACTTGAGGCCATGAGTTTGAGACCAGCCTGGCCAACATGGTGAAATCCTGTCTCTACTAAAAATACAAAAATTGGCCGGGCGCGGTGGCTCACGCCTGTAATCCCAGCACTTTGGGAGGCCAAGACCGGCGGATCACGAGGTCAGAAGATCGAGACCATCCTTGCTAACACGGTGAAACCCCGTCTCCACTGAAAATACAAAAAAATTAGCCAGGCGTGGTGGCGGGTGCCTGTAGTCCCAGCTACTCGGGAGGCTGAGGCAGGAGAATGGCGTGAACCCAGAAGGCGAAGCTTGCAGTGAGCCGAGATCGTGCCACTGCACTCCAGCCTGGGCGACAGAGCGAGACTCCATCTCAAATAATAATAATCATAATAATAAAAATACAAAAATTATCTGGGGGTGGTGGTGGCCGCCTGTAATCCCAGCTACTCAGGAGACTGAGGCATGAGAATTGCTTAAACCCAGGAGGCAGAGGTTGCAGTGAGCTGACATCGTGCCACTGCACTCCAGTCTGGGCAACAGAGTGAGACTCCATCTCAAAAAATTAAAATTAAATTAAAAAATTAAAAAAGTACCCAAAAAGTCTTTTCCAAGATGTGATTTTAATTCTCTGCGTAGGATTTATTACTAACTGGTGATTCTTTAATTTGTGTATTGTTTGCTTCCCCCTACTAGAAACTAAGCTCTATAAGAATATTTTGTTTGATTGCTTCGCTGCTGTATTCTATTCCCAGTGTCTAGAACGTGCCTGAAACCTAGCAGACACTCAGTGTTTGTTAAATGAATAATCGAATAATAGTCCACCTACTAGGAGGGTTAAAGGCAGGGTTTCTAAAGTTGGAAGACCCAGAGTGGAATCCTGGGCCACGCACTCGTGTGATCTGCCGCAAGTTGTTGAACCTAAGGGTGTAAAATGGGGATTCCACCTCTGGGATAGGCGGAGCGAATGAAATGACATTTATAAAGCACTCCCTTCGCTCTGTGGCTCAGGAATTAGAGCACTGGTCTAGTAAAGCACTCTTGCTCCCTCTCCCTCTCTCCCTTAAGCGCTCTCTTCTTTCCCCCTCCTGCTCAGCCCCTCACATGGCCACTTCTCTTCGGCTTTGCATGACACTCTACACAGTCTAGAGTAAGCCTTTGAAATTTGCCGGGAATTAACGTCATCAGTCGGGAGGACGACAGCTACGCACGCGCGGGGCACCTCCTCTGTCTCGCGCGCTAACTTTGCAGCCCCGCCAGCCAATCAAAATTAGCGTCGGAGCCCGAGTGCCGAGGACTCACCAATCGGAACTAGGAGGCGGGCCACGGTGGAGGCAGCGGCGAGAGGGGGCGGGGACAAGGAGAGGGCACGCACGGTTCTCGCTGCTGGGGTCTCTGCCGGCCAATAGGAGAGGCCTGAGGCCTGAAGGCGGTGGGGCGGGGCATTGGCGGCTCCAGCAACCGGAGGCCGTCCCAGGGAGGGCCAATCGGAGTAAGGAGGTGGGAGAAACCTAGCCAATCAGTGTGCAGGACGGGCAAGGAGGGTGGTGGACGGCGAAGTCTCCTGCGGATGCCGCCCGCTCCCGAGCTTCTGTCAGGGGAGCCGGGCGTGCGGAGGCGGCTGAGGAGGCGGGAAGGCGGCAGTGGTTGAAGGGGTGATTGCTGACTAGCGGGGAGGGAGTGGGCAGCGATGGTGATGGCGGCGAAGAAGGGCCCGGGCCCGGGCGGCGGGGTCAGCGGGGGCAAGGCGGAGGCGGAGGCGGCCTCGGAGGTGTGGTGCCGTCGGGTGCGGGAGCTGGGTGGCTGCAGCCAGGCCGGGAACCGCCACTGCTTCGAGTGCGCCCAGCGCGGGGTCACCTACGTGGATATCACCGTGGGCAGCTTCGTGTGCACCACCTGCTCCGGCCTCCTGTGAGTGACCGGGAGGGAGTGGCCGAGGTCGGCGTGGGGGGACCCGGGGGCGGGGTGGGGAGGCCGGGGCTCCGGGGCGCGAGGGAAGGGGGCCGAGGTGAGGGGCGGAGGGGAGGTCAGGGAACGCGCCGGCTGTGGGGACGGGGTCGTCTGCTGCAGCGGTGTGGTGGGGAGGGGAAAGGGCAGGGGAGAGGAAGCAAGGCCGGAGTCGCTCTGCGGAGAGAAGGGTACGGGTGCAGAAAGACGCCCGGAGAGGGACCGAGAAACTCCCCGAGGGGGTCGAGGCAAACTGCAAGTGGGGAGGGAGAAAGTGCGGAGGATGGAAGGGAACTCGGAGTGGGATGGGGTGTCGGGACTTAAAGGGCCAGAAAATGACATGCACCTTTAGAGGGAACTTCATGCAGGTGGAAAGCAAAAAGGAAAAAGGTGGGGAAAGCCGGCCTGGAGATGGACGGGCACCTTTCTTCCTTCGGGCTTGTGTCCCTGCTGGAGTGTGAGATGCAGAAGCCAGCTGAAACTTGGTTGAAATTCCTATGATTAGAGTACAGGATTAAAAAAAAAAAAAAAAGCGAATTAACCCCGATTGACAGCCTAGAGATAGTGGCTGGAAGGGAGCCATGGTCCAGAGTTCAGGTGTAGATACTAATCTTAGCAGGGCTTTGAAATGTTACCCAGAAGGTAAAACTCTTACGAAATCTAAGAGATGAGAGCCAATGGGTTACCCTGGTAGAGAGCTTAGCTTTTTCAAACGTTTGCACGTCTAGGTGAGCCATCCTGAAGGTTAATCATTTACACCTTTAAGATCCCTGTTGCCATGACTGGATCCTGGTGGTAGCATCCAGGAAACTCTAGATTTTGGGGGGGCTTTGGTGCATCATCTGAGTGCTACTCTTGGCATTGGTACTGTTCGGTCATGCCAGAGTGAATTTACAGCCACAATTCTAGCCTAGATTTCTGGTTATATAGTAAAGCCCCCTCCACTCCCCTCTGCACTCCTCCTACTCCCAAATTAAGATATTATTTGGTTAGATGCATGATTAACATCTGATATCAGGCCTGGATCTCTGTTTTTTAATAAGTTTGTCAAGGGATTTATTTTGACAATTTTTTAGTCTTATTTTAAGACACTGTTGTTTTTGTTTTGTTTTTTAAAAAATGCTTTCCAGCCAGGCGCTGTGGCTCACGCCTGTAATCCTAGCACTTTGGGAGGCCGAGGCAGGCAGATCATGAGGTCAAGAGATCGAGACCATCCTGGCCAACATGGTGAAACCCCATCTCTACTAAAAATACAAAAATTACCTGGGTGTGGTGGCGCGCACCTGTACTCCCAGCTACTTGGGAGGCTGAGGCAGGAGAATCACTTGAACCCGGGAGGTGGAGGTTGCAGTGAGCTGAGATTGCGCCACTGCACTTCAGCCTGGCGACAGAGCAAGACACTGTCTCAAAAAAAAAAAAAAAAAAAAAAGCTTTCCCTGTCTTGATACCTTTAGGAGCCAGGGAGCGAGCACTATTGTTCTTGCAAGACAGATGGGAGAACAGAAGCAAAGAGAGGTTTCGTAACTTATCCAGTGCCATATGGGCATTGCGGTTTCCAACATTTGTTGTTTGATATTAGTGATGATCATGGCAGACCAGCAATGAGGATTTAGTTTTCTCAAGATACCGTTTGGAATTATTTACTTCGTTTTAACCTCCTTTGCTAAACTTCTCTCTGGGTTCTGATCAACCTCACTTGTGGGTTGTAAGGATGAACTTGACTTTGGTCTAAGTAAAAGTCATCGTGGCTCTTGGGATAATGATTGAGAACCCAAACAGTAATGTGTCATAAACTGAGATGGACTGAAATGAAGCAAGAGGATAGAGACTCGAGAGTGGGTGAAGAACTCTGGGGAGAGATTGAGCAACGTTTAGGAGTATGTATAGGGGTCGGGCTCGGTGGCTCAGTATGTATAGGAGGCCAAGGTGAGCAGATCACTTGAGGTCAGGAGTTTCGAGACCAGCCTGGCCAACATGGCGAAATCTCATCTCTTACTAAAAATACAAAAATTAGCCAGGCATGGTGGCAGGTGCCTGTAATCCCAGCTACTTAGGAGGCTGAGGCAAGAGAATTGCTTGAACCCAAGAGGTGGAGGTTGCAATGAGCCGAGATCGCACCACTGCACTCTCCAGTCTGGGTCGCAGAGCGAGACTCTGTCTCACAAAAAAAAAAAAAAAAGGAGTATGTATAGGGTAAAGTAGAAAGAGAAAGAGCTGATTCCTGAAGATCCTGCTATGAGAAGCAGAAGGATGAAACTGATGGATAAAATTGAGTAACTGGGAAGTGCTGACATTGTTATCATTATTTTGTAGATCTTTGTTAAAGTGTCCCACAGATAACATTTCCCTTATAATACCCCTCAATCAGGACACAAAGAAAGCTAAGGTATCTGGGACACGTTAAAAACCTGGTTTCTTTTTTCTTTTTTTGAGATGGAGTCTCACTCTGTTGCTTAGGCTGGAGTGCAATGGCGCGATCTCGGCTCATTGCAACCCCTGCCTCCTGGGTTTAAGCAATTCTCTTGCCTCAGCCTCCTGAGTAGCTGAGACTACAGGCACGCGCTACCACATCTGGCTAATGTTTGTATTTTTAGTAGAGACGGGGTTTTGCCATGTTGGTCAGGCTGGTCTCGAACTCCTGATCTCAAGTGATCCGCCCGCCTCGCCTCCCAAAGTGCTGGGATTACAGGCGTGAGCCACGGCACCCAGCCTGCTTAGCTTTTTGGTAAAGCATTATGAGACTAAACCAGGGAGTGATTCTCACAGAGGAGGATTTAGAGAGCATATTTTGGTGTTTGGGAAATGAGAAGCTAGACCAACCCTTTGTTAGTAGGAAATGAGAGTGAAATGAAAGATCAAGAGGTTAGGCCAGTAAATGAAGCTGAATTGAAGGTATGTTGAGAGTGAGAAATTTCAGGAGAAACTCTGCAAGAAAGCTGGAGTTTCCCTATAATTAGCATGACAAGGGCAAGGCATATAATCCTTGTAAAGGGGTCTTAACACAGTATTACCTGTGTCCCTTTGATATGCTGTGGGAAGGAGTGGGAGCTGGCAGGTGGGCTGTAAGGCAGAATGTGAGGCAGGGGATGCTTATTTCTGGAGGCATGGCTCCATGGTGGCACGGAGACCAATTAGCATCTTAAATCCCCATGATTGATTACCTGTAGATTAGGGTTTGGTGTTGGTGGGAAGTGAAAATTGTGGTCGGCTGACAGCCTGCATGTTTATTCATTCGGTCAGTCAACACGAACTTATTCAGTGCCTATCAAGCGCCAGACACTGTTTTAGGTACTGGAGATACAGTAGTGATAAGTTCCCATTTTCACGGAGCTGACATCCTAGTGGAAGCCATGGACTATAAAGAAATCGTTCTGTATTGCTAAAAGCTATGAAGTAAAATGAAGCTCTGTGGGTTAGAGTGATACCAAACTGAGGTATGATGCAAAGAGAAGAAATATTATTATTAATTTTTTTTTTTGAGATGGAGTCTCGCTCTGTCGCCCAGGCTGGAGTGCAGTGGTCCGATCTTGGCTCACTGCAACCTCCACCTCCTGGTTTCAAGCGATTCTCCTGCCTCAGCCTCCCCAGGTAGCTGGGATTACATGTGCACACCACCACGCCCAGCTAATTTTTGTATTTTTAGTAGAGACGGGGTTTCACCATGTTGGCCAGGCTGGTCTCAAACTCCTGACCTCAGGTGATCCACCTGCCTTGGCCTCCCAAAGTGCTGGGATTACAGGCGTGAGCCACTGTGCCTGGCCTCGAGAAGAAATATTCTTTGTTAAAATGAAGAGGATATTGAGGGAAGAAATTGAAATACCACATTAGCACCGTAGCCACAGAAAGGAGACAGCAGGATGACATTATTTTAAAGGCCAGTTTTCTGTTCAGTGGGTTACAAATATGTCTCCTTCATAAGGGGATAGAGTCGTCTGGGGGCAGTGAGCAAAATTACTAGAATTCCCAGCTGGTTGGATTGGCCGATGTAGCAAAGTTGATGGTTCCAGCCAAAGTTGAATTTCCTAAGATCTGAAGAAAAACACACATTTTAATATTGGTGGGTGGGTATGACTCTGCCTGCATCCCTGCATGTATGAACTCATTCTTGTTCTCTCTTTTTTAATGAGAAATATTTTCTCAGCTGTAGCAAAAACCTACAGCGTTGGTGTGAGGGGTTGAGAGAAAGGCTGCTAGTTTCTGCTGTTCCTAAATTTACATACATACTGCCACAATTGTAGGTCCCACACCTGACCTAGTTTTATTCATTTGGTTTTCTTCCAGTACCTAATTTCCTTAACCTAGATGTGGATCTGTTTAATTTCCCCAACATACACATATGCTTGTTTGTTTAGTTACATTTCTAATTCTTGGAGGATGAATCTGTCATTTGAATCTTAAGACGTGGTAAAAATTGCTGCTAAAAAGCATCTATTTGCAAAGCAGTGCTTTAAATGTTCTTTCTTGTTCTGGTTTGCCTGAATGCGTCTGTGAATGAACCACTGTTCCTCAGAAAGAAAATGGATGTTGAGGCCTGAGATCTCATTGACACAAGGATGGACGCTAACTTTGACACCCAGTTTTTTCAGCAAAGTATGACATATTTCCTTGATGTGGCTGTTTGGGTCCATCTTCAATCCATCGTTCTTCAGGTGTTTGTAATAGACACTTATCTCTTCTATTTCTGCCCAACTTTACTGTGATCACAGGAGTCAGAATTAAGGTGGGCAGAGCTCTGGGCTGGGTGTCAAGAATGCACTTGACAGCTCTTTATTTGTGACAAGTTCCTGCCCTCCTTGTGCCTTACTTTCCCTGTCGGGCTTGCTGGTGGTTCTTAGTTGAAGCATTTTAATCTCCATGGGAGGAAAGGTACAGTATGTTCTTCAATAATTCAGTACTTTTCCATCTGTCTGGGTTGGAGAGGTACACATGTACCTTGCCCCTGTTTTAGTCCCATCCCTCCATCCCCTCCTCTGTCACCTTTCATGTTGACCTCTGCTGGGCAGAGGTGGACAGAGTCTCTCACTAAATTACAGATGTAGGTGCTGTTTCATAAGGGGTGCATGAACCACTTGAAAAGCCCCGAAGGAAGTGATAAATTACTAAAGGGATGAGAAAAAGCTCGACGTGGGGTGGTGGGCGGGGGGGTGGGGATGAGAGAGGTGAGGGCAGAGGGAGACATGTAAAAAAGATTGAGGTTGAGCCTAAAGGGAAGGGCGGCTGGATGCTATCAGGAGTCTACCTGGCTCTAATCAACAGGACAGCTGTTTATCATTGCTGCTGAGGAGGAACAAAGGAAATGGGTTGAAGCAGAATTTAGATCAGGAAGAGGGTTCCTAAAATTAGTGAAATTGACCCTGGAGCAGGGTAATAGGAGAGCCTTCCTCTTAGGGACTATTAAAAGTTCCTAACAGGGACTCTTCATGGTGATGTTTGCATCCAAGATAAGAGCTAAACTGGTTTAGTTGTATCCTGTTCAGAAGCAGAGGAGTGAAATCCCAGAGCAAAGAAACACGATCTGGGGTGTATGAATCTGAACACAATTGTTCAAAGGCAAGGATTTCCCAAGTCCAAATTTGGCACAAATGAAAAAGAACTTGGGTGCTGGGTGGAACTGGTTTTTTTCCATTGTTGACCTGGCAGAACTTTCTTATCTGAGCAGCTGAGCAGGTTTGATGCTTTTATGAAGCAAGATAGAAGCAAAAATATGGGCCAGCATGAGGGTGATGATCACAGAAAAACAAAAGGTGTGGTATTTGTGGAAATAGTACTATGCCTAATGGAATCAGAGAGGAGACGGGAGGGAGGGAAAGAGAGAGGACTGGGCAGTTGTTAGCAGCTACACATACAAGTGGCTTCAGCTGCCAAATAATTCAGAATACTTCATATGCCCTTTAGGTGCCCTGTGAAAAAGAAACTGAAGTGGATAAAGACAACCTGACTGGCTGGAGGCTTGAGTCCTAGTAATAATGTACTTTCCATTGGAAAAACTTACTCTATTCTGAGAAAATAAATTGATCTCTGTTCCTCCCCAGCACTTCCTGGTTAGAAATACCAGAATGAATTTGCTGTGATTACCTCTTTTGGGAGGAACCTGAGAGTTATGTTGGGGAGCTGGGTGCAAGTGGGAGAGCTGGGCCTGTTTAATTCCAGGCCAGTGACTCACATCTGGTCCGCTGCATGACCCTGGTGTGTACCCAGTGAAATGCAGCACACCTAGGCCACATGGTTTTAGCTACCAGGAGGAAGGGGGCTCTCGTTTCTAAATTGCTTCTTTTGGCCAGCAGTGGCCTCTCTGTGATTCAGAAAGAAAAACTCTGACTCATAGGCCATGTAACTAGGCCCCCTTCCTAGGCTGCAGTGTTGCCTTGTAGAGAATTCTCCCTGCCCCCAGACTGTGGCTCTGGTTGTACAAAATCCAGTCTACAGACATCAAGGTCAGAGCAATGCTTTTTGTACTGTGCTATGGAAACATCCTGTTCCATCAGATTCATTTGGCCCAAAGCACCTAAATCATTTCTTATTTTCTCTGCCTTCCCATCATCCTGTCACGTCTGCCGCCCCCCCCGCCCGCCACCCCCACCAAAAATAAACTCTTTTAGTCCAGGCTCAACCATAAGTTCTGTTCTAAGCATCCCATTTTGATTGATGCCTGGGTTGAGTCCTGCCTCCTCCCCCTAACAAGGAAGCATACCTCCCTGTTTACAGTTCGCTAACAGTTCCTGGTTATCCATTCAGGAAATGTCAATGACCTTTTTGTGATAGGCTTAGAATCTGTTTTTCTAGTGTAAACATAATACATTTTACCTTCCCCATGACTGTTTCTCTTCCTTCCGCAACTGCTGCATCCTGGAGTCACGTTCTCCCTGATCCATCAGTGCCTGACTGAATAGCACCCTACTGCAGTAAGAAGTACCTTTGTCCAGGCTTCCTGGGTTCTTCTTGTGAGCTCCTGGTGATAAGATAACTCTGTCCTATAATTTTTGTATCCCCCACAGTGCCTCCCATAATGCCTTGTGTTTTGGCAAAGTAAATTTTGTTTGTAGGAGGTGAAGGAGAAGACCTTTGAGATCACAGGGACAATGAGGTCTGGCTAGACTTCAGAAAGCCCTGACATTCTGAAGGGGAAGGGCCTAGTGGTTAAGGTGAGAAAGTCTAAAAGCAGGCTGGCTAGAATTAAAAGCAAAACCAAACCAAGCCATTAGCAAGAGAGGCCTTAGGAGAGAGAATGGACTATCTCTGAAATGTGATCGGAAGACAGTCTTCGGGGCAGACCAAGCTTAAGAGCTATTGTTTGATATGTAGTAACAAAGCCTTGCTTTCGTTTTTCCCTGAGCTTATCTTTCCTTGGGGGCATCAGTCCTCTTTGATATTGCTTGTCTTTTATAAGAGCATTTTTGAGACCCTTTATACCTAAAGGTCTAGCAGCAGAATTGCTGCAAACAGCGTCAACTGGAGCCTCCAGTGTCCTGTCCTTTGTTAAAATCCCATAATGAGTAATTTATCATCCGCAGGGTGGCCGCCCTTACTGTTCACTCTGTACTGAGTCCGCCCACTCCCTGCCCCCCACCCCCACCACCGCTGCTTTTGCTTACACCTCGCTGCTGTTCTCCCAGACTTGGCAGGAGCACTTGGATTCTGTGTGTGCACCTGTTAGTGTGAATGTATGTTTTCCCCACCTTCTTTGTGAATTTTCAGGATTTTCATCTGTTAAATATTTTTGTCTCTTTTTCCCCCTTTGCGCTTCCTGAGGATGTCAGCCAGGACCCTATTCTGGATTTTTATTTGAGCAACTCGATTTGGCCATTTTTTTTTTTTCCATGAGAGTAAAAGTCTGAAGAGGCCTCATCTGCTGAGACTGCTTCCCTCCTGTCCCAGGATCTAGCTTGTTTTGGTTTGGGCAGTTTTGTTTAATCCAGTGAGGGTAGTAGACCTAGACCAGAATAATACTTAAGGTGCAAGGACAGGGGAACCTATGAAGCCCTGCCTGGCTTAGCCCCAAGTTTCCTGTATTAGAACACTCCTGAGACCAGTTGAGTGGGGACAAGGAAGCCTTCTCTTCTCTTATAATCTCCACAGGGTTCCTGGAGGCAGAACTGGATTCCCAGGGAGTTAACAGAACATACAGAGGAGGCACAAAAGCATTGCCACAGGTTACATATTCCTCGCCCATGCCAGCCTTATAGCTCATGGTTGAACTTGACTTCTTCCTGCTTTATTGAGAGATACAGAAATAAGAAAATCAAATATTTCTTTTCCTAGAGATGGCTTCCTGAAAGAGAGGGACCCTCTCCATCCCACCACCACTCCACCCTTCTTTGTAGACACAAGGAGGACCAGCTGGGCTAGAGACTGTTTTTTGTCACCATATCCTGTTTTTGTTAGTGTTATCAAGAATAGTACTGGGCCTTCATTTTTGCCTTCCCTCATGCTTGAAGGATTTGTGTTTTTGTGGGCCCTGGGACCTTGGGGATGGGCTGTAGGTCTAAAACAATGATAAAGTAGGAAGTGGGAAGTGGTCACGTGTCTGAGTTCCCAGAAGTACCCCCCTCGGCCTACAGGCTGAACACTGAAACTACTGGGATCTGAGCCAGGCTAGAGGAGGCTTCTGGATGGGCAGGCTCTACCTTTCCTCTCCAGAACTACTGGGATCACAGGATGTTCCTGACTCTCTCTTCCCTGTCTCTTTGGAGATTCTTTTTTTTGGGGGTTGGAGGGGGGTGGTGGGAGTGGGGACAGAGTCTTGCTGTTGCCCAGGATGGAGTGCAGTGGGGTGATTTTGGCTCACTGTAGCCTCTGCCTCCCAGGTTCAAGCGATACTTGTGCCTTAGCCTCCTGAGTAGCTGAGATTACAGGCGTGCACTACCATGCCCGGCTAATTTTTGTATTTTTAGTAGAGACAGGTTTTCACCATATTGGCCAGGCTGGTCTCGAACTCCTGGCCTCAAGTGAGCTGCCTGCCTCGGCCTTCTAAAGTGCTGGGATTACAGGTGTGAGTCACTGTGCCTGGCCTCTCTTTGGAGACTTCTAATATCTCCAAAATATTCCAAATATTTCCCTTCTTTCCTGGAATTAGGAAGTAGCTTCAGATGGGGGGGTTCTATCTGAGCTTAGTTTATATGCTATTCTTTCACCCTTTCTCCCTCCTCCTCCTCCTCCCATGAACAGCCTGCCATGCTAACTGCATTATACTTCTCTTTCTTCCTGTTTCTCTCCCATAGGAGAGGGCTGAACCCCCCTCATCGTGTCAAGTCAATCTCCATGACAACTTTCACTGAGCCTGAAGTAGTATTCCTGCAATCCCGTGGAAATGAGGTGAGCTGCCACCGATGGAGTGGTGAGAAGGTCACCTATCTGCAGGTGGGGCTTTGCCTCAAGATTGTAGGGAAACCTTACGGTTTTATTTTTGGTTGAGTTTCTCTTAATTTTTTCATATGTATGATTTCTTTCCTTAGGTATATTTACAGAATCTTTATTCTGTTATACAAATCATGGTTTGTCTAGGCCTCCTTTTCAGGAGTCAGGGGAAGTAGCAATATCGTTGTAGGATGTGGCACCTGAGCAATGGAGGGGTAGAATGACCAGAGCTCCAGAGCGTGAGCATTCAGAGTTGACTGGGCCAGCCCCTCTGAGGAAGCTTTCCTGGAGCCAGCTCTGCTGCCTTCAGCCTCGACAACCTGGATTTAAGTGCATATCTTGTACTGGAAAGTGACTTAAACCCCTTCCCTAGCTAAATCTGCCGATCAGAAGTTGCTATCCTTGGCGTTAGCAGTACCCCAGCTTATGGGTGATTGGTTTACTTAGAGGGTATCCTCAAGGGCCTCTGGAGGTGTCCTGGAAGCCAGAGCTCTGAAAATTGTCCTGGACCCTACCCTTAGTGAAATTTAATTCTCCATAATTCTCATGGCCCTCTATTTTCCTTTTTCAATACATGTCACAAAATGTGATTATAACTTTAGTTTTATTTATCTAAGATATGACTGCCCCATTGGATTATAAACTCTGCGAGGACAGGAATCATATCTGGTTTGTAGGTAGACCCAGATCCTAGCACTGTGTCCATGCTCAATATTTGTTTATTTATTTATTTATTTATTTATTTATCAGAGACAAGCTCTTGCTTGCTCTGTCACCCAGGCTGGAGCTTAATGGTGCAATCTTGGCTCACTGCAACCTCAACCTCCTGGGCTCAAACGATCCTCCCACCTCAGCCTCCCAAGTAGCTCGAACTATAGGCACATGCCACCATGCTCCACTAATTTTTGTATTTTTTTAGAGAGTGGGTTTCGCTGTGTTGCCCAGACTGCTCTTGAACTCCCGTACTCAAGTGATCCACCCACCTCGGCCTTTCAAAGTGCTGAGATTACAGGTGTGAGCCACCACATCCAGCCAATATGTATTTACTGATGAATAAATAGGAAGTGGTGGCTGGGCGCGGTGGCTCATGCCTGTAATCCCAGCAGTTTGGGTAGCTGAGGTGGGCAGATAACGAGGTCAAGAGATCGAGGCCATCCTGGCCAACATGGTGAAACCTCATCTCTATTAAAAGTACAAAAATTAGCTGGGCGTGGTGGCGCATGCCTATAGTCTCAGCTACTTGGGAGACTGAGGCAGGAGAATTGCTTGAACCCCGGAGGTGGAGGTTGCAGTGAGCTGAGATCGTGCCACTGCACTCCAGCCCGGCGACAGAGCGAGACTCCGTCTCAAAAAAAAAAAAAAAAAAAAAAAAAGGAAGTGGTATTTTTTGTATTTCCTGCTTTCTGCTCCCACTCCTCTGACACCTTCATTCTTTTAGGTTTGCCGGAAGATTTGGTTGGGTCTGTTTGATGCTCGGACATCTTTAGTACCAGATTCCAGGGATCCTCAGAAAGTGAAGGAGTTTCTCCAGGAAAAATATGAGAAGAAGAGATGGTAAGGAGTAGGAAAGAGGTTGCTATGGAAACGTGTTCAAGACATTCTTCATCTGACAGTCCAGTTTCTAGAGTTGAATTTGGCCTTCTCACAAAAGACTAGACTTGGGTCGATTCTGTTCCACTCACATTCAGTTACGGCTAAAATAAATCTACATGAAAGGACAACTTGTTCTCAGTCACTAACCCTGCAGATTTTATGTCCTCTCTTTTGGAGAGATAGTAGACTGATTGGAGTCGGGAGGTAGGCCTGTGGGTGTTCATTTTTATAGCTCAGCTGATCTTATGTATGGGGAGAGATGGCTGGAAGCACACATCCTATAGTTTTATTCCTTTAACCCATCATTTTATGATTTTTTTTTTTTTTTGAGACAAGGTCTCACTCTGTTGCCCAGGCTAGAGTGCAGTGCCACAGTCACAGCTTACTGCAGTCTCAGCTTCTTGGAGCTCAGGTGATCCTCCTACCTCATCCTCCCCAGTAACTGGGACTACAGGTGTGTGCCACCATGCCTGGCTAATTTATATATATATATATATATATATATATATATATATATTTCTTTTTTTTTTTTTTTTTGAGACAGAGTCTCGCTCTGTCACCCAGGCTGGAGTGCAGTGGCGTGATCTCGGCTCACTCCAAGTTCCACCTCCCAGGTTCACGCCATTCTCCTGTCTCAGCCTCCCGAGTAGGTGGGACTACAGGCGCCCGCCACCACACCCAGCTAATTTTTTGTATTTTTAGTAGAGACGGAGTTTCACCGTGTTAGCCAGGATGGTCTCGATCTCCTGACCTCGTGATCCGCCCACCTTGGCTCCCAAAGTGCTGGGATTACAGGCGTGAGCCACTGCGCCCGGCCTTAATTTTTATATTTTTTGTAGAAATGAGGTTTCACCACGTTGCCCAGGCTGGTCTGAAACTCCTGGGCTCAAATGATCTGCCTGCCTTGGCCTCGCAAAGTGCTGGGATTACAGGCGTGAGCCACCGTGCCCGGCCTTGTTTCATGATTTATATGTACAGTCAGCCCTCTGTATCTGTAGATTCTGCAACCATGGATCCAATCAACCTCACATCAAAAATATTTGGGAAAATAGGCCAGGCAAGGTGGCTCACGCCTATAATCCCAGCACTTTGGGAGGCTGAGGTGGGCAGACCACTTGAGGTCAGGAGTTCGAGACTAGCCTGGCCAACATGGTGAAACCCCGTCCCTACTAAAAATACAAAAAAAATTAGCTGGGTGTGGGGGTGGACACTTGTAATCCCAGCTACTCTGGAGGCTGAGGCAGGAAAATTGCTTGAACCCAGGAGGCGGAGGTTGCAGTGAGCTGAGATCATGCCACTGTACTCCAGCCTGGGCAAAGAGAGAGAGACTGTCTCAAAAAAAAAAAAAAAAAAAAAAAAAAGTAGGGAACACAAAAAATAACAATACAACAATAAAAAATAATACAAATAAGGCCAGGTGTGGTGGCTCATGCCTGTAATCCCAGCACTTTGGGAGACCGAGGCGGGTGGATCACAGGGTCAGGACTAGTTCAAGACTAGCCTGGCCAAGATGGTGAAACCCCGTCTCTACTAAAAATACAAAAAATTAGCCAGGCATGGTCATGGGCACCTGTAATCCGAGCTACTCAGGAGGCTGAGGCAGAGAACTGCTTGAACCCGGGAGGCAGTGGTTGCAGTCAGCTGAGATCGTGCCACTGTACTCTAGCCTGGGTGACAGAGTGAAACTCCGTCTCAAAAAAAAAATAATAATACAAATAAAAAGCAATACAATATAGCAACTATTGCATGGCATTTACATTGTATTAGGTATTATAAGTAACCTAGAGATGATTTAAAGTATATTGGAGGATATACATATTTGATGCAAATACTTCACCATATTATATAAGAGACTTGAGTGTCCCGTCCTCTGATTATGGAATTGTCAGGGGGATCCTGGAACCAGTTCCCTGAGGATACCATGGGACAACTATATTTTGTCTTCCTGATGAAGGAAACAGCATCTCCATTCTCCCTTACCTTTCCTCTCCCCTGGTATCACTTCTTGTGGGATCTCTGGGGTGTGTACATGTTGGGAGGTAACTGTGAGGTAGAGAAGAGAATGCAGAGAACAAAGAGATTGATGTGGATAAGACCACACTGTGGAGTCCCTCCTAGGGATGTCCTCAGGATTAAGCTGACACTTACAGAGTAGGGGCCACATACACTGTAGTGGAAGGGAATTGTCCCGGCAGGAGCTGGCAGGATGGAAGTGTGGATTGTGAGCACCTAGAGGATGAGGCGGCAGGCAGCTTTTCTATGGAGCTGAGAAGAAGGAGTCTGAAGAAACACCCAGGAAATAAAAGAGGGGGACCTTTGCCAGGTGTGGTGGCTCATGCCTGTAATCCCAGAACTTTGGAGGCTAAGGCAGGAGGATCACCTGAGGCCAAGAGGTTGAGACCACCCTGGGCAACATAGTGAGACCTCTTCTCTACAAATAATTAAAAAATTAGCCAGGCATGGTAGCATGTACTTGTTTGTGGTCCCAGCTACTTGGGAGGCTGAGGCAGGAGAATCACTTGAGCCTAGGTAGTTAAGGCTGTGTTGAGCCAACATTGCCCCACTGCACTCCACCCTGGGCAACAGCGAGACCCTGTCTCAAAAAAACCAAAAGATGTTCAAGGGGATGCTCAAGATAGGCAGAACTTTGCTAAGTTGCTCGGTTCCCTTCAAAAAAGGGAATCAGTAGAGAAAAATGAGCATAGATTTTGACTCCTGTGTCTTCCCAAACATCTCAGCTGAGCGTGGTCCAAAGTTTTATCCCTCTCTTTACAGCCTAACTATTCTTTCTCAAAGGTATGTCCCCCCAGACCAAGTCAAGGGGCCCACTTATACCAAAGGCAGTGCCTCCACCCCTGTGCAGGGCTCCATCCCAGAAGGGAAGCCCCTTCGGACACTTCTGGGTGATCCTGCACCGTCTCTCTCAGTTGCTGCCTCCACCTCGAGCCAGGTAACTCTCAGATCTGCTCGTCATGTTTCTTTTGAGATTTGGGAGACAGGAGTGTCAGTTTCCTGAATCAGATTCCCCGGACTTAGCAGACAACAGTGCAGGAGCTGTGAGTTGGGTCTCGGCTCTGCTGTTAACCTGTATCTTGTATTTGTCACTTCTGGACCTCATATCTTTTGGAAGTCAGAACCTAACAGGAAGTGGTATTTAGGAAAGTCAGAATATCAGCTCCAAACCTGAGCATTCCATCAAAGAAACACAGAAGGGGCTGGAATATGGTGTCCAATACCTGGGAAGGTTGAGGAGTAACAGCCCTGGGGGCAGTATTGGGCAGTATTCCTGTATATCTCAGGGTTACCTTGGCTCATGTGCTGTAAAATGTGTGGTTCTTGGAGCAGGTGTACTGAGAAGATGAGGATGATATGAGCTCTGAGAGGGGCTAAGGCAGCTCCTGCCCAGGAATCTTCTAGGTTGAGGGCAGTTACTCACTGTCTTCTCTCTCTACCTGCCTATCTGAGGGCAACCTGGGGAGCCAGAGGAGGGCCTGGGGCATGTCTGGGATTCTAAGGGCTGTATGCATTCCTTCTCCTCCAAGCCCGTCAGTCAGTCTCACGCTCGGACATCCCAGGCCCGGAGCACTCAGCCACCTCCCCACTCCTCTGTCAAAAAAGCCAGTACTGACCTGCTGGCTGACATCGGTGGAGACCCCTTTGCTGCACCCCAGATGGCACCAGCTTTTGCTGCATTCCCTGCCTTTGGGGGTAAGTGGGTTTTGGGATGGGACCCTCCCTACAGCGTATATGCTTACAACATGAGAGATCCAGTCCCTGGAGGTAACCATGGCTCTAGATCTTCTCATGCAAACAAATGTGAGGGTCACTCTGAAGCAGTGAGGCTGGGAGGACTGGGGTCAAATAAGTACAGCCAGGATTATGTTTGGGGGTTTGATCCTAAAACATTATAGTTGAGGGCTCCTAGCACTTCCTTTTAGAACACTGGAAATAGCCTTTTTTATTATTTTCTGTCTCTGTTAAAATGGGAGGAGGGGGATTATCATGTGTTCCAGTTCACCAAAGATTATTCTTCCCCCAAATCAGCAATAGCCAGTAGAGGGTTCAGCAGCATAGAATCTGTTTTCCCTTTTTAAAAATTTTCAAGCCAGACACAGTGGCTCACACCTGTAATCCTAGCATTTGAGAGGCTGAGGTGGGCAGATCACCTGAGGTCAGGAGTTCAAGACCAGTCTGGCCAACATGGTGAAACCTCATCTCTACTAAAAAGAAAAAAAAAATTAGCCAAGTGTGGTGGCATGTGCCTGTAGTCCCAGCTACTTGGGAGGCTAAGGCAGGAGAATTGCTTGAACCTAGGAGGTGGAGGTTGCAGTGAATCACAATTGCATCACTGGACTCCAGCCTAGGTGACAGAGTGAGACTCCGTCTCAAAAAAAAAAAAAAAAAAAAAAAAATTCAAGCTCCTTCCTCCATGAAAAAAAATTTTCATGCTCCAAACTAGGCCCTGACAAAAATGTTAATGCCTCATGGAGTAAGGACAGAAGAGGGCAGGGAGTGAACCTGGAGGCCCTGGGTGCCCCTGTTCCCCTGTGTGGGTCTGGCTCTTGGCCCCAGGCCCCACCCATTTCCCTCTGAAGAGAACCCTGTGGAAAGGCAGATGTCCCATAAGAGTGGCCTTTGGCCTTTAGAATTAGTAGCTATATTACATGGATAGGCATATACATTTTCTTTTCTTTTTCTGTTGTGTGTGTGTGGTTTTTTTTTTTTTTTTTTTTTTTTTTTTGAGTCAGAGTCTCATTCTGTCACCCAGGCTAGAGTAGAGTGGCACAATCTCGGCTCACTGCTAGCTCCACCTCCCAGGTTTAAGCAATTCTCATGCCTCAGCCTCCAAGGTAGCTGGGATTACAGGCATGTACCACCACGCCCAGCTAATTTTTATATTTTTAGTAGAGACAGATTTCACCATGTTGACCAGGCTGGTCTTGAACTTCTGACCTCAAGTGATCTGCCCACCTCGGCCTCCCAAAGTGCTGGAATTACAGGCGTGAGCTACCACACCCGACAATTTTCTATATAACCTTTATGTTTCTTCCACCTACAGGCCAGACACCTTCCCAAGGAGGCTTTGCCAACTTTGATGCCTTTAGCAGTGGCCCCAGCTCTTCTGTGTTTGGAAGCCTCCCTCCAGCTGGTCAAGCCTCGTTCCAGGCCCAGCCAACTCCTGCAGGTAAACTCTGCCCCACTGGCTTCCTTTCTCTTCCAACCGTGTCCATTTGTTCATGTCTATAAATCACCATTCATATCCTCACTATCCTAAAGAACTGCTCAAAGCAGCAAAGCACAAAGAGAAGCAGCTCCAGGAGAGGATGAGCGTGTCTGACACATTCTTGTCAGGGAGAGGGGGCTCTACTGTTCTGCTTTTTCATGAAAGGAAAATGACTAAGATTGCAGCAGGAGCTGTGTGGGTTATACACTAGGAAACTTTTCACTAGGAAGTATGGAAGACCTGAGTCCTAGAAAAATTGAAAATGGACGTGACTTTTTCTCTAAGGTGCTCTTGTCTGCATAGTACGCTGTCCCAAAGGGTCAAGGGTCAAGGTAGTCTCCAGAAGTCCTCATCCATCCCTCTAAGACCAAAGGCCTGTAAACTCTATGTTGCTGCCAGCCACAATGGCTCACGCCTGCAATCCTAACACTTTGGGAGGCCGAGGTGGGAGGATCGCTTGAGCCCAGGAGTTTGAGGCTGTAGTGAGTGATTATTGTGCCATTGCACTCCAGTCTGGGTGACAGAGTGAGACCCCATCTCAAAACAAACGAACGAACAAACAAAACCAAATAAACTATGTTATTTAGCCATTGCAAGAGACTCTTCAGGCCTTCTTAAAGCATTCTGCTCCTTCCTAAGCTCTACACATTGAGTCTTCATAGCCTTTGGGTGCCTTCTGCCATTGGACATCCTGGACACATGGGAGGGCAGCTGCAGTGCTCGCCGTCAGGCTCAGATGTCTGGGGAAAAGCCAGTGACATACACTCTTTCTTTCTCCCTTCCTCTACCCACCCTTCTCTTCTCCACCCTCACTGCCAGCCAGTCGGATGCTAACTGAAAGTTACAGCTTTGGTAAGTTATTATCCCCACCCCAGAGCCTACCCAAGTGCCTCTGATCATAGAGTTTTGAGGGCTGGAAGGAACCCTTAAAATTTGGCCATTTGACAGATAAGGCAGTTAAGCAATTTCCCTAGTCATGCAGGCCACAGAGCGACCAAGCTGAGACCAGAGCCCAGACTTCTTGACTCATGCTCTGCCCACAGCCTTCTCACTGTGCCACTGTGAGCTGATTAGCTGCTTTTGTTTTTATTTTATCGTTTTGGAGGGCTATAAGAAGAAACATTTTATATTGATAAAAGTTGGCTGGGCGTGGTGGCTCACATCTGTGATGCCAGCACTTTGGGAGGCCCAGGTGGGCAGATCACCTGAGGTCAGGAGTTTGACATAAGCCTGGCCAACATGGTGAAACACCGTCTCTACTCAAAATACAAAAATTAGCTGGGCATGGTGGCAGGCACCTGTAATCCCAGCTACTCAGGGGACTGAGGCAGGAGAATCACTTGAACCTGGGAGACAGAGGCTGCAGCGAGCCGAGATCCTGCCACTGCACTCCAGCCTGAGTGACAGAGTAAGACTCTTGTCTCAAAAAAAAAAAAAAAAGTTAAAATTCACAAAGAGGTTCTCAAAATCATGTACTTAAAATAACTGACCGCATACCCATGAGATTCACGAAGCAAAAACTATTAGACACAATCAGAATTTAATAAGCCAAAGGACTAGGAGACTATAATATGCTTTCCCACATGACTAATAGACAAGTAAGAAATAAACTATAGGAAACAAAATCTCCATAAATTCTAACAAAGACAAATCACATAGGTCACATTTTGGTTTTTGTTGTTGTTTTGTTGTTTGTGTGTTTTTTGAGACAGAGTCTTACTCTGCTGCCCAGGCTGGAGTGCAATGGCGTGATCTCATTCAAGCGATTCTCCTGCCTCAGCCTCCTGAGTAGCAGGATTACAGGCGCATGCCACCATGCCCGGCTAATTTTTGTATTTTTAGTAGAGACGGGGTTTCACCATGTTGGCTAGGCCGGTCTCAATCTCCTGACCTCAAGTGATCCGCCTGCCTTGGCCTCCCAAAGTTCTGGGATTATAGGCATGGGCCACTATGCCTGGCCATAGGTCACATTCTGTATGATAAAAGATGACACAAACAAAGCTTAAAGGTATGAAACAGATGGAGAGAAGATACAACATGGAAAACAGATGGAAATTAGTATCCATAAAGTATTTTTAAAATTCCTGTGAATATGAAAATATAATAATGGACAAGACATATAAGCAGGTAACACCCAGAAAAAAAAATATGAAAATAGGCCAGGCGCGGTGGCTCATGCCTATAATCCCAGCAGTTTGGGAAGCTGAGGCAGGTGGATCACCTGAGGTCAGGAGTTCAAGACCAGCCTTGCCGATATGGTGAAACCCTGTCTCTGCTAAAAATACAAATATTAGCCGGGCATGGTGGCAGGCGCCTGTAATAGCAGCTACTTGGGAGGCTGAGGCAGGAGAATCACTTGAACCCGGGAGGCGGAGGTTGCAGTGAGCAGACATCGTGCTGTTGCGCTCCAGCCTGGGCGACAAGAGCGAGACTTTGTCTCGAAAAACAAAAAAACAAAAGAAAATATCCTCAACCTAATTAATCAGAGAAATGCAAACTAGGATAAGATAGTTTTGCACATCATGTTGGCAAAATTTTTAGATTGATAATGGCCAGTATTATGTGGGGGAAAATGACCTTCTTGTGCGCTGTTGGCAGGAATTGTACATTGGTGCAGGAATATTCGATTTAGTAAGAAAGGTGTGCTCCTAGGAATGGGAGCACTCGAGGAAACAGCCTATATAAAGTTGTTATAGATGCGTCCCTTCTGAAATGCCTTCCCAGTACAATTGATTGCTCTAAAGACAGAGTTTTTTTTGTTTTTGTTTTTGTTTTTTTTTTTTTTTAGACGGAGTCTCACTCTGTCACCCAGGCTGGGGTGTAGTGGCACAATCTCGGCTCACTGCAAACTCCGCCTCTCGGGTTCACGCTATTCTCCTGCCTCAGCCTCCTGAGTAGCTGGGGCCACAGGCACCCGCCACCACACCTGGCTAATTTTTTGTATTTTTAGTAGAGACAGGGTTTCACCGTAAAGACAGTTTTTGGGGCAGACTCAGAGAGAAGGAAGGGCTCAGCTCCACGGATGTCCCAAGCATTAAACCTTTTGTCCACTATCTGGCTGTCTCAAAAAGCAGTCAGTCACTGGGCGCAGTGGCTCATACCTGTAATCCCGGCACTTTGGGAGGCTGAGTGGGGTGCATCATTTGAGGTCAGAAGTTTGAAACCAGCCTGGCCTACATGGTGAAACCCCTCTCTACCAAAATACAAAAATTAGCCAGGCATGGTGGTGCGTGACTGTAGTCCCAGCTACTGGGGAGGCTGAGGCAGGAAGATTGCTTGAACCCGGGAGGCTGAGGTAGCAGTGAGCTGAGATTGCGCCACTGCACTCTGGGTGACAGAGCAAGACTCTGTCTCAAACAAAACAAAAACAGTCAATCTACAGCCAAACCCAGAGCCAAGGAACATTTCCGAGGATCCTGCCATTGTTGGGTGCCTTCATGCATTATGTCCATGAGGAAGGAAAGAGCTTCCCTTTGCAGGAAACTGGCTCAACTTGGCCCAGATCTAATGCTGATAATTGGCAGAACCGCTTCCCACTACACCATGATCATGCAGGTGTTCCCGTGAGTGTGACTTAGCTGTTGGGTGTGAACTGAGAGAGGAGATTTTGAGAGGTGGGTGTCTCTTCTGACAAACCTGCTTTTATTTTTATATTTCTGAGGGGGAGTATGGAGAGAGGGGTTTTCAAAACTGCTTCTCTCCCTCAAACTGTGATAAGGCAGGGTAGAAATCTAGCTGCGTGGTATAAGAAGCGCATGAAGGCCGGGTGTGGTGGCTCATGCCTGTAATCCCATCACTTGGGGAGGCTGAGGTGGGCAGATCACCTGAGCTCAGGAGTTTGAGACCAGCCTGGGCAACATGGCAAAACTTCATTTCTACCAAAAATACAAATAATTAGCTGGCCATAGTGGTGCGTGCCTGTAGTCCCAGCTACTCAGGAGGCTAAGGTGGGAGAATCAGCTGAGCCCTGAAGGTCGAGGCTGCAGTGAGCTGAGATCATGCCACTGCACTCCAGCCTGGGCAATTGGAATGAGACCCTGTCTCAAAAAAAAAAAAAAAAAGTGCATGAAATGAAAAGCAAACAGGAGTGCAGGTGTTTCTTGGGCCACCGCCTCCTTTGTGAGAATGCACCCTCTGTGCAAAGGGCCAACCCTGCCTGGGCTAGGGATGGTTCTGCCCCCTAGTGTCCACAGGGAGGCACAGCATGGCCTGCAGCCTCTCTCCCAGCCTGGTCCTCACTGGGTGAAGCTCCTGGAACATGCAGGACCACAGCAGCACAAAGAGTCAGCCATCCGAGGAAAGGGAGCCGTGCTTGCGTGGAAATTCCACATACTGTACTTGGAGGCAGGCAGGCAGGGAAAGGCCTCGGCTGGGAGAGTCAGTAGAGGATCCAACACCATGCTGCTGGCTTTTTTTTTTTTTTGGAAACAGTCTTGCCCTGTCGCCCAGGCTGGAGTGCAGTGGCTCAATCTTGGCTCACTGCAATCTTCCTCTTCCAGGTTCAAGTGATTCTGGTGCCTCAGCCTCCCGTGTAGTTGGGATTACAGGTATGCACCACCACGCCCAGCTTATTTTTGTGCTTTTAGTAGAGACAGGGTTTTGCCATGTTGGCCAGGCTTGTCTTAAACTCCTGACCTCAAGCGATCTGCTTGCCTCAGCCTCCCAAAGTGCTGGGATTACAGGTGTGAGCCACTGGGCCTGGCCCCACCCAGGTGGCTTTCTAGCCTGTCTTGCATCCTGTGGATTAGAAAGGATTGATGACCAAGTAAGCACAGTGGCATTGTAGCCTTGCCCAGGAGGAAGCTGGCAGCCAGCACTCATTCATCTAGAAAGCCCAGGCATTTAGGAAGGAGGTGGCAAAGGAGAGCACTGTCTTACAAGTGCCGACACTCAGTGAGAGGGAGCGGGGCTTCAGGACCTGGCAGCAGGTAGGCACTGGGCACTTCGTCTTCCCTACTAGATTCTCAGCTTCACCCATTTAGGGCCCGGGTCGCTGTTATTTATGCATAGTGCCTGGCATGTGGAAGATCTCCCTTTTTTTTTTTTTTTTTTTTTGAGACGGAGTCTCACTCTGTCGCCCAGGCTGGAGTGCAGTGATATGATCTCGGCTCACTGCAAACTCCACCTCCCGGGTTCACGCCATTCTCCTGCCTCAGCCTCCTGAGTAGTTGGAACTACAGGCACCCGCCACCATGCCTGGCTAATTTTTTTTTTTTTTGTATTTTTAGTAGAGACGGGGTTTCACCGTGTCAGCCAGGTTGGTCTTGATCTCCTGACCTCGTGATCCGCCCTCCTCGGCCTCCCAAAGTGCTAGGATTACAGGCATGAGCCACCACACCTGGCCAGATCTCCCTTTTTTTTTTTTTTTTGAGACGGAGTTTCGCTCTTATTGCCCAGGCTGGAGTGCAATGGTGTGATCCTAGCTCACTGCAACCTCCACTTCCCGGGTTCAAGTGATTCTCCTGCTTCAGCCTCCGAAGTAGCTGGGATTACAAGCACCTGCCACCATGCCTGGCTAATTTTTGTATTTTTAGTAGAGACAGGGTTTCACCATGTTGGCAAGGGTGGTCTCGAACTCCTGACCTCAAGTAATCTGCTCGCCTTGGCCTCTGAAAGTATTGGGATTACAGGCATGAACTGCCGCGTCCTGTCAATAAAGCCTCTTTCCATCTGGACCCTCCTTTTACATTCACAGCAGCCCAGTGTGGTCGATAGGGTCCCAAGATAGAGACGAGACTTTGATGTGCAGACAGGAGGCTTTCTTAAAATGACAGGGACTCAGCCTCTTCCCCTGAGACAAGATTGCTTGGAATTTCCAGGACTCTTGGCCCTCAGCTGTTTTGTAAGATTTCCATGTGGGCCTTGCCCTCTGTGCTTTTTCTTTTTGGCTCTGAAGAAGAGGCAGGGCAGGAGAACCCCGCAGCGGGGCTGGCCCCATGAACAGTGCCTCCAGGCTCAGGGCACTGGGGCGGCCTCCCGAGAAGCAGCGGCTAAATGGGGAAGGGACAGTGCTGATAGCTGGAGGCTGCACAGGCCAGGAGCCTCCTGAGTGTGATGGGACTTGCTGTCCTCCATGGTGCCTCTGCCTGCCCCTCCCTGCCATGTTCTGATAAATGGAAATGCGGGCTTGAGGAAAGGACAGGCTTTTCCATCTCTTGAGGGAAAAGTGAGACATGAAAGCCAAACTGGAGCAGGAGGAGGACAGCCTGACCTGGGGACGAGCTGCTTTCCTCTCCGCAGCGCAGCTTTGAGCGCAGGGGACACGGAGAAGGGCTGGGCTGTCACCTTGCCCAGAACTCTTGGTGGGAGACAAGACCTCCTGAACTGGGTGGTCCCTGAGAAAATGGGCTGCCTCAGAGAACCCAGCAGGCACCTGTCATGCCATGACTCCAATCCATCACCACCACCACCTCCATCTGCTCTCCTGCCCCTCCCGCCCTGTCTTACCTCAGCTCTCCCTGTTGTATTTTCCACAACTGCCCAGGGAGCAGCCAGGGGACTCCATTTGGTGCCACTCCCCTGGCACCCGCCAGTCAGCCAAACAGCCTCGCAGACGTGGGCAGCTTCCTGGGACCCGGGGTGCCCGCTGCAGGTGTTCCTAGCAGGTAGGTACAGACAGTGGGCAGTCTGCTGTAGGGCAGGAGAGCCGCCCGAAGCCTGGCCATGTTCCTCCCAGCCCCATCGGCATCTCCTGGCAGTTCTCCCCTCCCCTCCTCTCCCTTACTCACCCTGGAGAGCAGGGTTGGCATCTCCTGGCCCCTTGCTCAGGTTTGATTGGCCCTGGCAGCTGTGTATGACTTCTCTCTCCCCGTGTTGTAGCCTCTTCGGGATGGCTGGCCAGGTCCCCCCGCTCCAGTCTGTCACGATGGGCGGCGGCGGCGGCAGCAGCACAGGGCTGGCCTTTGGAGGTGAGTCCTGCCTGTGGAGACCCAGGGGAGGGGACCTGAGGCCAGGAGGAGTCTAAGGACTCTGGACAGGGTGGGAAGGGGAGAGATTGAGAGGAATGCTCAGGCATCACAGGATGAAGCACGTGAGAAAAAAAGTAACCATCTCTCTCTTTCCTGCCGCTCCCCATTCCACCTGGGCAGCCTTCACTAACCCTTTCACAGCTCCCGCCGCCCAGTCCCCGCTGCCTTCCACCAACCCGTTCCAGCCCAATGGCTTGGCGCCAGGTAAGCCTCCAGCATGGTCCCTTGTCCTGACCATCTGAGACTTCCAAGGCACACATTACCCTGCAGCCTCTCCCTTAACCCTTTGTCTCACGCTGTCAGGAGAAGCAGACAGCCTGGTTCTTCCCCTGCCCACACGGTGCCAGGCCACCTAGCACCCAGGTCACAGAGCCAGATTTTAGAATTAGAAGCACACAGGTGGCTACTTACCGGAGACCGCACTGAAGACTGTTTTAGAGTTGACTGACAGTGGCAGCGATTCTCCTGTCTCCAGCCCTCAGCAGTGTCCCTTTGGGCACCCAGCCCCAGTCCCTTCTGTGTCCCGAAGCTTAAGCCACCTGAAACACTCACGCTGTTCCCTGCTTCCATCAACTCCAGGCCTGTTGTCTTCTCTCACCCTGGCCCTCCCCAGCCTCTGCTGCTCTCCCCTCAGACTCATGCTGGCTGAAGCCTTGAGGCTGGGGAGAGAGGAATAAGAGCAAACACAGAAGAGCTGTGTGGTGGGCCCAGTGCTGAGGGCTTCGTGGCCCTGATTTGATCTTCACAGTAGCCCTATGAGACGGACTGTCCCCATTTTAGAGATGAGAACTGAAGCACAGACAGCGTTAGAAGTTTGTGCTGTTTTTGCAGTTTAGTGGGAGGCTAGCCCAGTCCTGCACCGCGCCCGTGCCTGGAACTACCATGCCCTCCCTGCCACGTACCCCCGGGCAGGGAGAGGGCAGGGTTGTTTGGTGGTGTGAGAAGCAGAAGAGTTCCATGGCTGGGTCCCTCGTTCCTCATGTCAGGAAAAAACTATATCCCATTTTCCCATCTTGGAGGGACTTAGGAAAAACAGTTCTCCAGCCCACCTTCCAGAAGTTCACCTGAGCCTCCCGTCTTTCACTCCATAGGGCCCGGCTTTGGGATGAGCAGTGCTGGGCCTGGCTTCCCCCAGGCAGTGCCACCCACTGGGGCCTTTGCCAGCTCCTTCCCAGCACCGCTGTTCCCCCCGCAGACCCCGCTTGTTCAGCAGCAGAATGGTAAGAGCTGTAGATGGACAAACCCTTTCACCCCATCCCATCTCTGCATAGAGATCAGTTAGTTGTTCCTCCGACCTCATCAGAGCCCATGCAGTGCCCTTTCTGACCAGCAGGGGGGACCAGGGAAGCACCAGACCCGCCCGGGTACTTCCACTGCTCTGTTCCCTTACTCCCCCAGTTTAGGAGGGCCCCCCTTGCTGTCCGCCTGCAGGAAGGCAGGCTGGTGTCAGCTGAGTGACTGCTCTCGCCCCCTAGGCTCTTCCTTCGGGGACTTAGGATCAGCCAAGTTGGGGCAGAGGCCACTGAGCCAGCCAGCTGGGATCTCCACCAACCCCTTCATGGTGAGTGTGCCAGCAGGGGTGCTGTGGTAGGGCTCGTGGGCTTTCCCTCTGGGACAATCCTTCCAGAAGAGGCTGATGTGAGGTGGCCCCTGTGCCCCTTCCTCGTGAAGGTCTGCGTTGTCCAAGCCAGGGCTGAGCTTGGGCCTCAGCTCTTCTGGGCACTGGCATCTCCCATGCTGTTCCAGCCCTGCCCTTGGCTCCCTTCTCCCTCACTTTCCTTTTTTTTTTTTTTTTGAGACAGCCTCACTCTGTCTCCCAGGCCCAATCTCAGCTCACCGCAACCTCTACCTCCTGAGTTCAAGCAATTCTCCTGCCTCAGCCTCCCAAGTAGCAGGGACTACAGGTGTGCACCACCGCACATGGCTAATTTTTGTATTTTTAGTAGAGATAGGGTTTTCCCGTGTTGGCCAGGCTGGTCTTGAACTCCTGACCTCAGGTGATCAGCCCACCTTGGCCTGCCAAAGGGCTGGGATTACAGGCATGAGCTACCGTGCCTGGCCTTTTCTCCCTCACTTTCCCACTGCCCTCAGCATAGCGATTTTTCAGGAGAAAGGACTCCTGGCTGCCTTTCTTCTAAGCTTCCAGTTCCTCTCCCCTAACTGGAAAATGTATTGTTCTTTCTTTCCAGACTGGACCCTCATCAAGCCCATTCGCCTCCAAACCTCCAACCACCAACCCCTTCTTGTAGCACTGTGTTTTTGGGGGGCCTCTTCCCTGCCTTCTGGGGCCCCTCTGCTCCCTAGAGCTCTGGTGACCACTTGCCTGTGGGCATTTCTATGGGCCTTGGGGATGGTGGAGGTGCTAATGCTTTGCTTGGGGCCTACAGGTGAAAGGTGGCTGCCCTCAGATTCCACAAAGCCTCTCTCCCCTCCCTCGTCCCACCCCCACCCAGGCAGGAAGCCCAGGAGGAGTGCGGGCAGGGCCTGACCTGGAGGAGTGATGGTTGAGGGGGAGGGATTTTTTTCAAATGATCAGTCCCCTGTGGAACAGCTCTTCCCTGGGCCTAGCTCGCCAGCGCTGTGCTCCTCATGGACGGGAGCGCAGTGGGGAAGGTAGGGGAAAGATGAGGCACAGTGTTGATGGGGCAGTGACCAGACAGTCCTGAGACCCAGAAGGCCCAGGTGGCCCAAGTGCTCTTGGTGGCCCAGCTTGGCCAGCACACACTTTCCTCCTGCAGCACCCCCTGCTGAAGGGGTCCCCCATTGTTTTGCTTCCCCAGCGCCCAGGATGAGCGGTTTACCATCGAGCTTACCCGGGCCCGGCTCCTGTCAAGCACTTTAGTTAGCTGTTGGTGTCATGTTTGGATACCAGTGTTTTATATTTATACATAGAGAGGATTTTCTAATATAGCCTATTATATATAAATAGATCTATCTATATGCACATACATACATATATACACACACCCAGCCGATCTCCCGCTCCCAGACTGCTCTCGTATGTGGGGAATGGGATGAATCCCCATCTGTGCCTCGACCATCAAAGCCGGAGCTCCAGGGCTGGAGGGGGGGCAGCCATGTGTCCTGACCCCCACCATCCCCAGAGCCTGGGTTTTCCAGGGAAAGGCTTTGTGCAATTGCCTGGTCTTTTTTTTTTTTTTTTTTTCTCCATGTGCCTCCCTGTCCCCAAATCTCTGCACCAAAGCTCATTGCAGGCAATGTTGGAAAAGAACTGCATTTGAACGAAAGAGAAAACGGCGCCTGTGGTTTTGCTTCAGGCCACTTTGAGGGGTTGCAGGTCAGTCAACATGACTGATCCTTGACCTGGCTCTGCTGGGCTGGACTGCCTGGGCCAGTGATAATGCTGCCATTGGCCAGAGACAGGGCAGAGCCCGTCCCTGTCTGAACAAGAGTCCCGCATTAGCAATGAGAAGAAGCGTGGCGGGAGAGGAGCCACCACTGCCGGGGACTGGAGTTTGTTGGATGTGAGGGGAATGCCCACTGGGGCCAGGGTGGGCAAAGGAGGTTGGTGCCAATGTGGTGCTGGAAGTAGACCCCTCCTGGGTCTGGAACATTCTCTGCCCCAGGCTCTTTCCACCTGGGGATGTTGTGACAACATCCAGCTGTGGTGTCTGGGCTATTTGTGTGGTGACAAGACAGACCTGGTCAGGGGGTGGGTGGCAAACACCTCACCTGGCTGGGCAGAGGCCACCTTGCTGTTTGGCCCAAGGCCAGGTGAGGCCCCTCCCTTTCCACCATTGCCCTGGCCCCGTGGCCATTCATTCTTGGGGTTTGTCTGAGTCTTCCACAGAGAGCAGCAAAGAGATATGGGAGTTGGGTGATCAGTGTATTTACTTTGCAGATTTTTCTGGAAATAACCTCTAGCTGCTGCTATTTGCAAGGCTGGGATTGGCCTCCCTGTCTTTTCCAACAATCAGGACCCCATCCTGTCTGTTCCTGTTCTTCTCCCAGCCTCTGCCCTCCTTCTGTCTCCTGGGTGGTCTCCCGCTTCGCTCCTGGCCTTTGCATGTTCCATCTCTTCTCTTTCTCCCCTCTTCGCCACCCTAGATTATCTCTGTGTCCCTCTACCTAATTCTCTTACCAGTTCTTTCCTTTCTGCTTAGAGCCGGAGGGAGGGAAGCTGGAATCTGTTATGGTGTATTAGGGGGAGGAGCCTTTCTGTTATTTCCCCCCAGCTTCCATCACCCTTCCCTTAATGCCAGGAGCGCCGAGGTTTGGAACTGAGGCTAAACCGAAGGGCTTTCTCCTGCTTCTGTCACCCTGTGCTGTCTCCCGGCATCTCCTCACTATCTGGGTCCAGGCCCGGGTCCTCCCTGCAGACTCCCTCCCCTCCAGCCCACAAGGACTCCAGCCTGCTGGCTGGTGAGAGCTGGATGAGCAGTAAGAAGTTAACGCCAGGTCAGCCTCGGGCCCCAGGGTTCCCTGGGCACAGGCTGACACTAGGAGCTGCTCTCCTTGGCCGGGGACAGCTCCAGCAGCTCAGGCTCCAGCCCTCCAGTGAGCCGCCTCTCCTGGAGAGTAGCAAAGAATGGAGAAAGGCCTGGCTTGAGAGGAAATGGAGAAAACATTGCCTGGTAGCTGCAGATTCAAACCCACCACACACACCACGGGGCTAGAGTGACTCACCTGGGCTCACACCAACTTCTGGCCAATGCAGGGACCATGCTCTGCAGACAGCAGTCCTCTAGCATGGCCCCAGCATTCAGCCAGTCGGTCACCTGTGGGCCATCCCCATGTGTGAGGAAGCAGGAGTCAGCCACCAAGTGTCTCCACATCGGAGCTTGCGGGTCAGACCTGTGGGCCAGGGGATGGGAGCAGGGCTGAGGGTAGGGGCTGAATGTGTGGCTCTGTCCCTGTGTTGCCTTCCACAGAGGAGCAAGGCCTCAGGCTGAGGAAGGAGGGGCACGCTGGAACAGCCTAGTCTCCTCCCCGTGGATTCCCCCAAACCCATAACATTCTTCCATAGGGGCTGAGAACGCAGTGCCCCGTCCCTGACAGGGATGAAAAGTGAACCCCTCAGGTCAGGAGAGGCAGAGTTGAGGTTCTGCCACTTCCTGTCCCTGGGGAGCCACTCAAGTTACCAGGGCTACCGGCTGAAATAAATCTTTTCCGGGTAGGGTCAAGGGCAGTGTGTTGCCAAGGCAACTGATGTAGGCCAGTTGCGTGACTCCAGGTTTGTCCTGGTACTCAGTGGGTCCAATCACCTGGCATTGATCACCTGGCATTGATCAGCACCCACCCCACCCCTGAGGCTTGCCCAGCCCCCAGGCCCTCAGATCCCTGCTCTTCCTGCCTTTCCTGCCCATGTGTCACCCAGCACCCAAGGTTCAGTGACACAGGGTGGTTTGGAGCTGGTCACTGTCATAGCAGCTGTGATTTCACAAGGAAGGGTGCTGCAGGGGGACCTGGTTGATGGGGAGTGGGAAGGGGAAGGAATAAAGAGATCTTCCTCAGGTATCTTCAAGCCTCAGGGAGTAAAAAAGACTCCTGGGCCCGGAGTGCAGCAGGGACAGGGGCCCTTTGGTGGCCTCTTTGAGGCAGCAGCAGGACTGGGAGGGGGAGGGGTGTGCACATGTCCTTTGTGTCCCTGCCCCTTTGCACATGGTGCCTGTATCAAGGCCCTTGGCCACGTGGGGCTATGGCCTTGAACACAGTCCGGTTTTGTTGGCCACTTACGGAGCCATTGCCTCTGTGGCCAACACCCAACACTGGGCAGTTGCCGAGCCCCGCCCCACGGCCCCCCCGCCCCACACCACACCACCTGTGCTTCGAGCCTCTCCTGCACCCCAGTGGGGCTTTGGCTTACCAGAGGTCACCTGGAGCAGGCCCTGGGTCCCACCTGCCTGCTGGCTGGGTGCTGGTTGGTTCCCTGCATCTCCCTCTCAATGTGACCTTGGAATAGGTGTGTGAGGACCCCAGCTCCATGCACACAGCACTTGCCTCCCATATTCCCACTCACGTGGGGCCCCTTCCCCAGGAAGCAGGAAGTGTGGCGGGAAGCCCTGCCCACCCTGCTCAGGCTGCCCTGGCCCTTGGGCTAGGTTTGGGTCCTTGCATCTGTTCTCTTGTTCTGTCTTTGTCATATCTTGTTCCTTCCCTGAGGGAGCTCCTCCCTGAATGCCATCTTTATGGGGGCTGCATGTTGGCCTCTCCTCCCTGACCCTCGGCTTTCCCCTTTAGGCACCTTACTTGCCTTGGGTGATATCTCAGGGTCCTCTAAGGTCCCACCAGGTGTCACCTGCTGGTTTGTCTGGTGCACCTTCACCCCCATCCCCTTGGAGGGGGTCAGTGGTCCTTGGATCAGAACTGAGTGCAAAAATGTCCAGTCCCCAGCCCAATCGCAATTTTTTCAAGAAGCAAAGGGTACCTCCATGAGGAAGTCCACACGTCCATGGTCAGAGCCTTCAGGTGGTCCCGGGGTAGTATTTTTGGGCAGTGGTGGCAAGGAGGGGCCCAGAGCAATGGGGCAGCCCGAAGGGGTCTTCCTGAGAGATGGCCTCTTCCTCCGAGGTCTCCTTCAGTGGCCACTTGACTGGGTTCCAGCGGGTATGGTCTGTGCACAGGGACTACCCCCTGAGCTTACTTAGCCCAAGTCACCTCCTATCACCCCAAACTTTCAAGAAACTCAATCTCCAGCTCAGAAATAATCCAGCGCAGTGCTCAGTGGCGGTGGCTCCTTTGGTTACTTGGAAGGGCACAAAACCACTCCTGGATGGGAAGGGGGTACACACAGGAAGGACACCTACAGGCCGAGCGGGGCGTGGCAGGAGCCAGCAGGGTGCATGGAGGCCCCGTTCCAAAGCCCTCTAATCGCCAGCGCCACCACCGCTGCCACAAGTCCGATCACTGGCCTCACACCGAGGCTTTCTCGGTTGCCCCGACGACGTGTCCGGACCGCAGTCAGCTGATCGGTAGAGACGCCCCCACGCTCTCTGCCCCTATAAAGGCTCAGTCTTGGGGTCGAGGCCGCCTCTCTTGGACTTCCCTACTCAAACTCCAGTTCCTGGGCGACGTGAGGATTAGTCTCGTGGGGTGGGGGTTCCGGAGCGGTCGGCGGAGGGAGGGAGGTAGTGGGGAGCCCAGGCCAGGGGCAACAGTCACCGGGACACTCGCTGTGCGCAGAGTCCTTGCCCCAAACTTCCAGTCGGGAGCCCGGGAGAGACGCTGGGCATCAAGACGGGTGGCAGCCTGCCCGGCCGCTGCTCCCGGCCCGCCGAGTTCGCCACCTCACCCCCACCCCTGCTGGCCTCTCCCCGTGCTCAAGACACGAGACCCAGCCGTCTCTGCCTCTTCTGCAGCCACTTTATTGCCTTCGCCCCTGAATGAAGCCCGCAGGCGGCGGCCCCGGGGAGAGCCGGGAATGGCCGCCGTGCCCCTCAGCCAGCCGCTGCCCTGGGCCTGCCCTGCCGACGTGCGGTTCTGCGGCCACCTGCGCGCAGACCCGCCGCGTCCCGAGTGTTCCGAGAGCGAGCAGAAGTTTCGCGCGTGCCGAGCGCGGCTCCAGCGCAGCCTGAGCCTGGCGGGTGCGTGCACCACCAGCAAGTGCGCAGATGCGCGCCAGCACCACCTGATCGTCCTCTACACCCGCGACAGCAGCCTGCGCGTGGCGGCGGCAGGCGAGGCGGAGCAGCAGGCGTGATACAACACCCTGCTCGAGGAGCGCGGTGATGCCGGTGAGGCCCGAGCCCCGGGCTTCCGGGGGCCTCGGGGGCTTCTGGCTGTGGTTTCTCCGTGGCTCGCCCCTCCCCCAGGTCGCCGAAAGTTCAAACATTAAAGGGGCAGGTTTAGAGTTCTCCGGGCACAGGCCCGGCCCGGTGGCTCACGCCTATAATCCCATTAGTTTGGGAGGCCAACGCGGGCGTATCACCTGAGGTCAGGAGTTCGAGACCAGCCTGGCCAACATGGTGAAACCCCATCTCTACTAAAAATACAAAAATTAGCCGGGCGTGGTGGCACATGCCTGTAATCCCAGCTACTCAGGAGACTGAGGCAGGAGAATCGCTTGAACCGGGGAAGCGGAGGTTGCAGTGAGCCAAGATCAACCACTGCACTCCTAGGTAACAGAGCTAGACTCTGTCTCAAAAAAAAAAAAAAAAAAAAAAAAAAAAAAAAAAAAAAAGAGTTCTCCAGGCACAATGACGAGGCCCAGGTGCTCAGGGACCCTCCTATGAGCACCTTCAGACTCCCTGTTCCCCATCCCTGAGACCCCAGCTTCTGCGGACCAGTCAAGTGGCCTGAGCCGTCCAGGGTGTCTGGGAGAGGGGATCGAGCAAGCAGCCCTTAAGACCTTGGCGAGGCTGGGGACAGCAGCCTTCTACCCTAAGGGGCTGGGTGGGGGCTACATAACCAAGGGAGCAGGGAGTGACTATGAGCCCATTCCTACAAGTCTGGGTTCAGGAGCCTGGACACAGGCCCAGGAGTGCCCATCGCGATGTGGGGGCTGGCTGGGGATGGGTAGGGACTCAGCGCTGCTCCTGCCCCCCTCAGAGCTGGCTAGGGAGTGAAGTGTGCACCAAGTTATCGGCCCCAGAGAGCCTCGGAACCGGCACCGCCAGGCCAGAGCCCCTGACGAGCTGCCTCAGCTACGTCGATCTGGACCTGGTCCTTTCTCTGGGGGCACTTGGTGACGTCCCCAGGGCCCACACGCTCCGCCCACATAGCTATGCGGTGAGGAGACCTGAGACCCAGGCAGCTCTCTCCTGCTGACTGATGGGGGGGTGGTTGAGGGAGGGACTGGAGGGAATGGCATTGTAACGCCCCCGCCCTGCCTCCTAACTCCCCACCGTGTGAGGGGCTTTAAGGCCCAGATGCCACCTCGGACAAGTGACCTGCAGGGCAACAAGCTGGGGTCCTGCCCCCTGTGTCCCTTCCAGCTGTGGCACCTAAGTCTTGAGTAGAAGGTTCTCCAAGAAGTTGGGCTATTTTATGGGAGAAAATTCTAGAACCTATCCCCGCCCAAACCACCGAGACTACACACTTCTGGGCTTTCTCAGCTGAAACCCTGATCCTGTTTCTCTACAGAGTTCGTGCAAGAATCTCTAGAGTCTCAGGTAGGCTGCGGCAGGGCCACCTTTCTGCCAGTGGTGACATTTACATGGACCGGCACCCTCCCCCACACACCTGCAGTGCATTCTTTGTGTCTCCTCTGAGCCAGACAACTACCCCACCCAGCCCAGAACTGAACTCCTGGAGCCCCAGCACAAGAGGTGTGGGGCTAGTGTCCCCTAAAAGTGAGGTGCCCCTACTTACTCCCCCGCCTGCTTCCTATACATTCAGCCCTGCACTGCCATGCAGACCACCCACCCACTCATTAAAGGGGCTCTGCCCAGTCAGCCCAGAAATGCCTTAGGTCATGGATACCCTCGCCCTCCGCCTAACACAGCAGGGGGTGATCTGCAGTGAGACAGAAAGAGACCCCATTCCTGCCTCTATGACTTACTCTGCTCCCAGCCACACGGAGCCTGTTTTGCAAACCAACACTGTTTTATTGTCAACACAACCAGCCCACTCTGCCCTGAGAAGGCTATGGACAATGGGTGTCTGGGGTCTGTGGGAGAGAGAGGTCAGCACCCTGAGAACTGCTGGGGCTACCACAGGGGCTGGGTGGGTCAGAGGTATGGTCTGGGGGGCCAACCGCGGAGGAGCTGGGCCTAGGCTCCCCCTGGCTCATCTGCAGCAGGCCAGTGAGAGCGATCAGCTCCGGCCCGCTGAGCCAGGCAGTGGAGGGGCCCCGGGAGGGTGATGGGCGGGGGAGCACCCTGGCAGACATGATGGGGGGCGGCGGCAGCAGTTTCAGGGAGCCCATCATCTGAGGAGAGAGAATGGAATGTGTTTCCTGCCAGGCAAGCCTGGAGGCTGGGGTAAGGACAGGGAGGGGAAAGAGCTCTCACCTGCTGGGGGGCCTTGGACAGGTACAGGGGAACACGCTGCCCCCGGGGCAGCAGAGGGTCCGAGAGGAAGACATCTTCACAGCACACCACCGGGAACCCTAGGAGGAAACACCACTAGGGTGGCGGGCTGCGGGCTCCCACCCCTGGGCACTGGTTCCCAGAGGAGTTGGGGCAGCCTTGCGCCCCCGGGGGACCAAGGGAGGTACCTGCATCTGGGGGCGCCTGCTGTCCATTCCAGTGCCCTGTGGCAGGGGCCACGGGCCTGAGACCCCTGCCCGAGGCTGCTTCATACAGCGGCCAGAATGAGGGGTGACACAGCGTCCGGCCTGAGAACGAGGCTCCTGAGCTACAGTTGGCCCCCTAGGGTGAGGAGGACAGAGCACTGGAGCCTCAGGCCACCGCACAGCTCCCTGAGCACCCCAGCCAGTCCCACAGGTTTGCCCCCAACTCACCCACACCGGCCGAGGTCCTGCTTTGGCTTCATACTTGGGGTCCCAGGGCGCTAGTGGAGTCATCCTCGAGGGGGCCACCTCCCAGGCCACCTGGGGGGAACGGGGATCTGGGGGGACGCTTGGGGATTATAACAGGCTCACAGTCAGTGAGAGGCTCTTAGGGGTAGTAGAGGCAGCAGGGCCTGTCCTACCTGGGGCTCCGGGGGGCTGCTCAGTGGCCGGGCCTGGCAGGTGGTGGGGCAGCAGCAGCTGCTCTCTCCAGATCCAGGAAGGGCTACGGGATGGGGGCTGTGGGCTGGAGGGGCAGGGACTGAGGCTGCAGCCACACCGCCCCCACGCACCCTCCCCTGGAGCCCAAGGGTGCCTGGTGCAAGGGAGACCGAGGGACCCAATCTCCAGCAGGGACAATGGAGAAGCCTCCGTAGAGCGCGTGGTGAAGGCATGGAGGCCCCCAGTCGCTGTCCCCCCACGGCTCCGTCCGAGCCCCTCACCTGTCCCATGGGGGTGTCCCCAGCTCCCTGGGGGCGTCCGCTCCGGCGCTCCAGGGCTCGCCCTGGTCCTTGCCCGCCGGAAGGCCTGGTCCCTCGGGCGCCTCCTCCGGGCCCGCGCCCCACCGCGGCGGCGACCAGGGCAACATTCCGCGTTCCCGAGCGCAGGACGGTACCGCCGTGTCCCCGCCGCCCGGCCCGGCCCTCTCAGCCTCCCTCCGCGGCGCGGCGCGAACGTGCCCTCCTGGCGAACCCACCCCAGAGGCCTCGCGGCGACGCTGGCGCCCTGTGCGTCTCCCGGCCACGTGGCGCGTGCCCCCGCCGGGCTCCCGCGGGCGCCCCCTGGCGACTGGGCGGTGAATTCCGGAAACAGAGGCCCCCCCAACAACCCCGCGACGCACGTGCTCTCAGACACAGTTACACCTGAGGGCCACCCAGAGGGCTTCTGGCTTCTGTTTATTGCGGCTGACACGACACCTGCGACACCCGCGGTCCTTCCACCCAGACCCTCGACCCCAGAGGCAGCCAGGCCGGCAGGCCAAGGGTGCCCAGGCCCAGGCCACCCTCACCACGTGCTTCTCTGAGAGCGCGGAGCCCAGGCGCGTCTTCTGCTCCCGGGGTCCCGGGCGGGGTGGGCCCTGTGCCCCCACCTTCACCCCTAAGGCCGGTCCAGCAGGGCGTGGACGACAGCAGCGATGTAGGGGAGGCCCCTTCCCGGGGCCCCCTCCTCTTCCAGGATGTGGTGGGGCTGGCACAGTGACTCCTGGGGGAAGGGGCCGGGTTAGCTTCCCCACGGTGCCCCCTGCGGCTTCCGGCCTGTGGCAGGGGGTCGGGGGCAGACCCGAGCATCACCGTGCGCTCGGGGCTCGGCGACAAATGAGACGCAAGAAAGCTGTCAGCGATAACAGAAGGGAGGTGACACGGGGGGTTGGCGGACGCTCCGGGAGCATGAGAGGCCGGCATCTCAGGAGGGAGATGCTGGTGGGCACAGAGCCATGGCCACAGCCACCAACACGCGGAGCAGACGCGCGCGCGCGCGCACACACACACACACAGGCAGGGCGGCCACGGTCTGTACAGTTTATACACAGAGATAGGGACCCGGCCTGGGCCCCGAACCCCTACAAATATAGATCCTCTCTACAAAATAGAGATAATTTAGCCCCCCCATAGCAGCTGTTGGGGGGGGAAGGGGAGGGCACAGGAGGAAGGGGGAGACTCCAGCTCCTGCCACCCCTCACGGGGTACAGAGGGCAGGGGCAGGGCCGGCGGGGACATGAAGGCACCGTCAGCACTGAGAGGTGGGGACTCGTGGGGCTACTGGAGGGAGGCCAGAGGCTGGGGGCCCAGGGTCTGGGGGCACCAGAGTGGGGCCTCTGAGGTCAGTGTCTGTGAAGGGGGTGCACTAGTGTCTTTGGTTGGGGCTGAAGGCACCGCAGGTGGGGTCGGGTGGAGCAGGGACCTTATAAATAGAGAGGAAGGGAAAGGGGTGAGGGAGGGCCGATTTTGGGGCCTAGGAACCCAGGAGCCGAGTGTAGGTGACATAGAGCAGCAGCATGAGGACCACGTAGAAGACGACGAAGCCGCCCAGACCAGAGGGGGGCCAGAGGGGCGGTAGGGCCTTGCCCCCCACCCGCTTCACGGCCTCCAGCGCGGTCCGCAGCCCCCGGGCAGTGCCCTGGAGGAGATCCGAGGGCGAGCACAGGTCAGCCTGGGGGAGAGGAGAGCAGGTGGACAAGGACAAGGGACAGACGTCAGCAGCAGCAGCAGGACAGTCCCTCCCACCCCTGCCCTCACGTGCTGGGGCCAGAACCACGCCCACATGCTGACGTGCTGGGCAGGGGGAGTGCAGTGCAGGAGGAGTGCAGGGCAGGGCATGTGCAGGACAGGTGACATGCAGGACAAGATGGGGCCTGCAGGGCAGGGGATGTGTAGGACAGGTGACATGCAGGGCAGGGGGCATGCAGGGCAGGGGGCATGCTGGGCAGGGCAGGGGCAGCCTGTGCCTTCATCTGAGAGCAGACATCCGCTGCAAATGGAAGCCCACCATCCATGCCACATGCTCGGCTGAGTCCGGCATGCCACCACTCTTTAGAAAGCAGCCCCCATACCTCAGGCACCCCCATTTTTCGACAGGCTTCTAGAAAACTCTCCACATTCTTCCGAGCCTTGAGGGCACTGAGTTTTGGCTGGGGTGGGTGAAAGAAGAAAATGTGGTAAGGGAGAGGCCACAGGCGCCCCGGCCCATCCCCCACCTCTTCCCCAGCCCCAACTGACCACAGCAGGGGAGGGCACATGGATGAAGGGCACGGAGCGCGGCCGTAGCTGGTTGGCCAGCTGGCACAGGATGACCCCACTGGCCAGAGCCTCGGCCAGGTCCTCAGGCAGGGGCCGCTGCAGCCGGGACTCAAGGACCTGGCAGTGTAGACCACATAGAGCAGGGGTCAGGGAAGGAGAGGCGTCTGGGAGGCAGGGAGAGTGGGGGGCTCAGGGCTAGCAGGGAACTTGTGCCTGTCCCTTCCTGTCCTCAGGGGAGGTGCCAGAGTGGGCACAGAGGATGTGGAGGGAGGCTGGTCCCAAGGACAGCAACACAAGGAGGTGCCCGGCCCAGGCCCCTGCCCACGCAGCTCCCGCCTCTGCTCACCTGGCGCAGCTGAGTCATTAAGTCCTTCTCATCTGGAACCTGGGGGTACCGCCGAGGTCTCAGGACAGAGTCTGGTGAGGAAGGGCCTAGGAGAAAAAGGGGGGCATGGGGCTGCCTCCACTGCTCACCACTGACTCTGTAGCTGGGTCCCAGTGGCCTGGCACCTACACCTCCTGCCTCTCTGCTTGTGGGATTTTTTTTTATTTCATGGAGATGGGGTCTCGCTATGTTGCCCAGGCTGGTCTTGAATTCCTGGGCTCAAGCGATCCTCCCACCTGGGCCTCCTAAAGTGCTGCGATTACAGGTGTGAGCCACCACACCCGGCTTGCTTGTGGGATTTTCAACGCAAAGGTACAAAAGGTACAACAGACCCAGAGGGCTCCCAGGGCAGAAGGGTGATGTAGCCGTTGGTGCTGGCAAGCACTGGGTCAGCACTGGGGAGGGCAGGACACCCACCTGAGCCACTCTGAGAGGAGGAACGGAAGAGGAAGCTGTTTGGTCTCTGAATGGAGCCAAGTGGCCGTGGAGCAGGTGCTGTCGCTGGGGCCGGAACCAGGGACACAGCGACAGGGGCAGGTGAGACAGGCATCCCCTCTGTGTCCCTCTCTCCCAACCAGCCCTCACCAACACAGGCCCCATCCTCCTCCCAAAATCCCTGTCCCACCTGGTCCAGCTATGGGAAGGGGCTCTTGGGAGGCAGGGGCAGGGGCGGGGGCTCCCTGCCCCGCTGCAGCCCCTGCTTGGGAGGCACTGGACTTAGGCGAGCCGCTGAGGAGAGACAGAAGGGAATTAGAGGGATGATGGTCATAGGAAGAGGAGTGGGGAGGGGATGCTGGCAGGAAACCTACTTGTGCATGGCTTGAGTGGACACGGCGGCGGCCCCTCCCACAACAGCCCTGAGCCCTGGCTTCAAGAGGCTGGAACAAGGAGAGGTGGGGTCAGCTAGCCCCAAGGCAGAACGGCTCAGCGGGGCTCGGTGGCCCCATTTCCAGGGCTCAGTGTCCAGCAACAGCCCCGGGCGGCCCTGGGTCCCACCTATCCTTCCTCGGGGCCCCCCACGCCCCGCTCTGCTGCTGCTGCCGCCGTTCCCGCTCCTGCCACAGCTGCAAGGTGTCCGGGCGCCGCCGCTCCTCCCCTGCCGGCTCCTCCCGCCTGAGGGACCAAGACAGGGCAAGAGGGGCAGACCCCGGGGTCAGGGAAGGAGGCGGTTGGGGGGTGGGAGGATCGGGCAGTGGCGTCAGTTTGGGGGCTTGGGGTACCTGCTGCTTGGTGCCCTCTCCCTGTCCCCTGCCCCAGGGCTTAATTCGGGTGGTCGCTGCTCCTAAGGAGAGAACAGCAGAGCAGCTGAGGGCAGGCCTGTGCCCACGCCTGCCCTGTCCCCTCCTCCAGCTCCCCTCCCTTGGGAGAGGCATAGCTGGGCTCTCACCTCCACAGTGCCTCGCTCTTCATCCTCCCCGGGGACATGGCTGTCGATGAAGTCAATCTGCACAGGGTCTCCGTCCGCTGGGGAGGCCAGCATGTCAGCAAGTGAGCGGGGACCCAGGCCCTGGTCCAGCCCAGCTCCCGGCCAGCCCTGCTACTCACCTGAGCCATCCTCCTTGCGTTCTCTGGGTCCCCGGGGCTCCCGGGCCAGCTCTGAGATCCGGAATGACAGCTCTGAAAATTCATCTGTTGACTGTAAAGGCAGAGGCAGAGATGGGAGATGGCCTCTCTGTACATGGGGGCTCAGGACCTGGGGGGTCCTGTGTGGGACTAAGCTCAGGGTCTCTGCTGAGCCAGCCCTTCCCTGGGATGCTGGGCAGAGGGAAGGAAGAGGACAGCTCCAGCCTCTGCCTGGCACCCTGCAATTTGGAGGTCCCCAGTTCAGAGGTGCTCTCCCAGGGCTGACACCCTCAATCACCCATGGACAGGACGCCCTTACCTCATTTCCAGACCACCTCTTGCTGCCACTATCAACGCTGTGGAAGCCTGAGTCCAGCCCACCATCGTACCGATGTCCCGGAAATAGATCCTCTGCAGGGCTGGGGCCAGCCAGGCGGATCTGGTCAGCCTGATGCTGGACAACAGCCCCCCATCCTCCTGCCAGAAAGCAGGGGGTGCCTGGGGCCGGGAAGGGGCATTCAGTATCCCAGGGCTTCCTTCCTCCCCACCTAGGACTTACCAGGGACTGAAACTCGGGGGCCGAGAAGGGGCCAGGTCCCCCAGGGCCGACCCACGCTGCCCGGCCTCTGTGGACAAATACTTGAAGATGTGAAGTTTCCCCTTCAGGCAGACCTGTGTGCGGGGCAGCACACGCCAGGGAGTTGGCAGGGAGGGCAGCTCCCCGGATCCTGCTCAGCTATCCAAGGGGACCAACCCCACTCCTGCCTAGCCACACCCCTGTCCTCGTGGCCCCCCAGGCACCCGCCTCACCTGGGCAGGTGGACTCTGCAGAGGGTTGCTGTCCAGCAGAATGACCTGCAGGTGCCTCAGGCGGCAGAAGGAGACTGGGATTCGGGAGACGCGGTTACAGGAGAAATCCAGGCGGACCAGAGGGAGGTCCCCCAGCTCTGGAACAGGTGGGCAAGGGAAAAGTCAGGAACATGCTCAGGGCTGTGGCCTCGTGCTCACTCCCTCACCCTTGGCTCCAGCTGGCCAGTCACCCTGGGCCCAGCACAGCCTCTCCCCTGGGTGGCTCAAGTCATTCCCCGGGAGAAACCTCCCTGCTCCTCTCTCCACATGATTCTGGTCCACGGTCTAAGCGAGCCTCCCTGAGAGGGCCCATCTGGACGTCAGCTCAGCTTCCCCGGGAAGGCCCATCCGGACGTCAGGTCCCGCCCAGCCCTGTCTGTCCTCCTCATCTCCTCGCCTGCCCACTCCACACTCGAACCCACCCTCCATTTTCAAATGATCAGCACAAGGCACAAACCCTGTTCAAACACCTCCTGTGACATGCAACCAGGGCTGCAGATGTTGAGCGGATTGTGGCCGCCCGGGAGTCCCCTTTCCCCAGCACGGGCCCAGCACTGCACCCTGCATGAAATGCTGCCTGCCCACAGGGAAAGGTGCCTTTTGCTCATCTTAAAAAGGCACAGTCTGGGACCGGCACGGTGGCTCACGCCTGTAATCCCAGCAATTTGGGAGGCCAAGGCGGGTGGATCACAAGGTCAAGAGATTGAGACCACCCTGGCTAACATGGTGAAAACCTGTCTTTACTAAAAATACAAAAAATTAGCCGGGTGTGGTGGCGGACGCCTGTGGTCCCAGCTACTTGGGAGGCTGAGGCAGGAGAATGGCGTGAACCTGGGAGGCGGAGCTTGCAGTGAGCCGAGATTGCGCCACTGCACTCCAGCCTGGGTGACAGAGCGAGACTCTGTCTCAAAAAAAAAAAAAAAAAAGGCACAGTCTGGATTCATGGCGGCCCTAAGCACAGAATAAAACCCACAGCTCCCTAACCCAGCATGAGGAAGGCTTCCACAACCTGGCTCCACCCGCGTTTCCCACCTCACTGCCCACCCCTCCGGGCCCTCAGCTTCTGAGCCTTCCCAGGTGCTGTTTGCTCAGCTGGGAGAACTCCATTTTCCCCATCCATGCATCTTTCAAGGTTCAGCTCAAGCATCACCACCTCCTCGGTGGATCGTTCCAGACATCCCAGATTGGATGGAACTCATTGCTCTTGCCTCTGTCCCCAGGACATCTTGCTTGGATTTCTTTTTATGGCCCAGAGAGAGCCCTTCCTACCCCTTTTGACTGGGAAGGAAGAGGGCAGGTGCAGAAAGGGTCAGGGAGTAGGGAGACAGGGAAAGTGGATGACCACCTCACTCCCTCCTTGTTCTTCAAAACCAAGTTCACACTTGAGCATGGCACAGGCCTTCCTGCCATGCCTGGCTCACCTTCCTAACCCCATGCTTTGCACATGCTGGGTCCTCTGCCTGGATGCAGAAGGCTGGGGAATTCTCCTTCAATGTTCGGCTCCCACTGCGCCTGCGCCTCCGGTGAAGTCTTCCCCAGGACCCCCACGCAGAGTCCAGTGCCACCTCCCTCTAGCCCCCGTCTGGGGAACCCCCTGACGGAACTTCCCTATGACTGTCTCTCCTCAAGAAGCCATTAAATCCCTAAGAGATGGCCCCAGATCTTAGTCACATCACCCGCATCTACCTGATCCCAACACAGGAATCATACACACATCACACACACACACACACACACACACACACACACACACACACAAAACCCACACACACGCAAACAACATACATACACACAGACACAAACAACATGCACAACACACACATAAACATACACAACACATACACACAACCCACACAACACACACCCAAACACACACAACACATACAACACACACAACACAGACCTAAACACACACAACAGACATAAACACAAACACACACACAAAGACACACACAGACACAAACACACATACACATGCACAGACACACACGACATAACACAGACATAAACACAACACACACACAAACACAGACACACAAACATACACACGCACACACACGACATAAATAACACAGACATAAACACAACACACGAACAGACACAGACACACATACACATGCACATAGACACACATGCACAGACACACAGACACATGCACAGACACAACACACACATACACAAACACATACATACACACAGACACACACATGCACGCAGACACAAGACATAACACACACAGACACACACACATGCTGCTGCCTGCTGAACAAAAGGCATGCCTGCTTTGGGGCAGAGGCTATCAGTGCATCACAACAAGCACATTAGATGGGCCACCTGGGCTCTGGCACTGGCCCTGGCATCTCCGGGAGGAGTGGCGGAGCATCCCGACTCAGGTGTTTGAGAGCCCCTGCTGGGGTGAGCAGGGCTGCTGGGTGACCTTGAAGGCCCCTTCTGACCTTGCCAGTCTACCTAGAGCTGATGCACCCACCAGCTCCCCTTCTGTGCCTGTGTCCACGTTTCTAACACAGCTGCTCATCTGCGCCCTGCCAGCATCAGAGGGTTGCTAGGTCAAGATCAAATCAGATCGTTTACAGTTTGTTTTATATACTGCAAAAGCCTGGACAATGAAGGTGTAATTCTCCTCTGAAGATTCCTGGCCTGTAACTTCTTCAAAGCACATACACTGTTATGGACTGAAATGTGTCACCCAAAAAGTCCTCTGCTGAAATCCTAACCCCCAAAGTGATGGGATTAGGAAGCGAGGCCTTAGGGAAGTAATTGAGATCATGAGGGTGGAGCCCTCATCAGTGAGATTTGTGCTCCTTTATCAAAGAGGCCCCAGAGGGCTGTCTCTGCTCTCCGCCATCGGAGAGTACCACAAGGAGCCGGCAGTCTGCAGCCAGGAAAAGCACCCTGCCAGAAGCTGACCATGGAAGCACCCAGATCCTGAACTTCAGCTTCCAGAACTGTGAAAAATGAATGCCTGCCATGTATAAGCTACCCGGTCTGCAGTGTTTTCGTTACCGCAGCCTGAGCCAACTGGGACGCACATACAAACACCTCCTCTCCAGTTCTTCATTCTTCTCACCTTCGGGCAGCGTACTGAGCTGGTTCCTCCGGACATTGAGGTCCCGCAGGGAAGAGAGGCCACACAGTTCCGAGGGCAGGGATTGGAGCTCGTTGCTGCTCACGTCCTGGTATCAGGAAGGCAGTGGGAAGGGGCCATGAGACCAGGCCCAGCAGAACCCACCCTCCCATCTCTGTCTTTGCTCCAGGCCCTCCCCAACCTCCCCCTAGAAGGTCCCGCTGCCTGGCTCAGGGGTCCCTTTCCTGGTCCCGTCCCCATCCTCACAAGCTGTCGCAGGCTTCCCAGGGTGCCGATGTCAGGGGGCAGGGCTCCCAGCTTGTTGTTGCTGACGATGAGGACCCTCAGGGGCAGCTGGCAGATGTAGGGTGGCAGCAGCGACAGCTGGTTTCGGCTGTGGAAGGGAGAAAGGCAGCGGACTGGCTCCCCAGGCATGGCATCCCAGCACTGCCATCCTCTCGGGGTCACTGGGTGGGTCACTCAGTAGTACTTGAGACTGAGAAGCACACGCTCCCACGTGGCCCTGGCTCGGCCTCCCTACCTGAGGTTGAGGTAGGTGAGGGCTGTGAGATTCCCCAAGGCTGGGTTCAGGCATCTCAGGCAATTGTGGTAGAGGCTCAGGCCCTCCAGGGACACCAGCTGGCACGCCGCCTCGGGCACCTCGGGAAACCGGTTCCGGGACAGGTCTGGGGAAAAGGAGGTGTCGGGGAGAGTTGCGGAAAGGCCCAGCCCGGACAGGACCTTCAGTCCCCCCAGAGCCGGCTGCCCACTCCCTCACCTCCACACCTAAAGATTCAAGGCCATCAATGTGGCCTCCCAGGAGAGATAACAAAGCCTTCTGCCAACGGGAGCACATTCCAGGCGTGACCAGAATGGCACAGGGAAGGCAAAGGCCTTAGCGTCACTGGGCTAGAGAAGCCTCAGACTTGGGGGTTGGGGAATGTCAATGGAGGGCTATCCTGGAGAGCAGCTGGAATCTCTAACTCCTGTGGTTCCTGTTCAGAGATGCCAGGTGAGGCGGAGGACCGAAGGTGAGAGGAGGGGTCAGTGCTCATGGGAAAACAGTAAGGCGAGGGGCTGGGGGGCTCCCGGAGGGAAGATGGGAAACCCCTGGGGCAAACCACAGGGAGTGCCCATCCCTCCTCGGGGCCCTTCTTCCCTACTCCAGTGTGTTTTCAACACGGGAAAAACCACAGGTCACTCTATCTTGGTTCTAGAGATAAAGTCCCCGACACCGGACGAGTTTTTCGCCAGCCCCAAGGACCAGCAAGCCAGGTCCAAAGAATCATAAAGTTACTGATTCCCAAGGGCTGGGAGGGAAGGGCAAGAAGACCTGGTTGGAGATGGGAGCTGGAGTTCCCAGGTCCCTCCCATCTGGGCTTCTCTGGCCCAGGGCAGGCATCCTTCCTACCCTCTGCTAGCCCTAGCAGCCCGGCTCTGCTTCCTCTCTTACTGACACAGACTTCAAGAGATCAGCAACTGTGTGAGCATCTCAGGCACGGCGAGGGTGGAGAGTGTGGGAGGGCCTGGGGTCTACAATCGCCCTCTTATCTGGAGCACTGCCTTGCTATGCGGAGGCTGGCAGCCTTGGGATTCCCTGTAGCACGGACCCACTAACGGCTTAGACCTGGAGAAGCCTGCCTTTCTGTTTCCTCGGCCCAGCCTGTCCTGGGAGGGGCCCAGGGCCCGCGAGGCGGAGTCCCAGGCCACAGACCTGGTGAGCTTCTCCAAGGGCCCTTCTCAGGGAAGGGCAGGCCAGCAAAAGCAAGCAGAGGAGAGAAGCCGGGTATATCCCCCAAGGAAATGAGTCTTGTGACAGGAAATGAAGTAGAAACAATCTGTCAGGTTCTGGCTCTGGTAGGCCCCGTGTTTACCAGGGTGGATGACAGCCTGATGCCCCGGGACCCCTTTCTCTTCCTCTCTGCCCAGCCCTGGTGCACAGACAGAAGCCCTGGCCTCAGAGATGACCGTTCTGGAGAGGGTGGGGGGATGGCATTTGCCCCTCCCAGCCTCGCCTCCACCTGCCCGCTTTCTCTGCAAATGTGTTTGTGTGTGTGCATGTGGACGAAGGGGGTGGAGACCGAGTTCTCAGAGTTCTGATGGGGTAGGCGGTGGCGGGGACAAAAGCTAGGAGCGGAAGGGAGCTCAGGCAGGAGGCAGGGCACTGGGGGCACAGGATGTGGTCTGGGAGAGAATGAGCTGCACTTCTCCTTTGCAAGATGGCCCCTCCCCGCCACCTCAGGATTCTTCCTACTATCACCCCAGGGAGCCTAGTCCAAGGGAGATCAGGGACCCAAGACTAGGCGACACGCAGCGAAGACACTCAGAAAGAGATGGGAGACGGGAGGGGAAGGCTCAAGGCAGTCCGGGCAGCAAGGCACTGATGCTTTTCGTCTGCTTGGAGGGCGAGGAGAGATGGAGGGCAGGGTATGGGCAACTGTATGTTTTTGTCACTTCCCCTTTCTGTCCCTGCTTGCGGAGAGGGGACAGAGGAGAGAATTCTGGACAAGAGGGACCCCACTTGGCCTAGAACCTGGGCCCTGTGTAGAGAGTGGGGCAGAGGAGGGTTCTTGGGAAGCTGGGATTTCCGACCCCCCCCCAAGCTCACAGGAGCACGGCTGCACCCTGAGCCGGAATGCTGGGGGAGGAGGGGGCCGGGGGCGGGAGCTGGGAGGGGCCGGGGAGCTCCGGGTAGTTTTCCCCAAGAGTCCACACAGGGAGAGACAGCCTAAGGAAGTAAAGAATAACATTTGGTCTTTGTCAAAAAACAACCAAGGGGGAGGGGAAGGGAACAGACAGTGAGTGTCACACAGCTGCTGAGGTCAATCTGGAGTGTGGGGTTAGGTGGGGGTGGGAGGGAACAGGGCTGTAAGGGGCAGGAATGGCTCCTGGAGCTCACTCATTCCCCATCTCAAGTGTTGCAGAGCAGGCGAGATCAGTGGGGAGGTTTCGACTGGTTCTCCCCAGAAGAGGGAAGAGGATGTGTGCCAGTGCCGGCCTGAGTGTTCCCAGGTGAGCAGGCACCTGCTTAGGGAGAAGTAAGCACTATCCTCCAGCTCTGGTCCCCCACCGTGCAGATGAGAGGAGGAAGAGGCCTGGGCTGGGGTGAGGCTTCGGGAATGCAGTCCTCCTCCCTGATCCTGATCCCCACCCCCAGCTGCCGGCCCAAGGTCATAGGCTGCCTCCTGAGTAGCTGAGGCTTGACTCACCTGTCACAGTTAAGTCCCCCACCCCCTACCATCCACAGACACCAGGGTGGAGGGTGCATGGTTGGACAGATCCTGCGGGTGGAGGCGTGGAAGGACAGTCTCTAGCTGGCCAGCACTCCCAGCTAGGAGATAAGATTTCCTTCCCTCCAGCAACGGCCTCAAGTCCCTCCCCCGGGGGAAAGCAGAAACTGAAATGGGAATTCTAAGATCCCTATGAGGTCACAGGCTCCACAGTGACCTCACAGGCTTAGGAAGGAGGAGGAGGAATCTCAGATAAGCCGGTTGGGGATAATAGGCGGAAGAGCTCAGGGAGAAAAGAGTGAGGGGAGGTAGAGATTTGTTTCTTTCCCATAGGCTGGAGAGCTGCGTGGACAGTGGAGAGGGCCAGGACCTTAGGGGGCGGGGTTGCGGCACAGAAAGCAGAAACCTCGGGCTTAGGGGCCAGTCACTGGGAAGGGGGTGCCCGGGGCTGCTCGGATCTCGGTGGGACGGGGGTTAAGAGGTGTAGATGAAGAGGGAGAGAAAGCAGTTATTAGAGGAGCTCGTGGGGACTGCTTCATAGACCGATTGGAGCTGAGGTTAAGAGATCATGTAAATAAGCCAACCAGGTGAGGGGCGGGACCATCCTACAGGTGCGCAGATATGCAAATAAAGAGAAAGGAGGAATCTCTCCCAACGCTCGGAGGCGCAGGGCGTTCTGTGCAAACGAGAAGCACGTTCATTGTCTAGGGGGTTCTCAAAGATGGGAGAGGATGGCTGCAGGTTTAGGGCAATCAGGAGGGGCAGCAACCCTGGCCGCCAGGTGAAGGGGCGGGCCCGACTCCCGGGCCGGGCGGGGCCCGGGGTGGGGCTATGCAAATGAGGGACCCGGTTGGGCCCGGGGCCCGGCTGCACTCACCAGCCTGGGTGATGTCTGACAGGTCGTAGCTACGGGCCGCGCCCCGGGGGAAGTGCTTCAAGCGCCGGTTAGACAGGTTCAGGGTCCCGGTGGCCACGGCCTCCTCTAGGGCCCGCTCTGCACTGCGTCTCCCCGGCAGACCTGGAGACCCGGGCACGGAGGTCGTGGCTGCCGCCTCCTCACCCCCGGCGGCGAGTGGAGCCGCTACGGCCGCCGCCATCCGCTCCCGGCGGCTCCCGCTGCCTGACTGACGGGACCGGCCGTCCCTCCTTCCCCCACCCCCTCCTTGGAGCCGCCGTAGTTGCCTCAAGGGGGAGGGAGCGGTGTCCGGGACCGGACGGACCAATCGTGGCCCCGAGACGCGTCAGAAGCGGCCAATCAGAACCCGTCAGTGGGGGTGGAGCTCCGGCGCCGGAGTCTGACGAGAGAAGGGAGGGGAACAAGGATAGAGCGCTCGCCAACGGCCGACGCTCCAGGCCGTCCCGCCCAGCGCAGCTGCACCCAATCACAATGCTCAGATCGGGAGGTGGAGCCAATCAGGTCCAACCAAGAGGAGGGGACACCGGCACTCCACTAGCAGGAAAACGGGCCGAGGGACCGCAAGCAGGGGGTGCCTAGTCCTCGTCCCCCAAAGACCAATCGTAAGCCAGATACAGGCGAGTGACTGTCAAGAAGGCCAATTAGAGCCTCCGAAGGGAATCTGGACCTGCCTCTTCTCTGAGGGACGGCTCTACCTACCAATAGCATGGGCGAGAAGGCGGTCCCTTTGCTAAGGAGGAGGCGGGTGAGCTAGAACTTTAAGACTGAGGTTAAGAATGAACGCGGAGCCCCTGGCCGGCCGGGAACGCAGTTCGCCGCTGCAGTGGCGAGTGCGAGCTGGACGTGTTAGGGGGCTAGCCGGCGTCCAGGGCTTGAGGGGATTCGGGCGACTGCTTGAGGCCAGTGCACTGGCGGTTGTCGCAGCTGAAGGGGCAGCGGGGGGACCTCCGACTGTGAAGCCTCTGGCAGGGGTCTCGGGACCCCCGGGCTGGGGGCGGGCGGGGGGCTTCCCAGAGCCTGGAGATGCCCAGCTCGAGGAGGGAGGGTGTAGGTGCAGCGTTGCACGGTCTGCCGTCTCACCCGAGGAGCTCCCCTGGACAGGAATGGAGAGGGGACCAGACCACGGGGTTTTAGAGGCTTAGAAAGGATCTCACCGCCTAGAACACGCCCTTGGTGCTACGAATGCAGAAACTGAGGCAGAGGGAAGTTGATGCGTTAGCAAGAGCGAACAGCAAGTTCCTGACAGCTGGCTTGCTCTAGAAACCAGGTCTCTGGATCCTCCACGCACAGCCCTTTCCCGCTCCCTCAGTTTTCACAGTGGATGTTTTCACTCCCTTCCTCTCTTCCTCCCTCCCTCCCTCTCCCTTCCGTTCCCTTCCTCTTTTTATTTTTTTATTTTTTGAGATGGAGTCTCGCTCAGTCGCCCAGGCTGGAGTGCAGTGGCGCGATCTCGGCTCACAGCAACCTCCACTGTCCGGGTTCAAGCAATTCTCCTGCCTCAGCCTCCCGAGTAGCTGGGACTACAGGCGCCCGCCACCACACCCGGCTAATTTTTTGTATTTTAGTAGAGACGGGGTTTCACCGTGTTGCCCAGGCTGGTCGCAAACTCAGGAGCTCAGGCAATATGCCCTCCTCGGCCTCCCAAAGTGCTGGCATTACAGGCGTGAGCCACCGCGCCCGGCCTTTTTTTTTTTTTTTTTAAGAAGGTCTGATTCTGTCGCCCAGGCTGGAGTGCAGTGGTGCAGTCATGGCTCACTGCAGCCTTGAATGCCTGGGCTCAAGTGATCCTCCTGCCTCAGCCTCCCAAGTAGCTGGGACCACGGGCGGCACCACTGCACCTGGCTAATTTATTTTCAATTTTTGTAGAGATGGGGTTTTGCTATGTTGCCCAGGCTGGTCTCAAACTTTTGACCTCAAGCGATCCTGCCTCTGCCTCCCAAAGTACTGGGATCACAGGCGTGAGCCACCGCACCCGGCCCACAGTGGACTTTTTCTTTCTTTTGAGACAGAGTCGCTCTGTTGCCCAGGCTGGAGTGCAGTGGCTTGATCGCAGCTCACTGCAGCCTCAACCTCCCACCTCAGCCTCCCGAGTAACTGGGACTACAAGCACGCACCACCATGCCAGCTAATTGTATTTTTTGTAGAGACAGGGTCCTACTATGTTGCCCAGGCTGATCTCAAACTCCTGGGCTCAAGCAATGCTCCCACCTCGGCCTCCCGAAGTGCTGGGATTATAAGCGTGAGCCACAAAGCCTGGCCCACAGTGGACTTTTTCTATTCACAACCTCTCGTTTGCCTCCTGGGGTGAAATGGAGTGGATAAAGGGGACCCAAATGCAAGAGGAATGGAAAATACCTTTCTGTCTACTTGGAGATCTTCCTTTCTAAGTGGCATGAGTCCCTAATGCAGTCCCCTCCCTATGTGGTAGGTTGCCCAGAAATAAGTCACTGAAGTTGCTTTCTCCTTAGTTCACATCTCAGAGGTTGATATTCCTGAGTAGTTGCTGAAGAATTAAAATTCCATCTCAGGCATCCCAGCCTAGCCATGGCTAGGCACCATACATAAGGGAATTTGGGTGGTCAGTCTGGTGCAGTCAATGAACGGATCTGTGACACTGTGTGGTGAGGGCTGGTGGTCTGGCAGGATGGGACTCCTTTGAGCCCCTGCAAGAGCCAGCCACTCCTTGGATTTATTGGTGTAGATCTGGCCTGAGTGGGACAGACACAACCCTGACCCCTGCTGTTTCTCCTGATAAATGTCACCCCACATAAGACAAAGCTAATATCAGAGACCCTGGGAGAAATCCTAAGCTTTCAGAGGAAATCCATCCCTTTCTCCCACCTTAATAGGTTGTCCTTTATACATGCAATGATGTTACTGTCCCTCAGGAAAGCAAAAGCAGTCTTCTTTTTTGTTTGTTTTTTTTGAAACTGGGTATCATTCTCGCCCGGGCTGGAGTGCAGTGGCACGATCATAGCTCACTGCTGCCTCAAACTGGGCTCAAGCAATCCTCCTGCCTCAGCCTCCTGTGTAGCTGGGACTACAGGGGTGCATCACCACGCCTGGGTAATTTTTAAGTTTTTTTTTTTTTTTAATAGACGCAGGGTCTATGTTGACCAGGCTGGTCTTGAAACCCATGGCCTCAAGCCATCCTTGCACCATGGCCACCCAAAAGTGCTGGGATTTCGGGCGTTAGCCACCGGCACCAGGCTGCAGTCTCCTTTTGGATGTGTTTTTTCACAAGTCTAAAGAGTTTGCTGAATCATTTGTGAGCTAAACGATTATTAGCACAGTCACCTCTCCATCTCACCTGTCAAACTGAGTTTATAGTTTTTTGAGTCTATACTCTTGAGCTACCAATCCCTAGAGGCCTTGGCCTGCTGAAATGTGAGGAATTCACTAGTGTTTCTCTACAGAGTTAGTGCTAAAAGGGCCTCAAATAGGAAAACTTCCTCCTGCTCCCTGAAATAAAGATGTCACCTACCAGTAATTCACACTTTATTTCTCCAGTAAAATGCATATCCCTTGAGCCATGTGATGGCTAGAACTGAGCTAGAACCCAGGAGCTGTCTAAGAGATGGGTCCTGGGCAAGATTAAAGGGAACAGGTCACAGTGGCCAAACAGTGAGGTCACAGAGAGGTTTGTTAGCCCCAGACTCCATGGGGGAGGGGCCTAGGAGGCAGAGGGGCCTCAGAGGTCCCCCAAGCCTAGGCTGGGGACATGGTGTGGGAAAGCCAGCAGGAACGGGGGGGCCAAGGGCCTAGGAGACAGGAGGGCAGGAGCAGGGAGGGGGCAATCAGGATGGTCAGGGGAAGCCAGAGACGGAAGCTGCAAAAATTCACCAGGCTGTGTGGACGGGAGGAGGGGCTCCGGGTGAGGGGGATTGGCCGCAGGAGATCGGGAGGAGTTATTTGGAGAAGTTAGGGATGGGTCTGGAGAGAGAGGGGAGGAAATAACTGTGCCCAGCTAGAGTCAGATGAGCCCCAAGGTAGGCGGAGAGAAGGGAAAAAAGGATGTGGGACCCTCATGGGACCCTATGCACCCCTTCTTGGGTAGGTGAAGAGAAGCTGCCCTTCTTGTGGCTCGGAGCTTGGGGTTGAAGAGAAGAGGGGGAAAGGAAATCCGATTTCCATCCAGTTGTTCCCCCCAGAGCTGGTGAGTCCTTGGGGAGGGGGATTGAGAATAATAGGATTGGGGGCCAGATCACCGAGGGGCCACCAAAGACTCCCCGCTTCTTCCCTCCTCCCTCCCAGGTGGAGCATATCATCTCATTCCTCCCAGTCAGAGACCTTGTTGCCCTCGGCCAGACCTGCCGCTACTTCCACGAAGTGTGCGATGGGGAAGGCGTGTGGAGACGCATCTGTCGCAGACTCAGTCCGCGCCTCCAAGATCAGGGTTCTGGAGTCCGGCCCTGGAAGAGAGCTGCCATTCTGAACTGTACACCTTCCCCAGAACCTCCCGTTCTCCTTGCCTCTGTCCCGCCTTAGCCTTCCTGCTCTCTAAAGTCCCCTGATGACCCCCACACTCCCAACAGTGCTTCCAGGGCCCCTTTCTCCGGAAGAAACGGGTCCAGTTCAAACATTCTCCCTTGAGTACTTCCTCCAAGTCTTCGGAATCCACCCACAGCCCCCGTTAGCGGCCTCCCTGCCAAGTCTCCCTCTGTACACAGACACTTCCCGCTTTTTCCCTAGAGGCATCCCTCACTCCCCAAACCTGGAGTTTTCCCTCCTCTAACCCAAGGCTTCTGAACTCACTGTTGATATTCTGGGCAAAATAATTCCTTGATGTGGGGAGCTGTCCTCTGCATGGTGGGATGTTTAAGCAGCAACCCTGGCCTCCACCCACCAGATGGCCAGCAGCATCCCCCTTAATTGTGACAACCAATGCCCTTGAAGGACAAAATCACCCCTAGCCTGAGAACCATGCCATAAACCCTCTTCCCCTCCAGGGATCCCCCAGGGTGTACTTCTTACACTCACTGGGAGATTAAAAGAGAAGGGGGACCCAGAAAACAGATCCAAAGCTAGGGGTGAGGGAGGATGACCGGCCTTCATCAATCATTCCTTTTCACTCCTGTTTCTGTCTCTTCTCTTTTCTTTCTTTTTCTTTGATTTTTTTTTTTTTTTTTTTTTTTTGAGACAGGGTCTTGCTCTGTCACCCAGGCTGGAGCACAGTGGTGCAATCTTGGCTCAATGCAACCTCCACCTCCCGGGTTCAAGTATTCTCGTGCCTCAGCCTCCTGAGTAGCTGGGATTACAGGCTCCCGCCACCACACCCGGATAATTTTTGTATTTTTAGTAGAGATGGGGTTTTGCCACGTTGCCCAGGCTGGTCTCAAACTCCTGGGCTCCCAAAGTGCTGGGATTACAGGCGTGCAAAAATTCACTGAGCTGTGAGGATGGGAGGAGGGGCTCAGGGTGAGGGGGGTGGATGCCGCACGCAGCCTCTGTGTCTTTATTCTTAGAGTTTTCCTCAACATCACTGATGCAAGGTTGCACCAAAGAACTGCTCACTAAGAAGCAAATGTTTGACCCTGGGCTGAGGTGGGGTGGAGACTAAAGTTCACATGTCGAGTATAATCTAAGCTTATTTTCCACATCTCCTTCATAAGGGGTCTGTTTGTTCCCCTGTCCTGGGGATGGGGAGGAACTACAAACCAGCGTGTCTAAGAAATCTACCCAAGCTCCAACTCATCTCCCTCGTGTCATCTCATCCCTTGAACCTTCCATCTCCTTCCTTCCTCCAGACACGAAGGGCCTGTATTTCCAGGCATTTGGAGGCCGCCGCCGATGTCTCAGCAAGAGCGTGGCCCCCTTGCTAGCCCACGGCTACCGCCGCTTCTTGCCCACCAAGGATCACGTCTTCATTCTTGACTACGTGGGGACCCTCTTCTTCCTCAAAAATGCCCTGGTCTCCACCCTCGGCCAGATGCAGTGGAAGCGGGCCTGTCGCTATGTTGTGTTGTGTCGTGGAGCCAAGGATGTGAGTAGCAGAACCCTGGCAGCTGAGAGCCCACCTGTATTAGTCCATTTTCACACTGCTATAAAGACGTACCAGAGGCCGGGTGCAGTGGCTTACACCTGTAATCCTAGCACTTTGGGAGGCTGAGGCAGGCGGATCAGCTGAGACCAGGAGTTCGAGACCAGCCTGGCCAAATGGCGAAACCCGTCTCTACTAAAAATACAAAAATTAGCTGGGTGTGGTGGTGGGTGCCTATAATTCCAGCTACTTGGGAGGCTGAGGCAGGAGAATTGCTTGAACTTGGGAGGCAGAGGCTGCAGTGAGCTGAGATCGCACCCTTGCACTCCAGCCTGGGCAACAAGAGGGAGACTCCGTCTCGAAAAAAAAAGACATACCTGAGACCGGGTAATTTATAAGGCAAAGAGGTTTAATTGACTCATAGTTCCACATGACTGGGGAGGCCTCAGGAAACTTACAATCATGGCAGAAGGGAAAGAGGCACGTCTTACATGGCAGCAGGCGAGAGCACACAAGCAAGAGCAGGGAAAACTGCCTTATAAATCCGTCAGACCTCGTGAGAACCCACTATCACGAAAACAACATGGGGGAAATTGCCCCCGTGAGCCAATCACCTCCCACTGGGTATTACAATTCGAGATGAGATTTGGGTGGGGGCACAGAGCCTAACCATATCACCACCTCTCTTTTGAGGACCCAGGCCCCCATCAGTCTTGAGGTGTCTTTCCTATGACTTCTGCCCTCCCACATAGGAACCTGAAATCAAGGGCTCATTTCCCAACTCTGGACCCAAGCATTTCACTTCCCACCCCAGGATCCAGCTGCCCCAGCCCCATCCCATTTTGAAACTCTAGATCCCAGACGCCCTCATCTTTTCCCCCAGTTTGCCTCGGACCCAAGGTGTGACACAGTTTACCGTAAATACCTCTACGTCTTGGCCACTCGGGAGCCGCAGGAAGTGGTGGGTACCACCAGCAGCCGGGCCTGTGACTGTGTTGAGGTCTATCTGCAGTCTAGTGGGCAGCGGGTCTTCAAGATGACATTCCACCACTCAATGACCTTCAAGCAGATCGTGCTGGTTGGTCAGGAGACCCAGCGGGCTCTACTGCTCCTCACAGGTGTGGCCCAAAGCAATGGCTTTTGCAAACTGTTTCCTGCAGATTCCTCAGACCCTGCTGCAGAGGAGGGGGAGGGAGGCCCCTCAGACTGGGTTCCATATGCCACCTTATCCTAGTCTCCATCTAAACAGCTCTGCCCTTCTCTGTCTCCTAGTCTAGGATTCTGCTTAATATTTTATATGAATAAAAGGCCCTGTCCAGGTGTGGTGGCTCACACCTGTAACCCCAGCACTTTGGGAGGCCGAGGTGAGCAGATCACCTGAGATCTGGAGTTTGAGACCAGCCTGGCCAACATGGCGAAACCCCATCTCTACTAAAAAATACAAAAATTAGGTCGGGTGCGGCGGCTCACACCTGTAATCCCAGTTTTTGGGAGGCCAAGGCGGGTGGATCACGAGGTCAAGAGATCGAGACCAACATGGTGAAACCCTGCCTGACTCTACTAAAAAAAAATACAAAAATTAGCCAAGCGTGGTGGCGCGTGCCTGTAGTCTAAGCTACCTGGGAGGCTGAGGCAGGAGAATCCCTTGAACCCAGGAGGCAGAGGTTGCAGTGAGCCGAGATCACGCCACTGCACTCCAGCCTGGTGACAGAGCGAGACTCCGTCTCAAAAAAAAAAAAAAAAAAAAATTAGCCGGACGTGGTGGCATGGACCTGTAGTCCCAGCTACTTGGGAGCCTGAGGCAGGAGAATCGCTTGAACCCAGGAGGTGGAGGTTTCAGTGAGCCGAGATTATGCCACTGCACTCCAGCCTGGGTGACAGAGTGAGACTCCATCTCCAAAAAAAAAAAAAAAAAAAAAAATCAGATGTCCCCAGCTTCCATGCCAACCACCTCACTATACTCCAAACTGCTCCCTACTTTCCCAATGTCCTTTATACTCAACCACATCCCCAGGCCTGAGACCCTTTAGGCTTTTTCTTAAAATATTTTTTTCTTTTTTGGAGCAAGGTAGAGATGGGGTCTTGCTATGTTGCCCAGGCTGGTCTCGAACTCCCTGCCTCAAGTGATCCTCCTGCCTTGGCCTCCCAAAGTGCTGGGATTACAGGTGTGAGCCACCACACTTGACCACCTCTAAACTTCTGAATGCCAGGCAGGGCCCTCAATCCCCAGACCTCTCACTCAAATCGGATTCTAACAAATCTGCTAGATTTTTCTCTCTGCTCATCTCTCATGCTGAAGTACTTCCCTGATTTATGGTGGGAACTGGAGTCTGGGGGACTTGGGGTCACTCTTCCCTTATTTCTTTCTCAGCCCCACTCTAGGGCAGTAAATGTGTCACCCATATGGCCTAGGGAGTCTCTTGGGATGTTTATGTGGATATTGGAGAATCCCCTCCCCAACTAATTGCTTCCCCTACCCCCAGAGGAAGGAAAGATCTACTCTTTGGTAGTGAATGAGACCCAGCTTGACCAGCCACGCTCCTACACGGTTCAGCTGGCCCTGAGGAAGGTGTCCCACTACCTGCCTCACCTGCGCGTGGCCTGCATGACTTCCAACCAGAGCAGCACCCTCTACGTCACAGGTATGGACCACCTCCCCCCGGCTCAAGCCCGCAGCCTTGGTTAGACCCTCTAAACATCAACACCCTTCACCCTTACTCCAGCTGCATGGTGAACCCCTGAGGGCATCCTAGTGAAAAGATGTGTTTAGGGCCGGCATGGTGACTCATGCCTGTAATCCCATCACTTTGGGAAACCGAGGCAGGTGAATCACCTGAGGTCAGGAGTTCAAGACCAGCCTGGCCAACATGGCGAAACCCCATCTCTACTAAAATACAAAAATTAGCTGGGTGTGATGGCAGGCGCCTGTAATCCCAGCTACACCAGAGGCCGAGACAGGAGAATCACTTGAACCAGGAGGTAGAGGTTGCAGTGAACTGAGATCGTGCCACTTCGCTCCAGCCTGGGTGACCGAGGGAGACTCGGTCTCAAAAGATGTGTTTTCAGTTCCCAGGCATCATAGTTGATGCATTCCTAGTGGGTATGAGACTCCTTGGATCTTGTAGCTTTCATCCCAGGTGGGGCCTTATCCCTAGGAAATGGGTGCCCAAAGCTGCTGAGCTGAGGGCTCCTGACCCCCCAGACCAGGGGGGAGTGTATTTTGAGGTGCATACCCCAGGGGTGTATCGCGATCTCTTTGGGACCCTTCAAGCCTTTGACCCCCTGGACCAGCAGATGCCGCTTGCTCTCTCACTGCCTGCCAAGGTAGGCTCCTGGAGGGACGGGGCAAACCAGAGGGGTGGCGCTGTAGGGATTGGAAGGTCTGAAGTATTATAGGAATCAGATTATTGATCCAGAGGGGCAGGGGATCCCCAGGGAGAGGTATGCCAAAAGAGATCAGCTGGGGGCTCGGTGCGGAGGGAGGCTGAGGAGGGAGTATCGCTTGAGCCCAGGAGCTCTAGACCAGCCTGGGCAACATAGTGAGATCCCATCTCTAAAATATATATATAGAAAGAGATCAGCTGGGGATGGCAGGTTAGTGGCTTGGAGACTCTGGAACTCAGAGTTCCTCTGGAGGGAATGGAATCCCTATCCCCTTTCTATCTTGCACGCTAGATCCTATTCTGTGCTCTTGGCTACAACCACCTTGGCCTGGTGGATGAATTTGGCCGAATCTTCATGCAAGGAAATAACAGATACGGGCAGCTAGGAACAGGGGACAAAATGGACCGAGGGGAACCCACACAGGTGAGACTATTTCCCAGCAACTCTCATCCCAACCCCTTTCCTCCAATTCCCTAACCCCCAGATCTGTCCACTTCTCCAGATTCCACAGAATCCAATTTCTGTTCCTTTGGGAAGTTAAGCCACTCAGTATGTAATGCCAGTGGTACTACCCCATGTCTTACCCAGGGTTGGCACTACGAGGTCCATTCTGTGCAGTGCACACTGTAAATGCAATAGGAATTTAGTGAAGGGGTAGGGTGGGTGACCTGGGCAGGCTAGAGACTTCTAGAAGAGGTAAGATGTGAGCAGGGGCCAGGTGCAGAGCCTCACGCCTGTAATCCCGACACTTTGGGAGGCCGAGGTGGACAGATCACTTGAGGTCAGGAGTTCTAGACCAGCCTGGGCAACATGGTGAAACCCCGTCTCTACCAAAAATATAAAAAATTAGCTGGCTGTGGTGGCACATGCCTGCAATCCCAGCTACTCAGGAGGTTGAGGCAGGAGATTCTCTTGAACCTGGGAGGCTGAGGTTGCAGTGAGCTGAGATCGTGCCACCCTACTCCAGCCTGGGCCACAGAGCGAGACTCCGTCTCAAAGAAAAAGAAAAAAGATGTGAGCAGGGCATCGTGGGTTACATAAGACTTAGGTAGGGATAGAGAAGGCATTCTGTGTGATGAGGAGGGGGATAGGCACGAAACTTGCACATACCTGGGACAGTGACAAGACGGGTCTCACTAAAGCACAGAAGGCATCTTGGGAATCACTGAGGTATGAGGTGGTACAGGTGGGCACAAGCTTAGAGAGGTGTAGATTTGGGGAAGAGTCACTGCAGGTTCTGGAATAGGAGAAGGCAACCCCCAAGAGGTGACTGAGAATGTGTCAGGAGCCTTGTGCAGAGGAGGCCAAGGAGGGGAGCCCGCCAGGAGGCTGTTGAGTGATGACAGCACTTGAGACAAGCGCCTGGTGCTGCAGCGAGAATGGGAAGGAATGGATACAGGAGCTATTTGGGAAGAAAATGAATAGGGCCTCAAAACTGATTAGATGTAGAAGAGAGGGGTATAAGACAGAGGTGGCTCTGGAAGAAAGATATCTCACACCTGTAATCCCAGCACTTTGGGAGACCAAGGTGGGTGGATCACGTGAGCCCAGGAGCATGAGATCAGCCTGGACAACATGGTGAAACCCTGTCTCTAGAAAAAATAAAAAATTAGCCAGGTGTGGTGGTGGGTGCTTTTAGTCCCAGCTACTCGGGAGTCTGAGGCACGAGAATTGCTTGAGCCTGGGAGGCAGAGGTTGCGGTGAGCCGAGATCGTGCCACAACATTCCAGCCTGGGCAACGGAGAGAGACTCTGTCTCAAAACAAAACAAAACAAAAACCACACTCAATTGGAAACGTCTAGCTGGCAATTAGATTCTACCTGGGAACATGGTTGAACAAACAGAAGTAGAGACTGAAAAGCAACTCTGAGAAGTAGGCCCTGTGGTAGACAGGGGATGAAGAGGTGCCTCTAAGACAGGCCGTGCACCCCTCTAACACTGTCCCAGAAGCCACATGAGAAGGAAGTTCCAAATGGGGTGGGTGGTAGGGTTAATTGATGGTGTGACAATGTAAGATACATTTACTACTGACATGGAAAAGATAGTCATGCCATATTTTTAGGTGAAAAAGACTTTTATGAAATGGTTTACATAGTACCATTTATTTTTATTTTTATTTTTATTTTATTTTCAAGATAGAGTCTTGCTCTGTCTCCCAGGCTGGAGTGCAATGGCGCGATCTCGGCTCACTGCAACCTCTGCCTCCCAGGTTCAAGTGATTCTCCTGCCTCAGCCTGCCAAGATGGGATTACAGCGCCCACCACCATGCCCGGCTAATTTTTGTATTTTTAGTAGAGACGGAGTTTTACCATGTTGGCCAGGCTGGTCTCAAACTCCTGACCTCAGGTGATCTGCACACCTTGGCCTCCCAAAGTGCTGGGATTACAGGTGTGAGCCACCGCACCCAGCCTCTTTTTATTTTTATTATTACTTTTTTGAGACATGGTCTCCACTGCTTCCCAAGCTGGAGTGCAGTGACACAATCGTAGCTTGCTGCAGCTTTCAACTCCAGGGCTCAAGAGATCCTCCCGCCTCAACCTCCCAAGCAGCTAGGACTACAGGAATGCGCCACTACGCCCAGATAAGTTTTTGTTTTTTTTGTTTTTTTTGTTTTTTTTTTTTTTAGAGACAGGGTCTTGCTATGTTGCCCAAGCTTATATTGAACTCATGGCTTTAAGCAATCCTCCCACCTCAGACTCCTAAAGTGCTGGGATTACAGGTGTGAGCCACCACACCTGGCCCCATCCCATTTTTTGTTTAAAAATACACAACTTGCCCATCATGGTGGCTGACATCTGTAATCCCAACTACTCAGGAGGCTGAGACAGGAGGATTGCTTGAGGCCAGGAGTTGAAGGCTGCAGTGAGCTGTGATCACCACTGCACTCCAGCCTGGGTGACACTGAGACCCTATCTCTAAAAAATAAAAAATATACAATTTATGTGTATTTGTTTGTTTAGCCAACAGTGAAGAATATCTAGCAAGATGTTAATAGTAGATGGTGGGATTTCCAATGATTTTAAAATTAATTTTTTGCTTGCCAATGTTTCATAATTTTTCTAGAATGACCATAAATTACTTATCAGTGTCTTCAGAATTAAAGCGCTAACAGGCTCAGGAGAATGAGGGGGCAGAAGACGCCCTGGGATTTAGCCACTGAGAGGCCAAGTGCCTCTAGAGAGAGCATGTCAGTAATGTAATAGAGAGAAAAGCGAGATCCCAGGGAGGTGCTGGATAGACTGGCTGTGGGAAGGAACAGTAATGTGGTCAGCCTCAGATTGGTCATGTAACCAACTCTGCTGCTTAAGAGAGAGAGGCAGGAAGCGGCAGGAAGCAAGTAGAAGCTTTTTTTTCAAAAACAGGGTGGCCATTTTGGAAAAGAATTATGTGATAAGTTGAAAATGCTAGGCTAAGCATTTCAACTAGCTCACACCTGTAATCCTAGCACTTTGGGAGGCCAAGGCAGGTGGATTGCCTGAGCCCAGGAGTTCGGGACCAGCCTGGGCAACATGGTGAAACCCCGTCTCTACTAAAATACAAAAGAAATTAGCCAGGTGTGGCGGTGTGCACCCATAGTCCCAGCTACTCGGGAGGCTGAGGAAGGAGAATTGCTTGAACTGGAGAGGCGGAGGTTGCAGTGAACTGAAATCGTGCCACTGCACTTCAGCTTGGGCAACAGAGCGAGACTCCGTCTCTACAAAAAAAAAAAAAATGCTAGAGGCTGAGGTGGGAGGCCCGGAGTTCGAGATCACCATGAGCAACATAGTGAGACACTATCTCTATAGAAAATTTAAAAATTTAAAATTTAAAAATTATAGGCACATGCCGGGTGTGGTGGCACATGCCTGTATTCCCAACTACTCAGGAGGCTGAGGCAGAAGAATGGCTTGAGCCCAGGAGGTCAAGGCTGCAGTGAGCTATGATTGCACCACTGCATTTCAGCCTGGGCAACAGAATGAGACCCCATCTCTAAAAAAAGAAAAGAGAAAATAAAAATGCTAGAGTGGAGGCTGGGCTCAGTGGTTCATGCCTGTAATCCCAGCACTTTGGGAGGCCAAGGCAGGCAGATCACCTGAGGTCAGGAGTTCGAGACCAGCCTGGTCAACATGGCAAAACCCCTTCTCTACTAAAAATACAAAAATTAGATGGGTGTGGTGGCAAGGACCTGTAGTCCTAGCTACTTGGGAGGCTGAGGTGGGAGAATCACTTGAACCCAGGAAGGCAGAGGTTGCAGTGAGCCGAGATCGCACTGCTGCACTCCAGCCTTCCGACTCTGTCTCAAACAAAAAAAAAAAAAAGAAAGAAAGAAAGAAAAGATAATACTAGAGCAGGAAGGGAGGGATAGTGGAAGGGAAAGTCCTTCCTCAGGGTGGTGTTGGGGTCTAACCTGGAATTGCACAAGAAGCAAGTCTCCCCGAGGCTGGCAGGCAGGATGAGAGGCTGGACTGGCATAGACGGGTGGGCTGAGAATGAGGGGTACACCACAGCAGGCCCTGGGCTCAGGCAAGGAGCTGATTTTCTGGGGGCATAGATGAGATACCAACAGAAGTGCAAGACCCTATGTGACCAGTTAGAGTATGGGGGCTGCAGGGGTCAGCAGGGCAGACCTGGGGCGTGGGACAGTGCTGGCTCCCATTTCCTCCTCCCCAGTTCATTCTGCCCCGAGCCTTCCAGTCAACCTTTTCCCACCCCAGCCCCCCCGTCCCTTGGTGCTCCCTGCTCAGGGACCCTGGCCGTGTGTCCCCAGGTTTGTTACCTGCAGCGGCCCATCACCCTGTGGTGCGGCCTCAACCACTCCCTGGTGCTGAGCCAGAGCTCAGAGTTCAGCAAGGAGCTGCTGGGCTGCGGCTGTGGGGCTGGGGGCCGCCTCCCAGGCTGGCCCAAGGGGAGTGCCTCCTTCGTCAAGCTCCAAGTCAAGGTCAGAGCGGGGTCAGGAGAGTGGGCACCCAGGGAGGATGAGAGCCATGAACCAGGAAGCCCACAGGCTGTAGCTGGGGCTCCTGCAGGGACCCAGGGGGTCCCATTTCCCTAGCACCACCCCACCTCCCTCCTCTGCCGCACACCACGCTCTCTGCTTTCTCCCTTAGCAGACTGTGCTGGCCTTGCCCAACCTCACACACCCCTGGGACTTAGCCGGCTCAGGGCTGGTGTGAGAGGGAAGAATGCAATAGGCAGATTAGCCCGGGCACCCTGGGAAACCCTGCAAGGAAAGCACCACTCAGCCATGCCCCCTTTCTCTCCTCCTCCAAGGTCCCTCTGTGTGCCTGTGCCCTCTGTGCCACCAGGGAGTGCCTATACATCCTGTCCAGCCACGACATTGAGCAGCACGCCCCCTATCGCCACCTGCCAGCCAGCAGGGTGGTGGGGACTCCTGAGCCCAGCCTGGGGGCCAGAGCACCCCAGGACCCCGGGGGGATGGCCCAGGCCTGCGAGGAGTACCTCAGCCAGATCCACAGTTGCCAAACGTTGCAGGACCGCACGGAGAAGATGAAGGAGATCGTAGGGTGGATGCCCCTGATGGCCGCACAGAAGGACTTCTTCTGGGAGGCCCTGGACATGCTGCAGAGGGCTGAAGGAGGCGGGGGTGGTGTAGGGCCCCCAGCCCCTGAGACCTAATCCCCCTCATGCTAGCCTAGTCCCTGGAGGAGGGAGTCCGGCCCCAGGCCAGGGACTAAGGAGCAATGACCATTGTGCACATGCGTGTGGGAAGGGGTTGCTAGGGGGTGGGGACGGCTAACCAGGGTAAGAATGTTCAGGGGGCTGCCCAGGAGGGGCCCCCAACCTGACTATCATGGACAAGAGATTTGATGGATAGAATAAAAGGCTGCAGCGAGGCCTGGTGTGGAAGCCTTGGGGGCTGGGAGGGACAGGGGCAGGGATGGGGTGGGTGGGTGCCCGGCTTGGTGGGTGCAGGAGGGCAGGAGCCCAGGCAGGGGCAGGCAGCACAAGCAGCTCCAGGTCTCAGGTGCAGCAGAGCTGATGCTGCCTGAACCCTTCACATTGTTGTCCACTCCCTGCTCCCAAGAGCACACCTGGTCGTTTGGACTGGGAAGTTCTGGCCCTACCTTCTGGAACAACTCTATGCACAGATGCTCTTGGCTACCCCACTGGGATCCCCTGCCCACTAGACTTGTCCCCATCCTGAGGCAGCCTGTTCCTCCTGACCCCCGAAAGCTTCCCACCCATCTCCCTTCGGCCTGAAGCCAGCCCCCCTCCTCTCTCCCTTCTGTTTACCTCCCAGGTTTGGGCTCTATTTTCTACTCCTTCCACCTCTTCCTGAGTAACAAGGACACTCCCTTCATCCACACCCCATGCCTCCTGCCTTGCTTCCTGTACCTTCAAGTAGTTGGAAGAGGTCATGGGTGAGAATTCCTTCTCCTTGGCCTAGTCTGGCCCAGGTCTGGAGAGAAGGCAATGGAGATGTGAAGTGGAGGCCAGGTGTGGTGGCTACGCCTATAATCCCAGCACTTTGGGAGTCCGAGGTGGGCGGATCACCTGAGGCTAGGAATTTGAGACCAGCCTGGACAGCATGCTGAAACCCTGCCTCTACTAAAAATACAAAAATTAGCCAGGTGTGGAGGCATGCACCTGCAGTCCCAGCTACTCGGGAGGCTAAGGCACAAGAATTGCTTGAACCCGGGAGGCGGAGGTTGCAGTGAGCAGAGATCGCGCCACTGCACTCCAGCCTGGGTCACAGAATGAGACTCTGTCTCAAAAAAAAAAAAAAAAAAAAAAAGAAATTGAAGTGGAAAATGAGCTGGCAGGGGTGGTCAGGCAGGGGGTGAGCAATGAGGGCTCCTGAGCTGAGGAAGCAGGGGCGGGGGGAGGATGGGGGCTAGGGAGTCCTCAGAAGTTCCCGGAGATACTCCCTCACTGGACAGAGTGGGGTTCCCGATGACGTTACTTGAGGCCTGGGAGACGGCCTCTGCCCCTCACTGCTCCTCCCCCTCCTAAGGTCAACATTTATGTGTCCTAGACCTAGAGAGGTCCCAGGACACGCCACTGTCCCGCCTTCCCCATTGCCCGCCCCACTGGCCAGTCCCCACGCCCACACACCCAAGGCTGCCCCATCTGGCGCTGATTATCCTGCTGCTGCCGCCACCGCTGCTGCTGCTCTGCAAAATTCAGCTGCTGCCTCTGTCTTGAGGACCCCAGCGCCTTTCCCCCGGGGCCATGCTGCCTGCAGCCACAGCCTCCCTCCTGGGGCCCCTCCTCACTGCCTGCGCCCTGCTGCCTTTTGCCCAGGGCCAGACCCCCAACTACACCAGGTAGGTCTCTTGGCATCTTCCAGACAGCTCCAGTGAACTTCAGACCCCCGATTCCTTTGGGGTTATGCCTGGAGATATTTTGGGTTCCCTTGCTGACACACCACTCCCCAGATTCCCCACCGCCTCACCCTTCTCTGGCCCCCAAATCCTCCCCATCTGCTGCAAGACCTTGGTCTCCTGCAGGCCACCACTGCTCCCATTCCCCCACCTTCGTCCTCTGGTCTCTTAAGTCTCCCCACCCACCCAGATCCTTGACCCCCCATAGAACCCAAGAGAGAGCCAAGCTCCTGAACTTGCCTGGTAGCTGGATTCCAGGAAGGAATTCGAGAGGGATTGTAGGGGGAGGAGGGGGCAGTGAGTGGAGACTTGGGAGTCAGAATCTGAAGTAGTTTGGAACAGGGGCAGGGCTAAGGTGTGGAGCTCGCGGAGCCTGGCCTCCAGGTTCAATCAGAGGGCCATCGCCACTGCAGCTCCCTCCATCTCTCCACCCCCTCCCCCCCACCGCCTCGTGGCTGTGTCCACATCTGGAAGTAGTTAGGCGGCTCCTGTCCCTGGACTGCCAGGCAGAGTGAGGCGGGAGTCTGGAAGGGGGGCCGAGGAGGATTCCGGGAATTCCTGTTGGGGTGGGGGTGGGGACTCTTGGGGTTGGAGGGATGGTCGAGTTGCCAGGCCCACTTTTCCCTTATCTTTGTGGGAGTCTGGGACACCCCAGCCCTGTCCTGGCTGGTGGAAGCTGCCCCAGGTCTCTCAAGGCCTTTCCATTTCATCCCCCAGCTTCCCTCCTTGGAGTTTCATCCTCATCACCTCATCCCCATCTTGCCAGTGCTCCCCCGTCCCACCCGTCCCTGCTCTTTCCTGACCCCTTTTCTGTTCTCCAGACCCGTGTTCCTGTGCGGAGGGGATGTGAAGGGGGAATCAGGTTACGTGGCAAGTGAGGGGTTCCCCAACCTCTACCCCCCTAATAAGGAGTGCATCTGGACCATAACGGTGAGAAACCCCTCTGGGCACTACCCCTTGTTAAAGTCTCAGAGGCAAAAAGGCCTGACTGCGAAGGGACCCCCCCCCCGTCCCCCCCGCACCACCTTCTCAACCTGGGGCAGCTCCAAGTGTCTTCCCTCTGTCACTGAAGGCATCATTCCCACCGTAACACGCATCATCTTAACCCTTCCCTCAAATCTTCATTCTCCAGTCCCCGGCCCTCCCTCCTCTTCCAAAGCCTCAGCTCTTGTCCCCTGCACAGGCTACCAGCAGAGCTGCAGAGACCAGGCCCTCTGCTCTGCACTCACATGGAGGCCCCTTCCCATTCAGTCCGTTTCTGCAAGAAACGCTTGGGGCAGGGGAGCTGCCCTCTGGCTGGGTTGTGTGGGGCCTGACTCTGTGGGTCCCCGCCTCTGTCCCCGCTATCAGGTCCCCGAGGGCCAGACTGTGTCCCTCTCATTCCGAGTCTTCGACCTGGAGCTGCACCCCGCCTGCCGCTACGATGCTCTGGAGGTCTTCGCTGGGTCTGGGACTTCCGGCCAGCGGCTCGGACGCTTTTGTGGGACCTTCCGGCCTGCGCCCCTAGTCGCCCCCGGCAACCAGGTGACCCTGAGGATGACGACGGATGAGGGCACAGGAGGACGAGGCTTCCTGCTCTGGTACAGCGGGCGGGCCACCTCGGGCACTGGTGAGAACTCCCTCACCTCCGCCTTCCCCCCCTCCAGGCCCCGCCCCGGCCGCAGCCCCGCCCCCAGCCCTAACCTCCGCCCCGCCCACCCCGCGCCCCAGTGCCTAGGGCCCCCTACCTCCCTGACCCATTTTCCTCACTAACCGCCCCTTCAGTCCCTCCTCCCCGTCTTCTCTCCCCTCCTCCCGCACCCACCCATCCCTCTTCCAGGGCCCCCCCCAGGCGCGAGGCGGAAATGGGTCACCGACCCGCGGGTGGAATGGGCGGCCTGGGGTTACTGGGACGGTGAGTAACTGCCGGCCCCCGTCCGCAATCGGGCTCCCTCCGTCGGGCGCGAGGGGGCACCCCAGGGCTGGGGGGACTAGGTTCCTCCAACCCCGGGGGGCCCCTACACCCAGCCCTGGGCTCCCGATTGCGGTCCCATCACCCCCTCCTGGCGGCAGAAGTCTCCCTTGCAATGTTTCAGGCGGGGACCTCCCTAAAGGGGTCCTCGGGGGCTGTGCCCCAAGTCGAGGACACCCTCTCCAGCCTGAAAGGGGACTCTGCTGCAGGGCCGGGGAGATGGGATCTCCTAGGGGAAGAGGCGCGGTGCGGCCGCGGGTCGGGGAGGGGCCAGAAGGGGGCGTCCAGCCAGTTCCTCCTCCCGCTTCCACCGCCCGCCAGTGCGCCCTGCGGCCCCAGACTTCCCCGAGCCGCGCTCCTCCCGGCCGCTCTCTGTTAACCTGCCCCCATCTTACCTCCCCTTCTTCTCGTCCCCTCATCCTGAGCCCCAGACATCCGAGCTGCCTGCCGGGGCTCCCAGCCTAGAGTTCTCCTGAAGCTGACCGAGGGTCTCCACCGCCCCCCACCCCCGCTCCTCTCTCCCCTCCCCAGAGCACCAATTTTGCGGGGGGCGGCTGGAGAAGGCCCAGGGAACCCTGACCACGCCCAACTGGCCCGAGTCCGATTACCCCCCGGGCATCAGCTGTTCCTGGCACATCATCGCGCCCCCGGACCAGGTACCGACCCTCCTCCCCGGGCTGCCCTAGGGGACCCAGGCGGCGCCCTCCAGCTTGCAGCCAGCAGAGATTTATTGAAGATCTGCTGTGTCCCGAGCACTGCGCTTGCGCTGGTGGGCACCCAAAACAGCCCCAACCCCTGCATGCACGCAAACAAAAATGTAAAAATTACAACTGAGACAAGTCTCAGGAGAGCGAGGTACAGGGTCCTGGTATAACACGCGGGCCTGTCACTTGTGAGTGCGCCAGGACTTGACCTTGCCAACCACGACGACCGACACCCCTGCAGGGTCCCATGGGTGTGTGTGGTCCTCCGTGCTGTGGTGTGAACGCCTTCAGGAGGGGGGCCCAGAGGACGCGGGAGGTGGGAGTGGGAGCTGCTGCAGGCACCCAGTAGGAGATGAGGTGCAGGCGCCCAGGGGTGTCCCGCCGCGCAGTCCCCGCCTCCGCCCGCCGCCAGGTCATCGCGCTGACCTTCGAGAAGTTTGACCTGGAGCCGGACACCTACTGCCGCTATGACTCGGTCAGCGTGTTCAACGGAGCCGTGAGCGACGACTCCCGGAGGCTGGGGAAGTTCTGCGGCGACGCAGTCCCGGGGTGAGGGGCGGGACCTGGGCGAGTCCGGGAGAGAGTCGGCGGACCGCACGCACGCGGCTGTTTGGAGGGGCGGGGTTCAGCTAAAGGGACGGGATCTGAACCCCAGGGCTCCAAACCGGCGAGGGGAGCAGGTTGGAGGCCAGGCAAAGAGGAGATTTGGCCCCGGGTCTGGGGTCCGCGGATAGAGAGGCGACTGGGGCTCTGCGAAGTTGGGACGAAGTTAAAAGGCCACCTGGCCAGGGGTAGTGGCTCATGCCTGTAATCATAGCACTTTGGGAGGCTGAAGCGGGAGGATCACCTGAGCTTAGGAATTCGAGACCAGCCTGGGCAACATGGCGCAACCTTGTCTGTACCAAAAATACAAAATAATTAGCTGGGCATGGTGGCGTGCCTGTAGTCCCAGCAACTTGCGGGGCTGAGGCAGGAGGATTACTTGAACCCAGAAGGTCAAGGCTGCAGTAAGCCTAGATGGAGCCACTGCACTCAAGCCTGGGAGACAAAGTGAGACCCTGTCTCAAACAAACAAAAAAGGTCATGGGGCTGAGAAGAGTGTGGTGCACGCCCGCCCTGACACTTCCCCCAATGCTCGGTGGCCACCTGCAGCTCCATCTCCTCCGAAGGGAATGAACTCCTCGTCCAGTTCGTCTCAGATCTCAGTGTCACCGCTGATGGCTTCTCAGCCTCCTACAAGACCCTGCCGCGGGGCACTGCCAAAGAAGGGCAAGGGCCCGGCCCCAAACGGGGAACTGAGCCTAAAGTCAAGCTGCCCCCCAAGTCCCAACCTCCGGAGAAAACAGAGGAATCTCCTTCAGCCCCTGGTGAGTCTGGGATAGGGGAGGAAGGGGAAACAGACTGAAGGGGGCCATTTCAAAAAGTTCTGACCTGGGCTGTGGCTCACACCTGTAATCCCAGCATTTTGGGAGGTCCAGACAGCAGGATCGCTTAAGCCTAGGAGTTTACCATAGCAAGACCCTGTCTTTTCAAAAATAAAAAATTAGGCTGGGCTGGTGGCTCACGCCTGTAATCCCAGCACTTTGGGAGGCCAAGGCAGGCAGATCACCTGAGGTCAGGAGTTCAAGACCACCCCGGCTAACATGGCAACACCACATCTCTACTAAAAATACAAAAATTAGCCAGGTGTGGTGGTACACACCTGTAATCCCAGCTACTCGGGAGGCTGAGGCAGGAGAGTCGCTTGAACCTGGGAGGTGGAGATTGTAGTGAGCCGAGATTGTGCCACTGCACTCCAACTTGGGTTACAGAGTGAGATTCTGTCTCAAAAAAAAAAAAAAAACTTAGCCAGGCGTGTGGTCATAGCTACTCCGGAGGCTGAGGTGGGAGGATTGCTTGAGCTGGGAAGGTCGAGGCTTCAGTGAGCCATGACTGTGCCGCTACACTCCAGCCTGGGCAACAGAGCAAAACTCCATCTTAAACAAACAAAAAAGTTCTTCCTTGGCTACATTCACTCATTGATTCATCTGGTACTCACTGGTGCCTCCTTCCTGCCGATGACCCCTACTGGGTGCTAGGACCGGAAGCCTGACAGAGCTCTGAACAGTTCAAGTCAATGAGGCTGTTATGGGGACAGTGCTCCCTCCTACCTGCTGAGCAGGTCACCCTCCACCCTCCTCCCTCCTAGATGCACCCACCTGCCCAAAGCAGTGCCGCCGGACAGGCACCTTGCAGAGCAACTTCTGTGCCAGCAGCCTTGGTAAGAATACCCCCAACCCCATTCCAGCTCCTCGAACCACCTCCTGCTTCTGTTTCCAGTCCTGCCATCTGGAACCTCCCATCTCCTCATCTCTCACTCCCATTCTCCCACAGTGGTGACTGCGACAGTGAAGTCCATGGTTCGGGAGCCAGGGGAGGGCCTTGCCGTGACTGTCAGTCTTATTGGTGCTTATAAAACTGGAGGACTGGACCTGCCTTCTCCACCCACTGGTGCCTCCCTGAAGTTTTACGTGCCTTGCAAGCAGTGCCCCCCCATGAAGAAAGGTAACAGAGATGTGGGGAAATGGGGATGGGTCAAGCTAAGCCACACAGAAATGATCAAGGTGTGGAATCTTGAGACCTGCTGACAGGTCTCAAGAATAAGAGATCTCAACCCCTCCCTCCTTCTTCCAGGAGTCAGTTATCTGCTGATGGGCCAGGTAGAAGAGAACAGAGGCCCCGTCCTTCCTCCAGAGAGCTTTGTGGTTCTCCACCGGCCCAACCAGGACCAGATCCTCACCAACCTAAGCAAGAGGAAGTGCCCCTCTCAACCTGTGCGGGCTGCTGCGTCCCAGGACTGAGACGCAGGCCAGCCCCGGCCCCTAGCCCTCAGGCCTTCTTTCTTATCCAAATAAATGTTTCTTAATGAGGAATGGGTCAGATCTCCATGCTTATGGTATTGGGGTCCATCTTGAGGATTTCTTTTCATTAATTAATTAACTCAACACATATTTACTATACAGAATAATCGTTTAAGAATGTGGCCAGGGGTGGCTGCTCACAGCTGTAATCCCAGCACTATGGGAGGCTGAGTCAGGAGGATTGCTGAGGCCAAGAGTTTAAGACCAGCCTGGGCAACATGGCAAAACCCCCTCTCCACAAAAAAAAATACAAAAATTAGCCAGGCGTGGTGGTGCACACCTGTAGTCCCAGCTACTCAGGTTGAGGTGTGAGGATCGCTTGATCCCGGGGAGGTAAGACTGCGGTGAGCTGTGACTATGCCACTGTACTCCACCTGGGGGAACACAGTGAGACCCTGTCTCAAAAAAAAAAAAAAGAATGTAAGTCACAGGCCAGGTGCAGTGGCTGATGCCTGTAATCCCAGCACTTTGAGAGGCTAAGGTGGGAGGATCACTTGAGGTCAGAAGTTTGAGATCAGTCTGGGCAACATGGCCAGATTCTGTCTTTACAAAAAATAATTAGCTGGGCATGGTGGTACTCATCTGTGGTCCCAGCTACTCAGGAGGCTGATGTGGGAGGCTTGCTTGAGCCCAGGACTCTGAGGCTGCAGTGAGCTATGATCACACCACTGTACTCCAGCCTGGGCAAAAGAGTAAGACTCTGTCTCTAAAAAAGTAAAAAGAAAAGATGTCATGTCTTGGCGGGGCGCGGTGGCTCATGCCTGTAATCCCAGCACTTTGAGACGCCAAGGCAGGCAGATTACTTGAGGTCAGGAGTTTGAGACCAGCCTGGCCAACATGGTGAAACCCCGTCTCTACTAAAAATACAAAAAAATTAGCTGGGCGTGGTGGCGGGCACCTGTTACTCAGGAGGCTGAGGCAAAAGAATTGCTTGAACTCAAGAGGTGGAGATTGCAGTGAGCTGAGATTGTGCCACTGCACTTCAGCCTGGGCAACAGAGTGAGACTCCGTCTGAAAAAAATAACATAAAATAAAAAAGAAAAGAAAATATGTCACATCTTTTTTTTTTTTTTTTTTTTTTTTTTTTTTTTTTTGAGACGGAGTTTCACTCTTGTTGCCCAGGCTGGGGTGCAATGGCGCAATCTCGGCTCACTGCAAACTCCGCCTCCTGGGTTCAAATGATTCTCCTGCCTCAGCCTCCCGATTAGCTGGAATTACAGGTGCGCACCACCACACCCAGCTAATTTTGTATTTTTAGTAGAGATGGGGTTTCTCCATGTTGGTCATGCTGCTCTCGAACTCCCAATCTCAGGTGATGCACACCCCTTGGCCTCCCAAAGTGCTGGGATTGCAGGCGTGAGCCACCATGCCCGGCCGATTATGTCACATCTTGTCCCTCCTTTACTCAAAACTTTCCTGTAGTTTCCTAAGTCTTACCAAGGGTTCAAGGCCCTATATCATCTGCATTCTCTCTCCTGCCTCGTAGCTTCATGTCTATTATCTCCTATGTATCATCTGTTCCAGTCACATTGGCAACTTCAGTTTGTTGCCCATTTCTTTTTTTTTTTTTTTTTTTTTGAGATGGAGTCTCGCTCTGTCACCCAGGCTGGAGCACAGTGGCATGATCTGGCTGGACTGCAGTGCAGTGGCGATATCTCGGCTCCCTGCAACCTCCGCCTCCCAGATTCAAGCGATTCTCCTGCCTCAGCCTCCCGAGTAGGTGGGACTACAGGCATGTGCCACCACGCCCGGCTAATTTTGTATTTTTAGTAGAGACGGGGTTTCACCATGTTGGTCAGGCTGGTCTCGAATTCCTGACCTTGTGATCTGCCCGCCTCGGCCTCCCAAAGTGCTGGAATTACAGGGGTGAACCACCGCACCCGGCCTTGTTGCCCATTTCTAGTACACTTCTGTTTTAGGCCTTTGCTATTTCCTCTATCCAGAATTCTCTCCCATAGACATATCTCATGGTTCACTTCCTAAATCCAGTCAGATCTCTGCTCAAAGTTCATCCTAGTCACTCATTCATTTGTTCATTCCAAATGGTAGGCACTGTCATAAGTCCTAAAGATACAACAGAAAACTAAACAAAGTCCCTGCTCTTGTGAAAAGGAAAAAACATTCTACTGGAGGAGAGAGAAACAATAAAATAGGAGGTCATGTATCACTATAAGTGCTATTAAAAAAACAAATACAGGGCAGGGAGCGGTGGCTCACGCCTGTAATCCCAGCACTTTGGGAGGCTGAGGCGGGCGGATCACAAGGTCAGGAGATCCAGACCATCCTGGCTAACATGGTGAAACATCATCTCTACTAAAAATACAAAAAATTAGCCGGGTTTGGTGGTGGGTGCCTGTAGTCCCAGCTACTCGGGAGGCTGAGGCAGGAGAATGGTGTGAACCCGGGAGGTGGAGCTTGCAGTGAGCTGAGATCGCGCCACTGCAGTCCGAGATTGCGCCACTGCAGTCTGGCCTGGGTGAAAGAGCGAGACTCCATCTCAAAAAATAAACCAAACCAAACAAAACAAAAAAAACAAATACAATTAGCCGGGTGTGAAGTCGCGCGCCTGTAGTCCCAGCTACTCAGAAGGCTGAGGTGGGAGGATTGGTTGAGCGCAACCAAGCAGGTGGAGACTGCAGTGAGCTATGATTGTACCACTGCCCTCCAGCCTGTGTGACAGCACAAGACTGTCTCAAAAAAAAAAAAAAAAAAAAAGAAAAAGAAAAAGAAAATGTAAAAGAGAACACGGGGATTCTACACAAGATGTTCAGAGGAGACTTTCAGATAAGATCAACTTTGTCTTTGCTCCATTGCTAACTGGGTGCCCTCAGAGACCCAGATTCTTCACCTTATCCAGGCTGTAAAAGGAGTTGAAGATTCGATGCAATTAAAGTGGCAGGGTTTAGCAAATCCTTTTTTAAAATATATAATTACTCAAACAACATGGGTTTGAAATCAGCAAATCTTAATTCCCTGTGCAAATGTGAGTGATTTCCCACGTCCCTCACAGGAAGGTGAGAAACAGGAGGCAAGACTTAGTCTGGAGTCCCAGATGGGAGGAACCTCCAACCCATAGAAAACAGACTTTGAGCCTGGGGAAGGAACAGTGGCTCTCATGCACTTTGGGAGGCTTAAGTGGGAGGATCGCTTGGGCCCAGGAGTTCGAGAACAGCCTGCAGAACATAGCGAGATCGTCTCTACAAAAAATTACAAAAAGCCAGGCATGGTGATGCACGCCTGTAATCCCAGCTACTCGGGAGGCTGAGGCAGGAGAATCGCTTGAACCCAGGAGTTGGAGGCTGCAGTGAGCAATGATAGCGCCACTGCACTCCAGCCTGGGCGACAGAGTGAGACTCTGTCTCTAAAAAAGCAAAAAAGAGGGCGGGCACGGTGGCTCACGCCTGTAATTACAGGACTTTGGGAGGCTGAGGCAAGTGGATCGCCTGAGGTCAGGAGTTCGAGACCAGCCTGACCAACATGGTGAAACCCCGTCTCTACTAAAAATACAAAGAATTACCCGGGCGTGATGGCGCACGCCTATAATCCCAGCTACTCGGGAGGCTGAGACAGGAGAATCGCTTGAACCCTGGAGGCGGTGGTTGCAGTGAGCCGAGATCGTGCCATTGCACTCCAGCCTGGGTGACAGAGCGAGACTTCGTCTCAAAAAAAAAAAAAAAAAAGCAAAGAAAACAGGCTTGGTTCCTGCAGAGGCTTCTAGAGCCTGGAATGAAGAGGAGGAAAAGGGCTTCCCGGTGGGAGATTGACTTGGACCATCTCAAGAATAGGGAGGAAAGAACAAAGCCCAGTTCGAAACCCCGCCCCCGGTTCTCTGAGTTACTTCAGGGCTCGAGTTCGAGCCAGTACAACTGTTACGTCACCGGAATCCAGCCAATCGCAGACGACAGAAGGAGGGCGTTGTTTGGTCTTTCAGCACACCAATCGGCGTATAGTTACGGCAGAAACAAAGACGTCCTAGCCAATGACAGAGGCCGTACGGCGGAAGTATAGAAAAGGACTCTCTGGAACATGGCAACATTAATCTGACCACAAGCTGACTGGCAGGTGCTTTAACCACAAGGTGGGCATCCTAACGCGAGCGACCGTTTTGAGGCAGAAGCCCGATGGGGCCCGTGTCCGAGCTTAGGGAGGGGCCGGAGACGCAAACACAGGTCTCCCAGGAAGCAGGCGGCGTCACAGGTCGCTCTGCAGGCGCCCGCTGCAGCGGGCGGAGTCTGGCTGGAGAGAGGAGGCGGGCGTCCGGGAACGCCCGGAAGGGGCGAGGCCAGCGGCGGGGCGGGGCTTATGGAGATCGTGAGCTGGGCGTGAGGAGAAGGCCGGGTTGGGAGCTGCGAGGGGCCGGGTTTAGCGGGGTGGGCGTGGCCGTCGAGGTGGGGCTCGGCGGGTCCGAAGGAACCTGGGGCAGAGCTGGAAGAGGAAAGGTCTTGGGGGCCCTGGGCCTGGGTCTGCGGGAGCCCCATCTAGCGGGGTTCCAAGGCGGCGGCGGCATCAGTCGAGGCCCTGCTCCGGGAGCTCATCTTGTCCCCTTTCGCCCCTCACGCCCCCCAGCTCTGACTCCAGGCCCTGTCCCCTGAGCTCTGCCCTCGGATGTCCGACCGCCCAGAGCCTGCATGCGCCGTGGGGCGCCCCAGGACCAGGAGCTGGTGGGTCCGGGGCCCCCTGGGCGGGGGTCCCGGGGCGCCCCTCCTCCCTTGGGACCCGTTGTCCCGGTCCTGGTCTTTCCCCCGGATCTAGTATTCAGGGCGGACCAGCGGAGCGGACCCCGACAGCTGCTGACCCTCTATAACCCCACAGGAACTGCGCTTCGCTTCCGAGGTAAAGGGATCGGCGCCTCGTGGGGGCTGGTGGCCGGACACTGGGGGGTTGTGTTGGCTGGAGGAGTCAGATGGGTAGGGTTGCACGTCCAGCTTTGGTGGACTGGGAAAGTCATGTCCAGCCTCCGGGGCAGAAGGCAGAGGGGACTTAAATGACCCACATGGCAGGGCTTGTCTGTGTGTGTCTCTATCCCCCAGTCCTGTGCACAGCACCTGCCAAATACACGGTGTTTGACGCAGAGGGATATGTGAAGCCCCAGTCTTGCATTGACATGTGAGTGAGCTGGGAGGGTGGGGAGGCTTGTGGAAGCCAGGGGTCGCTGCCACCTGTTGTCTGAGGTCTGAGACCTTGCCCCCTTTAACCTATTTGCCCTATCCTCTGCCTGTGCCCCTAAGGGAGAGACTTCTGGGGGGAGGCCCAGATTTCCTTGGATTACTGCCTCATTCACCCCAATGGGCTTCTCTCCTACCTTGGGACCAGTGTGATTCGCCATGTGGCACCCATTCCCAGCCACTATGATGTCCAGGACCGCTTCCGCATTGAGCTGTCTGAGGAAGGAGCTGAGGGCCGAGTGGTGGGACGCAAGGACATTACCTCCATTCTGAGAGCCCCAGCGTACCCCCTTGAGCTTCAGGGACAGCCAGATCCAGCGCCTCGCCCAGGGCCTCCTGCTGGGACACCACCACCCACGGCCAGACACTTCCAGGAGCGTGAGTTGGGAGACTGGGATCTTGAGTTCTGTAGGGAGGGAGGAACTAGCATTTCCCTAGAGATGAGATAAATTGGATTTGAAGAAGTCTCCTGGTTCAGTCTTTTGTCTTTTGGTGGAAACATTCCTCCGAGTTGAGATTTTATATCAGGTGAGGGGGAAAAGACTTACAGCTTCCCTGGTTTCTGACTTCTACTTAGAGGAAAAAGTTCTTCCTTGACTGTAACCGCAGTACTTCCTATCATGTGGTAGCTCAGTTCAGTTCAATAAGAAACCTGTATTGAGCAATTAACCCTGTACCAAGTTGTGTGCTGGGTATGAGATCAAGAGAGGTCCCTGCCTGTCGGATAGGTCCACAGAAGAGAGAAAATGAATGCTGAGGGACTGGAGGAGAGAGTTCTTGTGGTGGTGGGGACAGAGGCTGTAGGAAGGAGAGGACACTTGCAGTGTACCCCTGGAGGGCAGTAAAAAGTAGATACAGGGTGTGATGGCTCACGCCTATAATCCCAGTGCTTTGGGAGGCTGAGGTGGGCTGATAACCTGAGGCCAGGAGTTCAATACCAGCCTGACCAACATGATGGAACCCCGTCTCTACTAAAAACACACAAAAATTAGCTGGGAGTGGTGGCTCGCACCTGTAATCCCAGCTAGTCGGGAGGCTAAGGCAGGAGAATCACTTGAACCTAGGAGGCAGAGGCTGCAGTGAGTCAGGATTGTGTGGCTGCACTCCAGCCTGGGTGCAACAGAGTGAGACTCCGTCTCAAAAAAAAAAAAAAGTAGATACAGGGTGTGGTGACTCACACCTATAATCCCAGTGCTTTGGGAGGCTGAAGTGGTGGGAGGATTGCAATTGCTCGAGGCCAGGAGTTCAAGATCAGCTTGGACAACATAGCAAGACCATCTACAAACAACTTAAAAATTAGCCGGGCATGGTAGCATGAACCCATAGTCCCAGCTACTTAGGAAGCTAAGGCAGGAGGATCACCTGAGGCCAAGAGTTCCAGACCAGCCTGGACAACGTAGTGAGACTCCATCTCTACAAAAAATAAAAGATAATTAAAAAAAAAAAGTAGATACATCTTCCTTGTTCAGGCTTCTCCCTGGAGGACCTGGGCTGGGCAGGAGTGGGGGCTGCAGCATCTGATGAGTCTTGTTTCTCAGACCCCCGCCAGCAACTGGCCACCAGCTCCTTCCTCCTCTTCTTGCTGACGGGGATTGTGTCTGTGGCCTTCCTGCTGCTCCCACTCCCGGACGAACTCGGCAGCCAGCTGCCTCAAGTCCTGCACGTCTCCCTGGGACAAAAGTTGGTGGCCGCCTACGTCTTGGGTGAGGACAGTAGTGGCCAGGGACCCAGGCCCCAGGAAAAAGGGAGAAGGGACGGGAGGAGAGCTAACAGAGCCCCAGGGCTGCCCATGCGACCCTATTCTTTCTTTGTCCCCCCTCCAGGCCTCCTCACCATGGTGTTCCTCCGGACCTGAGCTCCGTGCTCAACCCCCAGCCCACCCCACCCTCCCTGGGCAGGGTCTTGAGGCAGCCACTGTGATGCTCATACCTTACCTTGCCTCCTACCCTCTTCTCTTTCCTGCCTACTCCCCACTCCTCCCTGACAAAAAACACCCAGGGATTTGTACTCATTTTCCAAGTTGAATAAAATACATTTTTAAAATGATAATCAGAAATGTAGGGTACTTGCCCCTGTCTTCCCACTTCTTTTTTGGTACTCAGACATCCTCTAGTTCTCCCACCCCTGTTCCCAGGGGACCCAGGCACTTGGGGCAGTGATGAGGCCCAGCGAGGATTTAGAAGAGTTAGGTCACTCCTGGTGCTTGCGCTGAAAAACTATGTGACCATGAGCAAATTATTTAATTTCTCTGAGCTGTAGATTCTACCTACAAAATGAGAGCATTGGGCAAGTTGATTCTCAAGATCCCCTTCAGCCCTGGAATAGGATCCTGTCCCTAAGCCAATGTATTAACCTAAAAAGAAATGAATGAAAATACCACCTAATCCTGCCTGCGGTGGAACTCCTGTCCCACCATCTGGAGGCAACAAAGCCTTTCACCAGGGTTACCTGGGTGTTTACAACCCCTAGAATCCTTTTCTGCCTTTTGGACCCTATATCTGTTTTCCTGGGTCTTTCCTTTAAGACTTCAACTCCCTTGGCTGGGCACAGTGGCTCATGCCTGTAATCCCAGCACTTTGCAGGGCCGAGGCGAGTGGATCACTTGAGGCCAGGAGTTCGAGACCAGCCTGGCCAACATGGTGAACTCTTGTCTCTAAAAATACAAAAAATACACCCAACATGGTGAAATTTTGTCTCTAAAAATACAAAAATTAGCTGGACATGGTGGTAGGTGCCTGTAATCCCAGCTACTCAGGAGGCTGAGGTAAGAGAATCATTTGAACCTGAGAGGTGGAGGCTGCAGTGAGCTAAGATTGTGCCATTGCACTCCAGCCTGGGCAGCAGAGCAAGACTCCATCTAAAAAAAAGAAACAAGGCTTCAACTCCCATGGATCAGAAACACCAAAGTCCCTACCAATATGGGGGAAATAGTATTGCTTGACATAACCTCACCTTAACCAGGAAAAAAAAAAAAAAAGAAAAAACTAGGGTACAGGAAAAGAATAAGATTTACAAAAGCAAGCTTCCAGCTCACCTGCCCTCCTTCAGGTGCAGGGTGAGGAGAAACAGAGGAAGAGGGAGAATGGCCAGGCTCAGTGGCTCACATCTGTAATCCCAGTGCTTTGAGAGACCAAGGTGGGAGGATTGCCTGAGCCCAGGGTTTCAAGACCAGCCTGGACAACATAGCGTAGACCCCATTTCTACAAAAAAAATAAAAAGGAGGGAGAGCCAGTGACTCTGGGCAGATGGTTGACTGGGAACAAAGATCAGCAAGATATTAAGACAGACCCAGGCTGTCACAGCACTGGAAGGTGATCAGTTGTTCCAGCTTTACTTTAGGGGCATTGGGACCTGCTCCACTACCCTGGGAGTCTTCTCCCTCTCACACCCAGAACTGGCTCCAGTGGGGTGTGGCCCTGATACTGCATGGAGAATGGGTGTGCCGTTTGTGTCCAGGAGTCTGGGGACAGCTCTTGCCATAGCCCAGGAAACCCCTTTGCTAAATTACATGTGTATGGAAGATATCCGTTCACACCAGTCTGGATGCGCCCAGGTCCCCAAAACGCATTCGAGGTGCCACATAGGTTAATGGTCTTGTGAGTACTTGTGAAAAGACCTTGTTACTGGTGTGGTCAAGAAGGCTTTCTGAGGGGCTGGGGGCAGGGGCTCACGCCTGTAATCCTAGTGCTTTGAGAGGCCAGAGCAGGAGAAGAGCTTGAGGCCAGAAGTTCAACACTAGCCTGGACAATATAGCAAGAGCCTGTCTCTAAAAAAAAATTTTTTTTTTTTGAGATGGAGTCTCGCTCTGTCGCCCAGGCTGGAGTGCAGTGGTACAATCAAGGCTCACTGGAACCTCCACCTCCTGGGTTCAAGTGACTCTCCTGCCTCAGCCTCCTTTGTAGCTAGGACTACAGAGGTGCGCCACCACCCCTGACTTATTTTTGTATAATTATAGAGAGGGCTTCACCATGTTGGCCAGGCTGATCTCAAACTCCTGACCTCAGGCCCACCTCAGCCTCCCAAAGCGCTGGGATTACAGGCATGAGCCACCACACCTGGCATTTTTTTTTTTTTAATTAGCCAGGCATGGTGGCTCACACTTGCAGTCCCAGCTACTCAGGAGGCTGAGGTGGGAGGATCTCTTGAACCCAGGAGTTTGAGGTTGCAATAAGCTATGATTGCAGCACCGCACTCCAGCCTGGGCCACATAGTGAGACTCTATCTCTACAAAACAAAAACTTAGCTGGGCGTGGTGGCTCATGTCTGCAATCCCAGCTACTCTGGAGGCTGAATTAAAATTAAAAATTTCCGATAAGTAAGGAAACAAACCAAAAGATCCTTAATTCACCCATCTCAAGATCACATGTGCAATGTCCGTTTTAGGGACTTCATTCACAGGTTTCAGGGATTACGATATGGACATTTTTGTCCAGATCATTATTCTGTCTACCACAGGGAGAAATGGACAAAGTGAAGAAGGGTTGAGAAGGTGCTTTGGGACACTTGTCTGGACTGTATCTCAGGGAAGCAAATAGCTCAGGAGGTTTCTGATCCTAATTCAGGGTTCTGAGAACTCAACAAGTCAAGCTTAGGGGGCTAAGGAGGGTACAGTTGCATCCTGAAATCCAGAGCCCTGTGGCATCCCAAGCCTTAGACCAAGAAGCTTTTACTTCCCAGTGTCTTGAAGAGCTGTCAAGACCACAGCCTCCTGAAGCTGTGATTAAAGGCACACGGTGCCAGCAGCACTTAGAATTCCCTGCCTCCAGTAGCTTACACTTCAGTGTCTCCACCCTCACTGGACAAAGACTGGTCAAAGGGGATCCTGGCCAGGCATGGTGACTCACACCTGTAATCCTAGCACTTTGGGAGGCCAAGGAGGGCAGATCATGAGGTCAGGAGTTCGAGGCCAGCCTGGCCAACATGGTGAAACCCTGTCTCTGCTAAAAATACAACAACAACAACAAAAAATTAGCTGGGCGTGGTGGCGGGCACCTGTAATCCTAGCTACTAGGGAGGCTGAGGCAGGAGAATTGCTTGAACCTGGGAGGCAGAGGTTGCCATGAGCCGAGATCGCGCCACTGCACTCTACCTGGGGCAACAGTGCGAGACTCCGTCTAAAAAAAAAGGAGGCGGGGGGATCCTGGAGGATGTTCCAGGCAGGGCCAATCATCTAATGTGTGTAACCACTGTTGGAGTCTTACAGGGCCCCATGCTCAGAAGGGGGTTCTGTGCTTGGGGTTTAATGCTCTGAGATTGTTATGTTGACATTCTTTTTCTTTTTCTTTTTCTTTTTTTTTTTTTTTTGAGACAGGGTTCCACTCTCCCACTCTGTTGCCCAGGCTGGAGTGCAGTGGCATGATCTTGGCTCACTGCCACCTCCGCCTCCCAAGCTCAAGCAATTCTCCCACCTCAGCACCCTAGAGTAGGTGGGACTACAGGTGCACGCCACCACACCTGGCTAATTTTTTTTTTTTTTTTTTTTTGAGACAGAGTCTCGCTCTGTTGCCCAGGCTGGAGTGCAGTGGTGCGATCTTGGCTCACTGCAAGCTCCGCCCCTCGGGTTCACGCCATTCTCCTGCCTTAGCCTCCCGAGTAGCTGGGATTACAGGCGCCCGCCACCACGCCCACCTAATTTTTTGTATTTTTAGTAGAGACGGGGTTTCACCGTGTTAGCCAGGATGGTCTCGATCTCCCGACCTCGTGATCCACCTGCCTCGGCCTCCCAAAGTGCTGGGATTACAGGCGTGAGCCAGCGCACCCAGCAATTTTTTTACTTTTTGTAGAGATAAGATTTCACCATATTGCCCAGGCTGCTCCGGAACGCCTATGCTCAAGCAATCTGCCTGCCTTGGCTTCCCAAAGTACTGGGATTACAGGCGTGAGCCACTGTGCCAACCTTGAAATTCCTAATAATTTTTGTTACCCTGAGACAGAGTCTTGCTCTGTCACCCAGGCTGGAGTGCAGTGGCATGATCTCGGCTCACTGCAACCTCTGCCTCCCGGGTTCAAGCATGAATTTATGTTTTGAAAGTGTGTCCCCATATCCAAAGGAGTGCAACATTAAATATCAAATAAAAGAATACCATGACAGGTTGAGAAATTGTAGAAAACAAAAACAAAAAAAAGCTTTGTTCCTTTTTTTTTTTTTTTTTTGAGACAAGGTCTCATTCTGTCACCCAGACTGGAGTGTAGTGGCTCGATCATAACTCACTGCAGCCTGAAATTCCTGGGCTCAAATTATCCCTGCCTTGCCTCAGCCTCCTGAGTATCTGGGAGTACAGTACACACCACTATGCCCAACTAAAGTTTTTTAGTTTTTGTAGAGACAGGTTCTCCCCTGTGTTGTCCAGGCTGGTCTTGAACTCCTGGCTTTACATGACCTTCCCGCCTCATCCTCCCAAAGCACTGGGGTTACAGACATGAGCCACCGTGCCCAGCTTGTTTCTGCTTTTGAACAAGGGGTCCTGCATTTTCATTTTGCAGCAGGTCTTGCAAATTATGTAACCATTCCTCATCCCAGGACAAGATACTGGCCAGGTGTGGTGGCTCATGCCTGTAATCCCAGCACTTTGGGAGGTTGAGGTAGGCAGATTGCCCGAGCTCAGGAGTTCAAGACCACCCTGGGCAACATGGTGAAACCCCCGTCTCTACTAAAATACGAAAACATTTAGCCGGGCGTGGTGGTGCACACCTGTAGTCCCAGCTACTCAGGAGGCTGAGGCAGGAGAATCGCTTGAGCCCGGGAGGTGGAGGTTGCAGTGGGCCGAGATTGTGTCACTGCACTCCAGCTTGGGTTACAGAGTGAGACTCCGTCTCAAAAATAAAAAAAGATACCGAAGGCCCCTTCTCCAAAGACCACCTGCTTTATGGTGGTCTTTGGAGAAGGGGCCTTCAGTATTTCCTTAGGCATTTTCCTTGAGTGATAGAAACAGCTCGGTTTTCCCCGTGGAGACAGCATTCCTGTGTGCACCCTCTCTGGTCCCTTCTGCCCAATTCCCTAGGTCTCTAGGAAGGGATGATGGGATGGGATGGGCATGAGGGTGAGGAAGAAGCATGAAGGCGCTTATCAATAACAGATGTCAACAGGTGGCTTATTGATATCAGGTGGTTTATTGATATTGAAACTCCACGCCCCTTTCACCACAGACCACCTGTTGGCCATAAGGCTATGGTGCCAGCGATCTCTCCCACTAACAGAGCTGGCCAGGTCCCAGGGCCTAGCAAACCTCCCAGAGTGGTCTCTAGGTATGGAGGACCCCAGAAAGGGGAAGGGGCTGTGATTGAAGGGATGCTACTCTCTGATTAACCGACAGTATGACCGTCACATTAGGGTCAGCTACACTGCAGGGCTGGGGTGTGTGGATATCTGTGCTGGGGTCTGGGCTCCGTGGAGAGATGTGTAGGGGTAATGAGAAATTGATCAGCAATGAGAGGTGGACTCTGAGCCACCTCCCTGACCCTGAATCATTCAAGCGAGGAGCAGAGGAGCTCTTGACTGGGGGACGGGGATGTGAGGATCCCCAGGGCCTCAGAAGTTGTTATCAATGTTCCAGACATCCCCGCTAAGCGCATTGGCTGCCCCTTGCAGCGTCCAGGTGAGCAGGGCTAGCTGACGCCGGAAACGGCTCTCCTGGAAGCCAGTGGAGGAGGTGGCCCCGGGGGTCCCGGAGCTGTTGGAGCGCAGCAGCCGCAGGTGGTCCAGCAGGGCGCCCAGCGTGTGGTCTCCACGGCCCATGAAGATGTGGCGGAACGGGGAGTCGGCTGGCGACACGTACTGGGAAAGGAAGTAGAACTCCACCTGCGCAGAGAGGGGGATCAGGTCAGGGTTGGGGGCTCTGGCTCGGGAGCAAAGGCCCGAGTCACCCTTCCCGCCAGCCAGTCTTTTTGTTTTTTTGTTTGTTTGTTTTCTTTTTGTGTTTGTTTTTTGTTTGTTCGTTTGTTTTGAGACGGAGTCTCGCTCTGTCTCCCAGGCTGGAGTGCAGTGGCACGATCTCGGCTCACTGCAACCTCCGCCTTCAGCGTTCAAGCGATTCTCCTGCCTCAGCCTCCAGAGTAGCTGGGATTACAGGCACCCGCCACGACGCCCGGCTAATTTTTGTATTTTGAGTAGAGACGGGGTTTCTCCGTGTTGGCCAGGCTGGTCTCGAACTCCTAACCTGAAGTGATCCGCCCGCCTTGGCCTCCCAAAGTGCTGGGATTACAGGTGTGAGCCACCACGCTAGGCCTCCCCTTCTATCTCTAGAACCCCTAAGCCTGCATGTAGTTCTCCCGAGTCTTCCTTCCTCACCCATTCAGTGAATGCTCAAAGCCTCAAAGAACAATCTATCGCCCTGCTGTTCCCTTCTTAACACCACACCTCCCCACACCGAGTCATTCTCCACCCCCACCAATGTCCACAGCCCAGAGACGAAGGTCAAGGGGACAGTCCAGTCCTCATGAAAAGCCTGGCTTTCCTCCCTCTGACGCAGCTGCTGTTCCGTCTTTCCTGAGACGGCCTTGCTCCTGACCTAATCTCCTCCCTCCTTTCTGCCAGCCTCTCCTAGTTTCCTAGCCTCTCCTAGCCCCATCTCTGGTTTGTTCTGCTTCCACCCGTGGGCAGGTCTCAAAGTTCCACCTCCCTCTTCTCTGTACCTATTAAATTATCATTGCCTGGGCACCGCCCCAGTAAAATCAGAATCTCTAGGGGGTGATCTCAGATGCTCACATCTTTTATTTTTAGAGACAGGGTCTCACTGTCACCCAGGCTGGAGTGCAGTGGTGCAATCACAGCTCACTGCAACCCAAACCCCAGAGGTCAAGTGATCTTCCCGCCTTAGCCTCCTGAGTAGTTGGGAGTGCAGGCACGTGCCACCATACCCAGCTGATTTTCAGATGCTCACATCTTTTTAAGGCCTCCATCATTCACTCACAGAGCTCATCTGTGCCCCTGATGTCAACCAGGACCTCTGTGGGGACAGATGCCAAATCTCCCCACCCAGTGACCCACTGGAATCCTGCCCTCCAGCCATCTGGACCTCCCCACTGGGTTTGGGAGCACCTGGACATATCAGTACCGATCTCTTCCCAAACCTGGGCGTTGGGCCCACACTCATGTGGCCCATGGCTTTCTGCAGGTGTCAAGCTGTCACCCTCAAAGGGGAGTGAGCATGGGGTGAGCACAGGCTTTGAAGGTAGACTACCTGGCCTCCAATTTCGGCTCTTCCACTTACTAACTATATGATTTCAGGTAAGTTTCTTAGCCTCTCCTAGCCCCAGTTTCTGGATATAATACTAGCAACCTCAGCGCTGGGGGAAGCAAATGAAATAAATCCTCTAGCATGTGGTAACCTTCTACTATGGTAACTGCAGCTGGGCACAGTGGCTCATGCCTGTAATCCCAGCACTTTCAGAGGCTGAGGCGGGTGGATCATCTGAGGTCAGGAGTTTGAGACCAGCCTGGCCAACATGGCAAAACCCTGTCTCTACTACAAATACAAAAAATTTAGCCAGGTATGCTGATGTGTCCCTGTAATCCCATCTAGTCAGGAGGCTGAGGCACAAGAATAGCCTGAACCCAAGAGGCGGACGTTGCAGTGAGCCAAGATCGTGCCACTGCCCTCCAGCCTGGGTGACAGAGCAAGACTCTGTCTCAGAAAACAAAACCAAACAAACAAACAAACAAACAGGCCGGGCACAGTGGCTGATGCCTGTAATCCCAGCACTTTGGGAGGCCAAGGTGGGTAGATCACGAGGTCAAGAGATCAAGACCATCCTGGCCAACATGGCGAAACCCCGTCTCTACTAAAAATACAAAAATTAGCTGGGTGTGGTGGCACATGCCTGTTGTCCCAGCTACTCAGAAGGCTGAGGCAGGAGAATAGCTTTAACCCGGGAGGCGGAGGTTGCAGCGAGCCGAGATCGTGCCACTGCACTCCAGTCTGGTGACAGAGCGAGACTCCGTCTCAAAAAACAAACAAAAACAAATGGCAACTGCTATTTTATTATTCTTCTATTCTAAGACAACTATTATTATTATTCTCCTCCTCTTCCCTCAACATCAAATCTGTCAATTTCTCCTTCTAAACACCTGACATCGGTCCAGTCCCCACCTATGAGCATTTGCTCCCACCTGCCACTCTCAAGACATTTGCAATCTGACCAAAATCACTCCTAAAAACTCTACTTTGTTGTCCAGCATGGTGGCTCCTGCCTGTAATCCCAGCACTTTGGGAGGCCAAGGTAGGAGGATTACTTGAGCTCAGGAGTTTGAGACCAGCTTGGGCAATGTATGGAAACCCTCATCTCTACAAAAATAAAAATAAAAAATTAGTCGGGTGTGGTGGTGTGCACCTATAGTCCCAGCTACTCAGGAGGCCAAGGTGGGAGGATCACTTGAGCCCAGGAGTTCAATACCAGTCTGGGCAACACAGTGAGACCTCATTTCAAAAACAAAAACTCCCAGCCGGGCGCAGTAGCTCACGCCTGTAATCCTAGCACTTTGGGAGGCTGAGGTGAGCAGATCACTTGATGTCAGGAGTTCAAGACCAGCCTGGCCAACATGATGAAACCCCTTCTCTACCAAAAAAAAAAAAAAAAAAAAAAATTAGGCATGGTTGTGCGCGCCTGTAGTCCCAGCTACTCGGGAGGCAGAAGTGGGAGAATCACTTGAACCCGACAGGCAGAGGTTACAGTGAGCCGGGATCGCGCCACTGCACTCCAGTCTGGGTGACATTAAGACACTGTCTCCAAAAAATAAAGAAAGAAAAATAAATAAAAATAAAAACTCCCCTTTGCTCACATCACCTCTCTGCTCAAAAACCTCTCTAATTTCCTTGATGCTAAGACCCTTAACATCCAAACTTCTAATCCTGGTGTTCGAGGCTCCCCACAGTTGATCGATAACACCACATTTGGTGGTCCCCTCCCCTCTGCCTCTTCATGGGGCCCCTGTTCTGGCTCTGCTGGTCCACACCCCGCTTCCAAGTAAAACCAGACTGATTTCACTGCCACACCCGAATTCTGGTCTCTCCACCCTGAAATGTCCTCTTTACTTTGCATCAATCCACATCCTGCCTGTTCTTCAAGATCCAAGTCACAGTCTAAAGCCAAGGTCAGCAAACTTTTTCTGTGAAATGCCAGATAGTAAATATTTTAGATTTTGCAGGCCATGCTGCTTTTATTGCAGCTACTTAACGTTGCTGCTATTACACAAAAGTAGCCATAGAGAGCGTGAAAACCAATAAGCATGGCTGTTTCAATAAAACTTTATTTACAAAAACAGGGAGCAGAGGCTCACGCCTGTAATCCCAGCACCTTGGGAAGCTGAGGTGGGAGAGTCGCTTGAGCCCAGGATTTTGAGACAAGCCTGGACAATATAGTGAGATCCCATCTCTACAAAAAATTTTAAAAATTAGCGGAGTGTGGTAGTGTGTCCTTGTAGTCCCAGCTACTCAGGAGGCTGAGGTGAGGTGAGAGGATTGCTTGAGCCCGGGAGGTGGAGGTTGCCGTGAGCCCAGATCATGCTACTGCACTCCAGCCTGGGCAACAGAGTGAGACCGTCTCAGAAAAAAAAAAAACAAAAAAACAAGCGGCAGTTTGAATTTGGCCAATGGGCAGTAGTTCACCAACCCCTGGTCTAGAGCCATAAAATTCACTGGGTCTGGCCCAATCCTGTATTGCAGGCTCTGAAGTCCTGAGTCCTTCCCTCTCCATCCCTGAGCCTGAGTCATGCATCTTTTTCTTTTTCTTTTTCTTTTTTTTTTTTTTTTTGAGATGGATTTTCGCTCTTGTTGCCCAGGCTGGAGTGCAATGGCGTGCTCTCGGCTCACTGCAACCTCCATCTCCCAGGCTCAAGTGATTCTCCTGCCTCAGCCTCCTGAGTAGCTGGGATTACAGGCGTGTGCCACCATGCCCAGCTAATTTTGTATTTTTAGTAGAGACGGGGTTTCTCCATGTTGGTCAGGCTGGTCTCGAACTCCTGACCCCAGGTGATCCGCCCACCTCAGCCTCCCAAAGTGCTGAGATTACAGGCGTAAGCCACCGTGCCTGGCCTAAGTCATGCATCTTACACGCAGGTCCCTTTTATCCCTGGTGGGGACAGGGGTATGGCAACTTTGAAAGGTGGGTGTTTTTGTCTTCTGCATGCTGACACAGCTGAGGTTAAACCAAGATCTGTGAATGAGAATGAACCATACCCAACCTATTGCCTCACCCCAGGGTCACCCCTGTTCCAGTAGAGGAGGCAAAGGTTAAAGAAGAATGAATGGAGAAAGAGATATAAGAAGGAGAGGAGAAGGCCAGGTTCAGTAGCTCACGCCTGTAACCCCAGCAATTTGGGAGGCCGAGGCAGGAGGATCACTTGAGGCCAGGAGTTTGAGACCAGCCTGGGCAACATGGTAAAACCCTGTCTCTACAAAAAATAGAAAAATTTAGCCGGGCGTCATGGCACGTGCCTGTACTCCCAGCTACTAGGGAGGCTGAGGTGGGAGGATCACTTGAGCCCAGGAGTTGGAGGTTGCAGTGAGCAGAGATGGTGCCACTGCACTCTAGTCTGGGCAAGGGAGAACGAGCAAGAGCAATAGGTTTGTAAATGGCCAAGGGGGACAGGCAGAGGGCACAAGCAGGAAAATGCAAGGAGGAGAGATAACATGAGCCTCCAAGGGGTAGCCATGCTGGCTCTGAAAACCGTGAGTGTGTGTGCACAAGTGGCTCTGTGTACACTGCAGTTCCCAGCTCACCCCACACTCATTGAGGATGATCCTGTTTACTATTTTGCCCTGCAGACCTTTCCCCATGGCCACAGTCCCTACTCACCCATTTCTTGACATCAAAGGGTTGAGGGGTTGAGTTCTTGGAGTAAGAAAATGGAAGGAAGTGGAGGAGTTGGAACTGGAGGTGGGGTGTGGGCTGCAAAGGATTCAAAGCTAAGCAGAAGGGATTGGTGAGGGAATAAGCTCTTGTTTAACTTTCACGTGACACCTCCTCCAGGCAGCCTTTCTGGATTTCACCCATTTCATTATCAGAAGGAAAACAGCTCTCTTACTCTGAATATCTTTAGCCTTCTGCACTTCCCAGCCTGTAACCTCGTATTGTGGACCAGTGTGGACATGCTTTTTCTTTCCAGAAGGGTCGAGGAGGCAGTGGGAGCTATAGGAGGGGAGTCAGCGGGGAGGGGTGGGGGAGGGTGGATTGTCCCAGTTCTGCCAGGCGTAAACCAGGCGACTGTGGCCAAGAGGCTGGCCCTCCCTGTCCATTTCATCACTTTGATCGCTCGGGTCCTCCAGCCTGACCGATCTATGAGCACTGCGTGTCCAGGACTGGGAAGAGAGCATCCAGAGGACCGGGACTGTGTAGGCGGGGAGAGAGAGGAGCGCGCAGACGGGGCCAGGTCCAGGAGGTGGAGCCCCAGGGGAGGGGCGGGACACTGGGGGCGGGGCGAGGAGGGCGGGGCCTCACCCGCATTATGCGCACGTTGTACATGCGTGTCAGTCGCTCGTCTCTCTCCTCCGAGCTGTAGATCTCCTGCCGCAGCTTTTCCGCCGCCCGGATGTAGTCCCCCCGCGCCGAGTACACCCACTGCAGGGTCAGCCCGCGGGCCTGGGGTGGGGAGGCGCGGGCTGGGGCTGGCGGCAGGGGCCAGGACCCCCGCCTAGCATGGGGACAAGGACCCCCGCCTAGCATGGGGAAGGGGGCTGGGACCCCTGGCCGCAGGAGGGAGGAGGTAGACGAGGACAGAGTGCTGGAGGCAGGATGAAGGGAGTGGGGAGAAGATCCTGCACCTGCCAGGTTGGGCGATGGCACATGCTGGGGGCTGGGAGACTGGAGGCAGGGGGTTAATGGGCTGGATTGCCAGAGAGGACCTAGACCCCAGGGAATGCAGAGAGAAGGGGCTGGACCCCCTGGCCTGGGCAGTGCCTCCCACTCCCAGAGACCAAGAGCGGGGTGGGCCTCTTGAACCTTGAGGTCCCCAGAGAACTCGTTGAGGTTCCCGATGTGCCTGAGGACGACGTCCCCGTAGCGGCCGAAGTCGAGGGGCAGCAGGCGATCGTGGCTGAGCCGGATGAGGAGCTGCCCTGCGAGCTGGGCCACGGCCTGGGCCACGGCGGGCAGGCGGCCTTGCAGCACCTTATGCAGGTTCTCATAAGTGTCCTCCTTTGTGTGCAGGAATGGGTAGGCCTGGTCGTCCTGCCAGGACAGGGTGGACGCTGGGGCGGAGGCAGACAGGCTGAAGGACTAGCGCTGTGTCTGGGGCAGGGGGAGGACGTCTCACCTCCATAAAGGAGAACTCGACGGCAGGGACTCCCACAAAGGCCGTGAAGGAATAGGCACTGCTGTCCATGGGTAGGGGCCGGATCCTGGGGGCAGGTGGGTTGGAGCGATCTGTGGGTTCAGGCTCCCCCACATCCCTCCCCAGCTCTCCCTACCCCCCCAACTTACACCTCAGCATCCCAGCTGGGATTGGTGAACACCACCTGTTCATAGAGAGTCTGCCCACTGTGGTTGGGAGAATCCACCTGGGGGTTGGGGAAGGGCACTGATCAGGCTCTGCTCCTCCCCGCAACCTACTCCCCTTCACCCCCTATTCCTGGGGTGCTCTTGCCTGCTTCAGGACACTCTCAATGAGACTTGTCAGAAGGGGGCTGGTCTTGGCATGAAACTTGTCATCCCCTGGAAAAAGGGGAGGGGAGGGATGCCAGGCTCAGGGCTCAGCCCCAGAGGCAAGGGTGGACCCCAGGGGGCCAGGTGGTGGCACTGCCCCAGCTCACCCAGCACTGCGTTGTCCAGGCTCACGTACACTACGGCTTTGAGGTGCAGCACGCTGAGGTAGCCCTGTGGGTGGGTGACCAGTGTGGAGTGGGAACCCCCCACCCCCACCTCTCCCCAATGCCTAACGACCTGCCCGGGACCCCGTATCACCTCTAGCCACTCCGTGGAGCCCACGCTTCCAAAGTCACCACCGTCCCAGCTGATGAAGAGGAGACTTCTGCGGGGCCGGAAGCCTGGGGACAGAGGGGAAGGAGGACAGGCTTAGCAGGGGCCAAGCAAAGACCCTCCCCTTGTCTTCTTCTGTCCTGGTCCCCCAGGGTCTCTGTTTCTCTGTCTCTCTCTCTGAGACAGGATCTCACTCTCTCGCCCAGGCTGGAGTGCAGTGGTGCAATCATGGCTCAATGTAGCCTTGACCTCTCAGGTTCAAGTCATCCTCTTGCCTCAGCCTCCCAAGTAGCTGGGATTACAGGCATGCACCACTAAGTCCAGCCAATTTTTAAAAAACTTTTGTAGAGATGCAGTCTCCCTATGTTGCCCAGGCTGGTTTTGAATTCCTGGTCTCCAGCGATTCTCCTGTGTTGGCCTCCCAAAGTGCTGGGATTACAGGCATGAGCCATCACGTCCAGCCCAACATGCTTAATCTTGACACAGACCCATGGACTATGATTATCATTCATGTCACTTTTTTTCTTTTCTTTTCTTTCTTTTTTTTAGAAGGAGGCTCATTCTGTTGCCCAGGCTGGAGTGCAGTGGTGCGATCTCGGCTTACTGCAAACTCCGCCTCCCAGGTTCAAGCGATTCTCCTGCCTCAGCCTCCCTAGTAGCTGGGATTACAGGCGCCCTCCACCACGCCTGGCTAATTTTTGTATTTTTAGTAGAGGGTTTCACCATGTTGGCTAGGCTGGTCTCAAACTCCTGACCTCAGGTGATCCATCTGCCTCGGCCTCCCAAAGTGCTGGGACTACAGGCGTGAGCTACCGCACCCGGCCTCACTTTCATTTTTAGGTGACGAAATAGAGGTGAAGTGACTGGCCCAGGGCCACTCAGGTACAATGTGGATGCCGAGGTCCAAGTGACCACTGGCCAGTCTGTGTCCCTCACTGCCTCTCTGCCCTATCCTCCTCGGGCCACAGGCCCACCGCTGCCTAGCCCAGGCCCAGGCCCTGGCCCTGACCTTACCGTTGCTCACCATGGAGGAAAAGGTCCGCACCAGCTCCAGGAGTATAGCCGTCCCCACAGCGGATTTAGCTGCTCCTGGGCCCCATGCATCCCTCTGGGCCCCGATGACAACGTAGTGATCTGGGGAGGGGATGTTTGGGACCCACTTCTGACACTGCACCCTGCACCCTGGGGGCATCCTCCATCTGCCTGTGTCTCTCAGCCCATCACAATTCCGGCAACCCTAGCCCTGCAGTCCCTCCAGTCCCTAAAGAGGGCGCCCCTCCCCACTTGGCCCTTCCTGGATGGTGTGCTCCTTCAGCTGGGTGCCTGAGGTCATTCTGGACTTACAAGGTTTCTGTCACCCAGGCTGGAGTGTGCAGTGGTGTGATCATAGCTCACTGCAGCTTCAAACTCCCTGGCTCAAGCCATCCTCCTGCCTGAGCCTCCCAAGTAGCTGGGACCACAGATGTGTGCCACCATGCTCGGCTAATTTCTTTTACTTACTTACTTATTTATTTATTTAATTTATTTTTTGGAGTCTCGCTCTGTTGCCCAGGCTGGAGTGCAGTGGCACGATCTTGGCTCACGGCAAGCTCCACCTCCCGGGTTCACGCCATTCTCCTGCCTCAGCCTCCTGAGTAGCTGGGAGTACAGGCGCCTGCCACCATGCCCAGCTAATTTTTTTGTATTTTTAGTAGACAGGGTTTCACCATGTTAGCCAGGATGGTCTCGATCTCCTGACCTCATGATCCGCCCACCTCGGCCTTCCAAAGTGCTGGGATTACAGGCGTGAGCCACCGCACCCAGCCAATTTCTCTTATTTTTAAATTTTTTGTGAAGTCTTGGCTTTGTTGCCCCATCTGTCAATTACTTATTTTAATTCTCCACTGCCATCCACATCTAGCTATGCTTGAAAGGGCCATCTATGCTTCTATCTAATCTGATCTGATCTTTCTTTCATGCTTGAGTCTTCCTTCCTTCCTTCCTTCCTTCCTTCCTTTCTCTCTCTCTCTTTCTTTCTTTTTTTCTTTCTCTTTCTCTCTTTCTTTCTTTCTCTTTTTTTTCTTTTTCTTGAGACAAAGTCTTGCTCTGTTGCCCAGGCTGGAGTGCAATGGCACAATCTCGGCTCACAGCAGCCTCCACCTCCTGGGTTCAAGTGATTCTCCTGTCCGAGCCTCCGGAATAGCTGGAATTACAGATGCATGCCACCGGGCCCAGCTAATGTTTGTATTTTTAGTAGAGACGGGGTTTCACCATGTTAGCCAAGCTGGTCTCAAACTCCTGACCTCAAGTGATCCACCTGCCTGGGCCTCCCAAAGTGCTGGGATTACAGGCGTGAGCCACCACACCCGGCCCATGCTTGAGTTTCTATTACAACATCATCCAACTTAGGCTTACTCACTTCCAGTGCTGGGGAGCTCACTACTGGGCAACAACCCCCATTCCATCACTAGACAGGCTGGAAGGTGAGGTCTGTTCACTGCTGCCACCATCAGACCCAGTTCAGCCTCAACTTGCCAGCTTCCCTCCTCTGGGCACCACTCCTGTCCCCTCTTGGGGCCTCCTGCACCAGCCCCCTATCTTGCCAGGGTGTATGGGCAGAAATTCCCCCAGCCCACCACCAGCTGTGAGTGATACTGGACACACAGCATACCTGGCTCTGAGCGGCCTTCGATGCAGCCGAAGATGTTGTTGATGGGGGTGGAGGTCCTGTGATTGTTGACCACTAGCCGCAGTCGTGGCCCGGGGCCCAGGTGATAAGGGGAGCCTAGGAGGCTCCCCTGCCATTCTTGGGGGGCCACAGGGCCTTTGAGCTTCCTGGAGAGGAGGAAGGCAGAAAGGGGGAAGTTGTAGAGAGACCCAGAAGAGTCCAAATCACTCTTTTCCTTATTTCTTTCCCTCCCACCCTTTCTGGCTCCAGATCGCTGCCTCTGGACGCTGCCTGGGTAGGGCAGTGCAGTCAGGGCTGCCTTGGATGGTTCTCAGCTGAGGTAGGTGTGCAATCCAGTGGGAACTTTAGTTGCCAGACAGTAGACCCTGGAGAAAGGCTGTGTCCATCCAGAAGAGTCACTTTTTTTTTTTTTTTTTTTTTTTTTAAAGAGTCAGGGTCCCGGCCAGGCATGGTGGCTCACACCTGTAATCCCAGCATTTTGGGAGGCCGAGATGGGCGGATCACTAGGTCAGGAGTTCGAGACCAGTCTGGCCAACATGGTGAAACCCTCTACTAAAAATACAAAAATTAGCCGGGCGTGGTGGGGGGGCACCTGTAATCCTAGATACTCTGGAGTCTGAGGCAGAAGAATCACTTGAACCCGGGAGGTGGAGGTTGCAGTGAGCCAAGATTGCACCACTGCACTCCAGCCTGGAAGACAGAGCAAGACTCCATCTCAAAAAAAAAAAAAGGTCAGGGTCTCTCTGTCTCCCAGGCTGGAGTGCAGTGGTGTAGTCATGGCTCACTGCAGGCTTAAACAAGAGTCACCTTTTTCTAGTTCACCCACAATCACCCTGTGGCCTCGCTGCAGCCTTCCTCTCTCTGCTTCCTCCTCTTCTGGTCCCCAACACTCCCCTCACCTCAGCAGGCGGGAGGCAATGTCTGCACTGATGGGCTGGGCTGGGATGCTGGGAAGGCCTGATGATGCAACTGGAGGGAACTGGGTTTGATTGAAGGAAGGGAAGCCAGGTGTGTAGGGGTCTCCAGTTCCCAGGTGCACCTGCAGGGAAAGGGGTGCCCACGCAAAGCTGCGAGCTGGGCTTCCAGGAAAAACGAAAAACATGCCAGCCCTATTCTGAGCAAGAAGGTGTGGCCTCGGGACCTGGGAACAGCACGACCAGCCTCCCCAGACTCACATGTCCATACACTGCCTGCTGGCTGGACAGGCTTGGCTTGGGTGGGTCCTGGGAGAAGTCCGCTGGCTCTGGGTATATGAGCACTCCTTGAGCCCCGAAGTCCTGAGCATTGGTCACCTGGGGAGGAAGGTGACTAGAGGACTCCTCCCAGAAAAAAACCCGATTCATAAGGGCAGGAGAAACCAGGAAATGGCAAGGCCTTTGCTTGCAACTGTCCATCCCACGGAGAGGATGTGGGGGCACTACCTGGCCTGTGTCTTCCCAACCTCAGCAGCTCCTAGGCAGCCCTCAAACCCCACCGGGCTCCAGGGTACCCCATGTTTCTGTTCCCTTCCCCATCTGATTTCCCCCAACACCCAATTTGTTCCCAGCCAACATTTTCTTTTTTCCTTCTGATTCAATTCCCAGACCAGCCAACATTTTCCTTCCTTCCTTCCTCCCTCCCTCCCTCCCTTCTCTGTTTCTCTCTCTTTTTTTTTTTTTTCTTTTTGAGACAGAGTCTCTCTTGCCCAGGCTGGAGTGCAGTGGCGCGATCATAGCTCACTGCAGCCTGGCACTCCTGGGCTCAAGCGATCCTCCCACCGGAGCCTCCGGAGTAGCTGGGACCACATGCATGTGCCACCAGCCCAGCTAACTAAAAAAAAAAAAAAAAGAACCTTTTTTTTTTTTTTTTTTTTTAGTAGAGAGGGGGTTCTCACCGTGTTGCCTTGAATTCCTGGCCTCAAGCGATCCTCCTGTCTTGGCCTCCTAAAGTGCTGGGATTGCAGGTGAGAACCATCGTGCCCAGCTTATATTTTCTTACCATCCAGCCACATGGTTCTTTCCTGTCTCCCTCTCACAGCACCCTGAACGATTCTCACTGGCAGTCCGACCCTCCGGTTCCCGGGCTCAAGCCCTCCCTCTGTCCAGGGACACTTACCTTCTGGGCGAAGCTGATCACCCCCACGCGCACCAGCAGCAGGCGGCCCACTGGATCCACGCCCCTGGCCCGCAGGTCCTGCAGGTCTTCGGGCCGCCCGTAGTGGGCGTACACCAGCTCTCCCTGGGGACACGAGGACGGTGAGGCGCGCTCCCCGCGTCCCTCCTTCGAGACCCAGGAAAGGGCTCGTGCCGCGCCCCATCCTAGGAGCGGGCAGGGGGTGCTCACCGTGACGTTGCCGATGGCGCTGTAGGGGCAGTAGACGTCAGGGTCCTCCAGCGGCAGCTGCTCTCCGACCTTCCCGGCCTCATCGACCCAGTGCAGGGTGTTGGGGTGAGCCCTGGGGAGCGGGGCTGGTGAGCGCCCCGAGCCGCGTCCCCCTCCCCGCGCGCCCCCCGCCCGCGCGCGCACTCACGGATCCGGGAATTGCAGCCCCACGTAGTGCGTGTCGGTCCACACGTGGTCCAGCTTCTGGCGGGAGAGCGCCGCGCGAATGTCCTGAGTCAGAGCGGCCATCCCGGCCGAGCCTGCCACCCGTTCCCGAAGGCTGGTTTGCCTAAGCGGGGAGAGGTGGGGACTTTTCTGGGCGCCCGGAGGAGAGGGAGGGAAGAGGGAAGGATGCCAGAGACGTGGGGTCGCCAGGGGCAGGGGCGGCGAGGGGTTCCTGAGTTTAGGAAAAGAGCGCTCCCCGCGGACGCTTTTTTTTTTTTTTTTTTTTTTTTTTTTGAGACGGAGTGTCGCTCTGTCGCCCAGGCTGGAGTGCAGTGGACCAATCTCGGCTCTCTGCAACTTCCGCCTTCCTGGTTCAAGCCATTTTCCTGCCTCGGCCTCCCTCGTATCAGGGATTACAGGCACGTGCCATCACGCCCGGCTAATTTTTGTATTTTTAGTAGAGACGGGTTTCACCATGTTGACCAGGTTGGTCTCAAACTCCTGATCTCAGGTGATCTGCCCGCCTCGGCCTCCCAAAGTGCTGGCATTACAGGCGCGAGCCGCAGTGCAGGGCCCTCCGCGGACCCATTTTCTCCCATCACCACCAGGGCGGCGCCGGAGACTCTCAGGACCTCACTCTGCTTAAAACCTGACTTCCCATAGCTGGGGGTCCTGCCCATCATCCTGTAGGTTCTTCCCGGCTCAAGCCAAACTCTCTCCCCCAACCTCGTTCCTCCCGACGTCAACACACACACACACACACACACACACACACACACACACACACAGCACCCAAACACTTTCCTTCGAAAGAGCTAACTGGGCAGGCAGCAGACCCTCCTCATCTCCCCCATCCTCCACGTGGGCCTCATGGAGACACTTTACACCAAGGTACTCAGGGGAATCACCGGTTCCTGGGCTCAAGCCATCCTCCCGCCTCAGCCTCCTGAGCAGCTGGGACTACAGGTGTACGCCACCAACCGCTGATTTTTAAAAATTTTTTGTAGACGAGAAGTCTTGCTGTGTTTCCCAAGCTGGTCTTGAACTCCTGGCCTCAAGCGATCCTCCCAAAGTGCTGGGACTACAGGCATGAACCATGACGACCCGCCCCATATGTGTATTTAAAGCTACACATCAAAAGCGTGAGATAAGGTGCTTATGGGGAGGGGAGTGGGGAGGATCACTCAGGGATGAGGCAGGAAAATTCAATTCAAAACAGTTAAAGTAGCCAGTAAGGCCCTTTAGGGCCTGAGCTACATCCACCTCACCGGCCACATGGACCATCTTTCCCTTCCTCCAAGAGGCCACCATCTTCACATTTCAGACCCTTCGCAAATGGTGAATCTCAGCCTGAATGTTTTTCCACAGTCTCTTTGCCTGGCAAATTACTCATCTTGGCAGTTTAGACTCGTCAGTTCCTCAACGAAGCCTTCCCTGAACTGCAATCTAAATCAGGATCCTGGTTATAGTCTTTCTTTACACACTTTTCTTTTCTTTTTTCTTTCTTTCTTTCTTTTTTTTTTTGAGACGGAGTCTCGCTCTGTCGCCCAGGCTGGTGTGTAGTCGTGCAATCTCAGCTCACTGCAACCTCTGCCTCCTGGGTACAAGTGATTCTCCTGCCTCAGCCTCCTGAGTAGCTAGGACCACAGGCGCCTACCACCACACTCAGCTAGTTTTGTATTTTTTTAGTAGAGACAGGGTTTCGGCATGTCGGCTAGGCTGGTCTCAAACTCCTGGCCTCAGGCAATCAGCCCACCTTCACCTCCCAAAATGCTGGGATTACAGGTATGAGCCATGGCGCCCGGCCCCTTTTCTTTTCTTTTTTTGGAGATAGGGTCTCACTCTGTCACCCAGCCTGGAGTGCAGTGGCATGACCATAGCTCACTGCAACCTTCAGCTCCTAAGCTCAAGCCATCCTCCTGCCTCAGCCTCCTGAATAGCCGGGACTCTAGGCATGCACCACCATACTGGGCTAATTTTTTATTTTTCTTTTTTAAAAAATTATTATTATTATTATTATTATTATTTTTGACATGGAGTTTCACTCTTGTTGCCCAAGCTGGAATGCAATGGCGCAATCTTGGCTCACTGCAACCTCCACCTCCCAGGTTCAAACAATTCTCCTGCCTCAGCCTCCCAAGTAGCTGGGATTATAGGTGCCCGCCAACATGCCCAGCTAATTTTTTTTGTATTTTTAGTAGAGCCTAAAAAGGGTGAAACAGTGTTTCACCATGTTGGCCAGGCTGGTCTCGAACTCCTGTCCTCAGGAGATCCACCTGCCTTGGCCTCCCAAAGTGCTGGGATTACAGGTGTGAGCCACCGTGCCTGGTCAAATTATTATTATTTTTTTAAGAGACAGGATCTCTCTATGTTGCCCAGGCTGGTCTCAAACTGGGCTCAAGAGATCCTCCCACCTCAGCCTCCCAAAGTGCTGGGCTCACAGGTGTGAGCCACCACACTGAGCCTCACATCCTTTGCTTTTCTTTCAAAGCAATGATTCCAGTCATAATTATGTAGTCGTGAATGATTGTTAGTTTAGTATTGGTTTTCTCCAGTGGATTGTAAGCACCATGAGAACAAAGTTAGACTGTTTTAGTCTCTATCTCACCACCACCTGCTTAGCTTAGTACCTGCCACGTAGTAGATGCCCCAAAATACTTGTTGGATAAATGAATTAATTACTTCATCATTGTCACCTCCAGTCCAGGCACTCCACTTCCCTGGTCACACCCTGCATCTTTTTTTTTTTTTTTTTTTTTTTGAGATGGAGTCTTGCTCTGTTTCACAGGCTGGAGTGCATTGGTGCGATCTCAGCTCACTGCAACCTCTGCCTCCCAGTTTCAAGTGATTCTCCTGCCTCAGCCTCCCGAGTAGCTGGGATTACAGGCATGCACCATCACACCCAGTTAATTTTTGTATTTTTAGTAGAGACAGGATTTCACCATGTTGGCCAGGCTGGTCTCAAACTCCTGACCTCAGATGATCCACCTGCCTTGACCTCCCAAAGTGCTGGGATTACAGGCGTGAGCCACTGTGCCTGGCCCGTATCCTGCATCTTGTCATTACCCGCACTCCATCTCTGGAATACTTATCCATTGAGGATCTACTGAACATCTAGTAAGTGCCAGGCATTGTGGTAGGTGCTGGAGACTCTGAGATAGACAGGATATATTGTATCAGGAAGTTTTCAAGGATCCAGAATCCTACTCTCTGAGTAGACCCTGTCAGGTTCCAACTCCCCCAGTTATCCTCGCTGTACCTGCTCTTCAACCCCATTGAACATGACAAATGTCCTATAGCTCCACATGTATCATCTCCCCCCACTTTCTCTTCCCTCTCCATCCCACCGAGAGCCATGTTTCACTCTTGTTGCCCAGGCTGGAATGCAATGGCGCGATCTCGGCTCACTGCAACATCCTTGCTCTCTCCCCAAAACTGCTACTTTTGCCTCAGTGCCACACCCCGCTTCTAGACCTGTCAAACTATCTACCTGCTCAGCCTGTACCCAGATGACCAAATACTGCTCAAAAAAATAAAAGTAGCCCTGAACAGGCTGGGCACCATGGCTTACGCCTGTAATCCAAGAAATTTGGGAGGCCAAGGTAGGAGGATTGCTTGAGCCCAGGAGTTCGAAACCAGCCTGGCCAACATGATGAAACCCTGTCCCTAAAAAAAATACATAAATTGCCGGGCGCAGTGGCTCACACCTGTAATCCCAGCACTTTGGGAGGCCGAGGTGGGTGGATCTCCTGAGGTCAGGAGTTCGAGACCAGACTGACCAACATGGAGAAACCCCATCTCCACTAAAAATACAAAATTAGCTGGGTGTCGTGGCGCATGACTGTAATCCCAGCTACTCGGGGAGCTGAGGCAGGAGAATCGCTTGAACCCGGGAGGCGGAGTTTGCAGTGAGCCAAGATCGTGCCATTGCTCTCCAGCCTGGGCAACAAGAGTGAAACTCTGTCTCACAAAAAAAAAGAAAAAAACAAAAAACAAACAAAAAAATCATAAATTAGCTGGGCATGGTGGCTCACGCCTGTAGTCCCAGCTACTTGGGAAGCTGAGGCACAAAAATCACCTGAAGCCGGGAGGCGGAGGTTACAGTGAGCTAAGATCATGCCACTGTACTCCAGCTTGGGCAACAGAGTGAGAATTGGTTGCAAATATATAAAAATAAATAAATCCTGTCCCTAAATAATAATAATAATTTTGAAAAAAGAAAAATGAAAAATTAGCTGGGCGTGGTGGCCCCTCCCTGTAGACCCAGCTACTCAGGAGGCTGAGATGGGAGAATCACCTGAGCTTGGGAAATCGAGGCTGCAGTGAGCCCAGATTGCACCACTGCATTCTAGCCTAGGTGACAGAGCAAGGCCCTGTCTCAAAAAAAAATTAATGTAATTTAATTTTTTTTTTTTTGAGATGGAGTTTCACTCTTGTTGCCCAGGCTGGAGTGCAATGGCACGACGTTGACTCACCGCAACCTCCGCCTCCTGGGTTTAAGCGATTCTCCTGCTTCAGCCTCCCGAGTAGCTGGGATTACAGGCATGCGCCACTACGCCCGGCTAATTTTGTATTTGTTTTGTTTTTTTGAGACAGAGTCTTGCTCTGTCGCCCAGGCTGGAGTGCAGTGGCGCGATCTCGGTTCACTGCAAGCTCCGCCTCCCGGGTTCATGCCATTCTCCTGCCTCAGCCTCCCAAGTAGCTGGGACTATAGGTGCCCGCCACCACGCCCAGCTAATTTTTTGTGTTTTTAGTAGAAACGGGGTTTCACCATGTTAGCCAGGATAGTCTCGATCTCCTGACCTCATGATCTGCCCACCTCGGCCTCCCAAAGTGCTGGGATTACAGGTGTGAGCCACCATGCCTGACCTGTAATTTAATTTAAAAGCCCTGAGCAGGCTGGGTGCGGTACCTCATTCCTATAATCCCAGCATTTTGGGAGGCTGAGGTGGGAGGATTGTTTGAGGCCAGTAGTTTGAGACCATCCTGGGCAACATAGGGAGACCTCGTTTCTACTAAAAAAAATTAAAAATTAGGCTGGGCATGGTGGCTCATGCCTGTAATCCCTGCACTTTGGGAGGCCGTGGTGGGTGGATCATCTGAGGTCAGGAGTTTGAGACCAGTCTGCCCAACATGGTGAAACCCCGTCTCTACTAAAAATACAAAAAATTGGTTGGGTGTGGTGGCAGGCACCTGTGATCCCAGCTACTCGGGAGGCTAAGGCAGGAGAATTGCTTGAACCTGGGAGGTGGAGGTTGCCATGAGCCGAGATCGCACCACTGCACTCCAGCCTGGGCAACAGTGAAACTCTGTCTCAAAAAAAGTAAAAAAAAAAAAAATAGCCGGGCATAGTGGCACACATCTGTAGTCCTAGCTACTTGAAAGGCTAAGGTGGGAGGATCACTTGGGTCCAGGAGTTGGAGGCTGCAGTGAGCTATCATCTCGGCACTGTCTGGGTGACAGTGAGGCCCTATCTCAAAAAAATAAAGCCCTGAACATTGTTGATTCCACAGACTCAAGGTCTTTCAGCAGGTGAATCCAGCAACATATCAAAAGAGTAATCATACACCTTGATCAAGGTTAGCGTTGAGCTCAGGAAGATAAGGAAATCTATTAACACAAATTACTATATAAACATTAAAGAAGAGGCTGGGTGCTGTGGCTCATGCCTGTAATCCCAGCACTTTGGGAAGCCGAAGCGCTTTGGCAGATCGCTTGAGCTTACGAGTTGGAGACCAACCTGGGCAACATGGCAAAACCCTGTCTCTACTAAAAAATACAAAAATTAATCAAGCGTGATGGCACACACCTGTAATCCCAGCTACTCAGGAGGCTGAGGCATGAGAATCGCGTGAACCTGGGAGGCGGAGGCTGCAGTGAGCCAAGATTGCACCACTGCACTCCAGCCTGGGTGATAAGAGGGAGACTCCGTCTCAAAAAATCAATCAATCAATAAAAGTCTCAGTGAGCTAGGAGTGAAAGGAAACTTCCTTAATTCAATTTTAAAAAGCTGTCTGGAGCACAGCAAAGTTCATTGTCAATGGCAAAGTATTATAAAAGCATTGCTATTAAAGTCAGGAAATAGGCAAGGATACCTACTGCCACGGTTACCTTAAATTCATGTCCTCTCAAATGCAATGAGAAATGAAAAAAAAAAAAACGTAGAAGGTATAAGCATTGGAAAAGAGAATCTCCATCTCCTACTATCTGTAGCTTAGCTGATTACCTACTTAGAAAACCCAGGCGAATCCACTGAAAAATTACTCCCGTCCCAAAAGAGGGCTATGGGTGGACCTAGCTTTTGGATCTGCACCCACAAATGCATTTGCTTACTTGTTTTTCTTTTTTTCTTTTCTTTTTTTTTTTTTTTGAGATGGAGTCTCGCTCTGTTGCCCAGGCTGAAGTGCAGTGGCGTGATCTCGGCTCAATGCATGCTCCACCTCCTGGGTTCAAGCCATTCTCCTGCCTCAGCCTCCCGAATAGCTGGGACTAGAGGCGCCCGCCACCATGCCCGGCTAATATTTTGTGTTTTTAGTACAGACGGGGTTTCACCGTGTTAGCCAAGATGGTCTCGATATCCTGACCTAGTGATCTGCCCGCCTCCGCCTCCCAAAGTGCTGGGATTACAGGCCTGAGCCACCGCACCCTGCCGTTATTTTGTTTTTGAAACAGGGTCTCGCTCTGTCTCCCAGGCTGGAGTGCAGTGGCATAATCTCGGCTCACTGCAACCTCCGCCTCCCCGGCTCAGGCAATCCTCCCCCGTCAAGCTCCCAAGTAACTGGGACTACAGGCACTCGCCATCATCCCCAGCTAATTTTTGTGTTTTCTTTGGTAGAGACGGGGTTTCATCGTATTGCCCAGGCTTGCTTGCTTGGTTTTCTGATTCCCTAGAATGCGGCTTCTCAGAACCCCTCAGCGCTCCCTGCTCCAAATCTAGGCGCCTGGGTGAGGCATTCAAGGCTTTTCTGGGTCTGTCCAGTCTGATACTGGATGCTGCACCCCTCTGATCTCAGACAGTCAGCTCCCTCACCTCCCAAATATGCCACCCTCAGAGCCTCAGTCCCCTGGAACCTCAGCTCCGAATGCCTGCCATCCTTCCCAGGACCGCTGAACAGGGGGGCCAGGAAGGCAGATGGGAGGACTCAGGAGGGGGACCCAGACACCAGAGGCCTGGGCCAGGAGGCAGGGAGGCCCAGTCTGAGCGGATGAGGGGAGGGACACTCGAGAACAGGATGGGGCAGGGCCATCCCTACCTGATGGTGTCCTCCAGGCGCCCCTCCCCCAGGAACTGCAGGAACATGGCCTGGAGGTCGCTCCAGTAGAGTCTGCCCTGGTGGAAATCCAGGTCAGGCTCATAGTTGACATCCTCACTGACCACCAACACAGAGTCTCCGCACGCCTGGCAGGACCCTCGGAAGGCGACGTAGCCCAGTAGGAAGGCTGGCGGGTGGCAAGATGGGGATTCTCTTTATGCCCACCTCTGGACCCCAGAAATCTCCCCCAGCCCAAGCCCTTCACTTCTGGGGAGGGGGACGGCTCTCACCCCCAGTGAAGATCAGCAGGGCCGTCAGGACCAGGTAGGGGGCAGCCCTCCGTCCTGCTGCCGCCCAGGGAATGAGGTTTGGCTGCCTGGGTCTAGAGCCCAGGGGCTCAGGGCCCCTCAGCTCCATGGGGCAGAAGTGGGCCAATGTCTCCGCCCCCTCCTCCCCGTCTTCCTCTTCCTCCTCCAGGTGCCCTTTCCGGGGGCCTTCCACACGCTGGTAGACGGTCTGAGAGGATCTTGGGGACAGTTGTTGCTGTGCAGGCGAGGTGGGCATGAGATTGGGGCAAGAGGCCTGGGGGGTGGGGAGGCATCTGGCAATAATGAGGTCAGTGACTTGGGGGTGTCAAATGAGCATGGTGGTGGGGGCGTGGGGGAGGGGCAGGGGTGGGAAGAAGCGAGGTCAGGACACGGTCCAGGAGGGGCCAGCCTCAGGGGCTTGGGAGGGGGCTGAGGGACTTAGAGAGAAGGCCTAAGGGGTCTTCCCAATCCCACTAGTCTTACCGCTCTCTGGAATAGACCCCAAAGCCGCTCCATGCTTGTGTCCCCTCCTGAAGCCTGCAGGCTGTCCCCCAGCGATAAACCGATAAACCGTTTGTGGGAGCCCTAGGAGGGCCCCTTATCAGTCCTGGCAGGCAGCCTGAACCAAGGCTGCTCCTCACCACCCCCAAGGGTGGGGGCACAGTCCTGGCCTCAGTCCAGCCTTCCAGACGTGGCCCCCGGGTCCAGGCCAGAGCACAAGGGGCTGTGCTCTCCCCTGCCAATCTCTCCACAGCCCCACGCCTGCCTCCTCCCTGCAAAACAATCAATTTTTTGACCTTGGGGCGGACTTTGGCCTCCTAGTTCCCATCAGGGGTGGGGGAAGGGGGCCGATAGTGGGGGAGGGCAGAGACATGGGTGCCCCCTCCCCTCTCCTGCTTTTACCCCTCCCTGGATCCTGGGGACCCCTTCCTAAGCCCCGCCATGCCCAGGTGGAAGATTCACCCCTAAGACATCTGCCCCTTCCTCATCTGGCCTTCAGAGTCCCCCAGTGCCCCGGTCCTGTGACATATCAGCTGTCCTCCCTGTCCTGACACTTGCCCCAGTGGCATTCTAAGCTGGAGGCACCACAGTGGTGTGACTTGGGGGTCTGGTCTGGTGGTGTGCATGTGTGTCTCTTTTGAAAGGTCGTTCTCAGACTCCTGCTGGCTGCTGGAGAAGGAGGGGCACAGGTGGGAGCACATGGTCAGATGAGACCAGCGAGAGCTCCCAGATAGGGGTCCTGGGGTCAGGGATATGTGGGTCAGTGGGGAGGAGTGATCAGAGTCCCCGCCAAGGTGTGGGCAGAGCTGGGTGACCCTGGACAAGTCATGGTCCTCCCTGGGCACCGGCCCGTTTGGTCACCGAAGGACTTGGATCACATGGGTTTCTACCTCTTTGGGTTCTGAGGCTGATGAAAGGCCAGTTAGCCTCACCCCAGAAACATGTCACAGGCATAAACTGCTAAACAGGCAGGGGGCGCAGGTCCCCAAACCCTTCCGAGGGCCCCAAGACAAGTAGCTCTGAAGAGGAGGGCTCAGGGTCCCACCAAGTTTCCCTTTCGGGTTTCCCCTGGGAAACATCAGCTCCTACTCAGGTCCAGAGAAGTTCCGAGCTGCTGGGATGCACCAGCGCCCTAGTCCCCGCCCCATGTCTGTCACCACCAAGAGCCCCAGGAAGGAAGGCATAGCGCATCTCACCTGAGCGCAGGTCCTGGGGTGCTCAGGCGTGCTGCTCCCCTGAGACCTAAGGCCTACGCTGAGGCCCCGCCCACCAGGCCCCACCTCCTGTTCCGCCCATCCAGGCTTCACCTCCTGCTCCACCCACCTCCTGCCACACTCACCCCAGGCCGTGCCCCTCCACTGCACCCTGCAGCCCCTCCCACCTCCCACCACAACTGTTAGCCCCCAGCAACTCCCCCAACCCCCGGTCCTCGTCATGTGGCCCTCCCTGGGTCACAACCCCTAGGAAACCTGAGGAATCCATGGCCCCTGGGGCTGTGTCCCAGCACCCACTGTGGGATCGGCATGGGTGTAGAAGTGAGACTCCCTCCCCTCACCTCCCTCCAGACCCCTGTGCCCACTCCCCACCCCACGGAGGCCAAACTTTTTTTTCTTAAAACATTTTTACTTCTTTCAACCCAGAAACATCACCATTAATGAGGACAAGAGGGAAAGGAGGAGGGGGGCAATGTGGCATGGGGGTTAAGGGACTTCCATCTGAGCTTGGGAGCAGGTGTGTGGGGAGGAGTGCCATCAGGGGCACTTTCGCTCCACGCACTGCTTCCCGCCCTCCTCATATTCCTGCTTGGAGATCCACATCTGCTGGAAAGTGCCCTGGGTGGAGGGGGTAATATCAGGGTCAGGGTGGCCTTGGAGGGAGGTGTGGACAGGCAGGTGCAGCCCCTGGGAATCCTCCAACAGGCCCCAACCACCCCTTGGGTTCACATCCCTCTGAAGCCCCTCCCCACCTCATCCTCCCCTCCTCGGTCTGTCCCCTTTCATATTCAGAGGGAGAGTATCCTCTTCATATCATTCAATCAATAATTCATTCATTCAACAAGTATTATTGAACAGCAGTCTCTGCCCTGAGCTAGGCCCTGTTCCTGAGCTGGGGGGATGGCACGCACAGCCCCAGGCCAGGCAACCTGCACCTGGCACTCAACACCCCCTACACACACACAGTCCTTCCCCACCAGGTGTCCTCTTCTCACTCCATCAGGGCTTTGGAACACCGCCAGTCTCCCTCTTTCCCAAGGAAGATATTCCCTCCACCTCACCATTCCAACACTGTGGCACCCCATCTGCAGCCTTCGGCATTACAACTTGCCCCTTGAGGGTTCCTGCAATGAGCATCTCAGAGTGTCCCTTCTCTCTATTTTTTTAAAATTTTAATTTTAATTATTTTTATTTTTATTTTATTTTTTTGAGATGGAGTCTTGCTCTGTCGCCCAGGCTGGAATGCAGTGGTGCGATCTTGGCTCACTGCAGCCTCCGCCTCCCAGGTTCCAGCGATTCTCCTGCTTCAGCCTGCTGGGTAGCTGGGATTACAGGCGCGTGCCAACACGCCCGGCTAATTTTTGTATTTTTAGTAGAGACAGGGTTTCGCCATGTTGGCCAAGCTGGTCTCAAACTCCTGACCTCAGATGATCCGCCCGCCTCGGCCTCCCAAAGTGCTGGGATTACAAGCGTGAGCCACCGCGCCCAGCCTAATTTTTATTTTTTGTAGAGATGGTGTCTCACTATGTTGCCCAGCCTGGTCTCAAACTCCTGGGCTCAAGTAATCGTTCCACCTCAGCCTCCCATAATGTTGGGATTACAGGCGTGAGCTACCACGGCTGGGCTTCTTTGATCTTTCTCAGCCTACACACATGTGCTGTCCAATGCAGTGGCCACTAGCTTCCTGTAGCTCACCAGCCCTGGTCCAAATTGAGACGTGCTCTAAGTGGAAAATACACACCCAATTTTTTTGGGTTTTTTTTGAGACAGGATCTTGCTCTGTCACCCAGGTTGGAATGCAGTGGCACAGCTCACTGCAGCCTCAACCTTCCAGGTTCCAGTGATCCTCCAACCTTGGCCTCCCAAGTAGGTGGGACTACAGGTATGCGCCACATTGCCAGTTGCTTTTTAAATTTTTTGTAGAGATGAGGTCTCGCTTTGTTGCCCAGGCTGGTCTAGAAATTTTGGGCTCAAATGATCCTCCCGCCTTGGCCTCTCAAAGTGCTGGGATTACAGGTGTGAGCCACTCCACTTGTCCAGGATATATTATTAATACTTAATTTCAGGCCGGGCATGGTGGCTCACACCTGTAATCCCAGCACTTTGGGAGGCCAAGATGGGCAGATCACTTGAGGTCAGGAGTTTGAGACAAGCTTAGCCAACACGGTGAAACCCCATCTCTATTAACAATCCAAAAATTAGCCAGGCGTGGTGGCTCACGCATGTAATCCCAGCTACTCGGGAGGCTGAGGCAGAAGAATCGCTTGAACCCAGGAGATGGAGGTTGCAGTGAGCCAAGATTGCTCCACTGCACTCCAGCCTGGGCGACAGTGAGACTGTCTCGAAAACAAAAACAAAAACAAAAAAAGGAAAAAAACAAGAACTGTGTGGCTGACATGCTTCAGCCCTGAGCTAAGTTCAGACTGCCAGCCTCTGTCTTTCTGACCCTGGTTTCTGTCTCCCTGGGGGACTTCCTTTCTCGTGGATGTCCTCCTTGTCTGTCATGGCCCCACTGTCCCCTCTGTGTGACTGATACCCTCCAGATGCGGGTTGCAACTCCAGCTCCCTGCTCAGTACCTTCCTTCGAACCCAGCAGCAGGTCCAGACTGAACTTACCACCTCCTGCCCCAGAACCAACCTGCCTGCCTCCTTTACTAGTTGCCCCTTGCTGTCCACCCCATCCCCACTGCTACCCATGCTATGACTCCGGGACAATCAAAACAGCCTCCTTGTAAGGTCCCCTTGACCCCAGCTCATACCCCGACCCCAAAGACTCATGCCTGGCAGTCTTTCCAATCATGCCTGCATTGCCACATCACTCCCTTGCCCCAAAACATCAGGGTCTCCCCTCTGCTGACTGAGCACAGTGGGTGTATCACCAAAATCTCATCCTGACCAATCTCTCCAACTACCTGTCCCTCTACTCCCAATTTTTTTTTTTTTTTGAGAGTCTTACTGCGTCACCCAGGCTGGAGTGCAGTGGCACGATCTCAGCTCACTGCAGTCTCCGTCTCCTGGGTTCAAGAGATTCTCCTGCCTCAGCCTCCTGAATAGCTGGGATTACAGGCATGCACCACCATGCCTGGCTAATTTTTGGATTTTTAGTAGAGACAAGGTTTCGTCATGTTGGCCAGGCTGGTCTCGAACTCCTGAGCTCAAGTGATCCACCCGTCTCGGCCTCCCAAACTGCAGGGATTACCGGCATGAGCCACTGTGCGCAGCCTCTTCTCCCCAGTTTGTAAAAGTAGAGATGGGTCTTGCTATGTTCCCCTGCTGGGTTTTCAACTCCTAGCCTCAAGCCATCCCCCCACTTCAGCCACCCAAAGTGCTGGGATGACAGGTGTGGGCCACCATACCGGGCCCCTGCCCCCCGATTTGTGTCCTGTTCACCCTTCTGGGAACATTCATTGACTGACATTTCTCAAAACTAAATGTTTGTTGAATGAATGAATGAACGAAGAGGCAGTCAAAGTGGCGGGCACTGTCTGGGTCTCCCCTCTCCCCCACAGTCAGTGCTAGGCCAGGTCCCTTTCCTCTCACCAGTGAGGCCAGGATGGAACCCCCGATCCAGGGGCTGAACTTGCGCTCCATGGTGCTGTTGCTGGCAATGAGTTTCAGTCGCATGCTCTGGGGGTAAAAAGGGGCTGGGGGAAGCAGACACCTAGGTTCTGGGAAGGGACAGGGCTTGGGGGAGAGGGGAAGACTTGGGAAGCCACAGGGGCAGGGGTTCTGCTCTGGTGGCCAGAACAGAAGGAAGGACATGGGAAGGATGAAGGGACTCAGTCCTGGACAGCTGAGCCAGGACGGGTGTCCAGGGCTCTGGGTCAGGGGTGGGCTCCTACCGGTGGGGTCTTCTGGGAAAGCTCTCGATTGAGCCTGTCAGTGAAGCCCTGCAGCAGTGTGTTCCCGCCGGTGACAATGACACTCCCGTACAGGCCCTGAGAGCAGGGAGAAGGAGTGAGCTGCGGGGGCAGCCCCCCAACCCCGTCTCCCCACTTCCCCTGGGCCCCTTTGCCGAGCCTCAGCTCCGGCCTGGCCTCACCGGGCGAATATCAATGTCACACATGCCGATGCTGGTGGTCACCACGTGGCCCACACCCAACATGGTGTTCCCCGACAGGCCCTGCAGAGAGAGGTGACTGGGGCTGTGGGCTCTCTCCCCCTTCCCCCCAGACCCCTGCAATCCTTCCCAGCCTCCCCCACGCCCCAGGATCCAGGGACTGCAGCCAGCACCCACCCCAGTCCTCGCCACACAGCCAAACCTTGACGTTCGAGGGATCAAACAGGCCCTCAGGGATGCGGAGTCGCTCGGCGCCGTAGTCTGTATTGTAGCCATTGGGCATCTCGTAGTGCACTGTGGGCATTTGTGCAGCCACCCTACCCAGAAGGGAGCAGGACTCTGCCTGGGGTGCTCAAGAAGGATCAGTGCGTGGGCAGCACCAGAGCCCCCCAGCCCACCCCAAGAGTGCCGGTTCTGCCCTCTCTCCCACCCCAAAGCCCTGAGCCACACTCACTGTTCATCGTAGGGGGAGTCTGAGACCTGCAGCACGGAGGCCTGGAAGTCCTGGATCACCTCCTGAAATCCCAGCGGAGGTGGTGAGGGCCTGCCTTCCCCGTGAGCAGCACCCCCTGCCCCGCTCCCCCTCCCTGCTCCCCCTCCCATGCGGGGCCTCTGTCCCGCCCCCGATTCATGGCAGGGGAGGGGGGTTTCAGGTGGCCCTCTCCAGAGGCTCACATTACACATGTAGTTATGCCAGGACTTGGAGACCTGGGGTAGCTTCTCCTTCTTCTTCCAGTTTGGGGGGGCACCCTCCCGGACAGGCTCCTGTGGGGGCACAGTGTAGGAACACCCTTTCCTAGCCCACCTGACCCCCACCCCCACCTTCCTGGCACTGTTCCCAGCTCTGCAGCTACCTGGCGCTGCAGGCTCTGCTGTGCTGCCTGCAAGAGGGGTTTCTCACCCTTCCCTGATGGAGAGGAGAGAGAATGGGGCATGCCTCTCTCTCCATGTGTGCCTTTCATGCGGTGGGTGCAGCTGATCTGGAGAACACCAGGAATACAGCAGTGACAGAACCTCAAGGGAATGGCCTCCTAGGGGGTCATGATCCATGTGAGGGCACGGAATGGAGCTAAGCACACAGTGTCACTTCATACTCACAGCACCCTGGCTACTGCCTACTGCCGTTCCACTTTACATAAGACAAACCTGAGGCCCAGGGAGCTTTGATATCATGCTGTTGGTCACACAGCTCTTTTTTTTTTTTTTTTTCAGATGGAGTCTCACTCGGTCGCCCAGGCTGGAGTGCAGTGGCGCGATCTCGGCTCACTGCAACCTCTGCCTCCGGGGTTCAGGTGATTCTCCAGTCTCAGCCTCCCAAGTAGCTGGGACTACAGGCATGCACCACCATGCTTGGCTAGTTCTTGCAGTTTTAGTAGAGACGTGGCTTCACCATGTTGCCCAGGCTGGTCTCGAAGTGAGCTCAAAGCGATCTGCCTGCCTCAGCCTCCCGAAGTGCTGGGATTACAGGTGTGAGCCACCATGCCTGACCGGTCCTGCAGCTCTTGCACGGCAGAGGCAGAACTTGAACCTGGGTCTATATTGGACCCTAGAACCCACCACACTGGCCCTCACACATCCTGCTGTCTGCCAGCTGGTTTCATGACCTCAGCATATCCCTCAGCCTGTCTGGATTTCGGATGCCTCGATTATAAAAGGAGGAACTGGAGCCAGGACCCACTGGGGAGCCTGCTGCTCTCTGCTCTGATATCTCATGTGTCAGAGGGTTGACGGCCATGGGGCGAGTGGCCAGGACTCTAGTGGCAGCTCCATGTCCCCAGAGGCCCCACCTTGGCTGCGATCATGTAAGGTGGGATGATGTCAATGGCCATCTCCTGGAACAGCTCCCGGCACTGCATGGAGATGAAGTCCCCTGCCAGAGGGGACTTGACGATGCCTAGAAGGAAGGCACTGTCAGGACCTGGTCCTCCTGGAGCACCCCCACCCCCTGCCGAAGCCCCACCTTGCTGCAGAACGTAGCCGTCATGTACTGGAATGGCCGTGGTGTGGGTGGCTCCACTGTCCAGCACGAGGCCAGTGGACCGCCCGTTTGCAAAGCTGGCATCGGATGGGTAAGTCAAAGAGACAGCAGCAGCAAGTGAGGGGCCTGGGCCCAGATCTTGTCTGGTCACTCTCTGCTCTACCGGGGTCCAGCCCATCCCCAGTCTGCAAATCTCTCCCCCTGGTGATGACTCATCTCCTGGAGAAAGGCTCTGAGACCCCAGTTACTTCTTTTTTTTTTTTTTTGAGATGGAGTCTTGCTGTCTCCCAGGCTGGAGTGCAGTGGCGCAATCTCAGCTCACTGCAAGCTCCGCCTCCCGGGTTCATGCCATTCTCCTGCCTCAGCCTCCCGAGTAGCTGGGACTACAGGTGCCTGCCACCACGCCCGGCCAATTTTTCGTATTTTTAGTAGAGATGGGATTTCACCGTGTTAGCCAGGATGGTCTCGATCTCCTGACCTCGTGATCTGCCCGCCTCGGCCTCCCAAAGTGCCGGGATTACAGGCATGAGCCACCACACCCGGCGACCCCAGTTACTTCTTTAGTTATTTTTTTTTTTTTGAAACTGAGTTTCGTTTTGTCGCCCAGGCTGGAATGCAATAGCTCACTGCAACCTCTGCCTCCTGGGTTCAAGAGATTCTCCTGCCTCAGCCTCCCAAGTAGCTGGGACTACAGGTGCCCACCACTATGCCTGGCTAATTTTTCCATTTTTAGTAGACACGGGCTTTTGCCATGTTGGCCGGACTGGTCTCTAACTCCTGACCTCAAGTGATCTGCCCGCCTTGGCCTCCCAAAATGCTGGGATTACAGGCGTGAGCCACCGCGCCTGGCCAGCCCCTTTATTTTTGGTTGTGTCCTACAGATTCCCTGAAATTAGGGTCGCTATCACCCCAGTGCATAGCACAGGGTTCAATGCAAGGCAGATCCTAAAAACAGTCAGTGTTGAAGGAGTTCTTGGGAAGGGACTGCCGCAGTGTTCTACACGTCTCCCTCCTCTGTCCAGTTCCAGCCCCTACTCTCTCCCGGGCCCAGCTCACTGTCTGCTCAGCCTGATCCGGGGAACCGAAAGGGGCCGCTGATCTGGCCACCCCAGAGTCGGAGGTGCTCAGTCCACTGGGCCTTCTGCACTAGTGGGGCAGAGGGAGGTGTCTGCCCATTGGGACACTGATCTTCAGAGAACCAGGCCTGACCCTCCAGCTCATCACAGCTGAGCTCAGCACAGGCCCCACCCCAGCCCTCCACCCAGTCAGAGCAGCTCAGTCCAGAGGATACGCGGTGAGCACAGCCGTCTTGCATAAGAAGAAGGCAGGAATGTTGTACTGCTCGAACATCAGCTCTGTCAGCTTCTCCCGCTTGGCCCGTGTGTTCCACTGTGGAGAAAGTGCAGAGGGGGAGGATTCAGGAAGGGAGAGGCACAGACCCACATCCACGCACACGCAACCCACTCACTCACACATACACTCACGGTCACACACACACATCCAAACACTTGCACACACATACACAACCTAAACACTCACACATACACTCACGGTCATACACACATGCATTCACTTGCACACACACACACATACACTCAAACACACACACATACACTCACATTCACAGACACACATAAACACACACATGCATTCACACTATACATACACTCACGGTCACACATGCAAACACACTCACAAACACACGGTCAAACACATATATACTCACATTCACACACAAACTCACACACACACATACACATATATTCACACTCACAGTCACACACACATGCATTTAAAACATTTGCACAGGCCAGACAGGGTGGCTTACGCCTATAATCCCAGCACTTTGGGAGGCCGAGGCAGGAGGATTGCTTGAACCCAGGAGTTCGAAACTAGCCTGGACAACATAGTGAGATGCTGTCTCATTAAAAAAAAAATTTAAAGTAAGGAGCTTGTGGGAATTAAAACTACATGAACAGAAATGAAAAACTCAATAGAAGGATTGGAACATAAAGTGGAGGGAATATCTTGGAAACCAAAGGAAAAAGGTAAAGAGATGGAAAATATAAGAGAAAAGGGAATTAAATTAGGGGACCAATTCAGGGGGCAACAAAATCCAATAACAGAAAATCCCAAGAGAGAAAATGGAGAGAAATAAATAATTAAATAAATAATTCTTTTTCACTGAATTGAAAGACATATGTTTTCAGAATGAAGAGACATACTAAGTGCCTAGAGCCATGAATGAAAATACACCACACTGAGGATAAAGTAAAAATTCTATAAACTTTCAGAAAGAAAAACATTACATCAGAGGATCAGAAATCAGATGGTTTCATCCTTCTAAATGGCAACGATATATGCTGGAAGAAGGACAATGGAAAAGTGCCTTCAAGATTCTGAAGAATAATGATTTCTAACCTGGCATGGGATACCTAGCTAAGCTATCAACTCAAGGTGAGACACACAAAAGTCTCAAAAAATATACTTCCCATGACCTTATTTTAAATTTTTTTTTTAGATGCTGGGCGCGGTGGCTCATGCCTGTAATCCCAGCGCTTTGGGAGGCCAAGGCGGGCAGATCACCTGAGGTCAGGAGTTTGAGACCAGCCTGGCCAACATGGTGAAACCCCGTCTCTACTAAAAATACAAAAATTAGCCAGGTGTGATGGGAGGTGCCTGTAATCCCAGCTACTTGGGATGCTGAGGCAGGAGAATCCTTGAACCCGGGAAGCGGAGGTTGCAGTGAGCCAAGATCACGCCATTGCACTCCAGCCTGGGGGACAAGAGTGACACTTCATCTCAAAAAAAAAAAAAAGTTTTTTTTTAGATTATTATTTAATTAATTATTTTTTTAAATGGAGTCTCACTCTGTCGCCCAGGCTGGAGTTCAGTGGCATGATCTAGGCTGACTGCAATCTCTGCCTCCTGGGTACAAGCAATTCTCTTGCCTCAGCCTTCCGAGTAGCTGGTACTACAAGCATGCACCACCATGGCCAGCTAATTTTTATATTTTTGGTAGAGATAAGGTATCAGTATATTGCCCAGGCTGGTCTCAAACTCCTGGACTCAAGGCCTCCCAAAGTGCTGGGATTACAGGAGTGAGCCACTGTCTCTGGCCTCTCATGACCTTTCTAAGGCAGTTACTGAAGGACCTGCTCCATGAAAACAAAGGAATAAGTCAAGAAAAGGAGTCAAGTACAGGAAACAGGACTTCTAACCAGGACAGAGGCAAAAGGATTCTACAAGATGATGGTGAAGGAAGATGCCAGCATGACAGGTCTGTCCCCTGGCAGAGGGCTACTAGTGCAAACTGGACCAGGTCAGTGGGCTCCTGAAGAAATTTCTTCAAGAAATGAAATTGATGAGAGGCCAGGTGTGGTGGCTCACGCCTGTAATCCCAGCACTTTGGGAGGCCGAGGCCGGCGGATCGCGAGGTCAGGAGATGGAGACCATCCTGGCTAACACGGTGAAACCCCGCCTCTACTAAAAATACAAAAAATTAGCCGGGCGTGGTGGTGGGTGCCTATAGTCCCAGCTACTTGGGAGGCCGAGGCAGGAGAATGGTGTGAGTCCCAGCTACTTGGGAGGCTGAGGCAGGAGAAATGGAGCTTTCAGTGAGCCGAGATCGCACCACTGCACTCCAGCCTGGGCAACAGAGTGAGACTCCATCTCAAAAAAAAAAAAAAAAATACAAAAAATTAGTCGGATGTGGTGGTGGGCACCTGTAGTCCCAGCTACTCGGGAGGCTGAGGCAGGAGAACCCAGGAGGTGGAGCTTGCAGTGAGCCGAGATCGCGCCATGGCACTCCAGCCTGGGCAACAGAGCAAGACTATGTCTCAAAAAAAAAAAAAAAAAGAAATTGATAAAATATCTAATGGAATTGACGTCTTGACAAAAGATACAATTGATGAATGATTTAGGGTTCACACTGTTAAGTAGATAGAAAACCAGACCAAATATAATCAAACACAGGGCTGGGATGGTGGCTTACGCCTGTAATCCCAGCACTTTGGGAGGCCAAGGTCGGTGGATCACGAGGTCAAGAGATCGAGACCATCCCGGCCAACATGGTGAAACCCCGTCTCTACTAAAAATACAAAAATTAGCTGGGCGTGGTGGCACGCACCTGTAGTCCCAGCTACTCAGGAGGCTGAGGCAGGAGAATCACTTGAACCCGGGAGGCGGAGCTTGCAGTGAGCTGAGATCGCACCACTGCACTCCAGCCTGGTGACAGAGCAAAACTCCGTCTCAAAAAAAAAAAAAAAAAAAAAAAAAAAAAAAAAAAAAAAAAAATTGAACACATTTTTTTTCCAGTTCTAGGAAAACAAAAAGTTGCACAAGAAAGGAAAGGTGATCATGGTGTATTGCCTGTCTCAGGCCTGATTAGCATACATAGTAATAGGAGTGTAAATATTGGGCTGAGCACAGTGACTCATGCCTGTAATCCCAGCACTTTGTTAGCTGAAGTAGAAGGATCGCTTAAGCACAGGAGTTTGAAGCCAGCCTGGGCAATATGATGAGACCCCATCTCTGCAAAAGATTCTCTTAAAATTATTTCTAATTTAAAAAGAATGTAAATACTGAATACTGATTTCTTTTAAAGTCTAAAATACAACTGGGCTGGGTGTGGTGGATCTCGCCTGTAATCCCAGCCTTTTGGGAGGCCGAGGCGGGCAGATTGCTTGAGCCCAGGAATTCAAGACCAGCCTGGACAACATGATGAAACCCTGTCTCTAAAAAAAATTTAAAAATCAGCTGGGCATGGTGGCTTATGCCTGTAGTTCCAGCTACTCTGGAGACTGAAATGAGAGGATCACTTGAGCCCAGGAGACCAAGGCTGAAGAATTGTGCCACTGCAATCCAACCTGGGTGACAAACTGAGCAGACCCCCTGTTTTTGAGGCAAAGTCTCAAAAACAAACAACAAACAAAACCCCAAACAACAACAACAACAACAACAAAACCCACTGTACTTAAAGGAGGGTGATAAGAAATACGTGTGGCATAGGCTGGGGAGGAAAAGAGAGCTAAGCGATCATTTTCTAAAGTGGAAAATTCAGCGATAATACCTAAAACTAAACACTCCACAGGCAGCAATTTAAGTGTAGTATTAGAGATATGGAAGAAAATACCCCCAACATTAGCTAAAAAGGAGAAAAACAGTTGCTTTTATAAAGAGGAATTTATAAGGAGGTGGGTAAGAACATTTTTTTAAATGAGGTTTTAAATTTTTTTTTTTTTTGAGACAGAGTCTCGCTCTGTTGCCCAGGCTGGAGTGCAGTGGTGCGATCTCAGCTCACTGCAAGCTCCGCCTCCCGGGTTCACGCCATTCTCCTGCCTCAGCCTCCCGAGTAGCTGGGACTACAGGTGCCCGCCACCATGCCTGGCTAATTTTTTGTATTTTTAGTAGAGATGGGGTTTCACCGTGTTATCCAGGATGGTCTTGATCTCTTGACCTCGTGATCCACCCGCCTCGGCCTCCCAAAGTGCTGGGATTACAGGCGTGAGCCACCACACCCGGCAAAAAATTTTTAATTTTTATTGTTTTAATAAAAGAGACGGGTCTTGCCATATTGCCTAGGGTGGTCTCAAACTCCTGGGCTCAAGTGATCCTCCTGCCTTGGCTTCCCAAAGTGTTGGGATTACAGGTGTGAGCCAACATCCCCAGCTCACCAAAGTTGACCATAATAATAATAATAATAATAATAATAATAATAATAATAAGTGAAAAGGTCAAAAAAGGACTTGGAGGCTGGGCGTGGTGCCTCATGCCTGTAATCCCAACACTTTGGGAGGCCAAGGCGGGTGGATCACCTGAGGTCAGGAGTTCGAGACCAGCCTGGCCAACAAGGCGAAACCCCCTGTCTACTAAAAATACAAAAAATTAGCCAGGCGTGGTGGCGGGTGCCTGTAATCCCAGATACTCAGGAGGCTGAGGCAGGAGATTCCTTTGATGTCGGGAGGCAGAGGCTGAGATCTCACCATTGCACTCCAGCCTGGGTGACGGAGTGAGACTGTGTCAAAAAAAAAAAATTTAAAAAGGACTTGGAGACAGAGAAGGGCAGCAGAGTGCATAGAGCAAGAAGAGAGCAGGAGGGATGGAGACTTAGCCAAGAAGGAAGGAAATTGTTTGGGATGGGTGAGGGGAGTCTGAAAAGGGAAGGGAAGTGGCTCAGAGCAGTGGCTTGAGGGGAGAGGAGGAGAGGTGGATGGTGGGAAGGAGGTGCAGTGGAGATCAGGGTTGGACATGAGGATGGAGGAGGCACTCACCGGAGCCTCGGACATGAGCACTGGGTGCAGGTTTGGCTCAGACTTGACGTGTTTGCTGTAGGTGTGATCCAGGATGGCTCGGAAGCACTCCCAGTCCTCGACTGGGGCCAGAAGAGCAGCGTGCAGAGACGCAAGAAGGCAGGCAGGGGACAGGGACAGGAAGAAAAGGAGGGAGAAAGGCCAAGCCCAAAGGAGGGTCAGTGAGTCCAGCTCCAGGGGAACGCCCCCCTTCCCAGAAACCTGGTGGGCCCCTGGGAAGGGAACCCAGCGAGAAGAACCCTGGCAGCCAGAAGAACCCTGGGGCTGCAAGGAAGACTCCGCGGGGAGTGGGGGCTGCTATGACCCAGATTGTGGGGAGCGGGCTCCTTTTCTGTCAGGAGGTGATGGGTGGGGGCCCCTTACTCATGCCATTCTTGAGGGGCGACATGACCTCCGCTCCATCCCGAGGCACGTGCAGGGCATTGGTGTCGATGTGGAAGATCTTCCCTTTCTTCTCTTTGTCCCCCTCCAGCTCCAGCCCGCCCCCCTCCTCCGCGGCCAGCAGCCCCACTGTGGTGGGGAAGTCAGCCTGGTGGGGAAGGGTTGGGGGAGTATTGGCAGGGAGAGAGGTCACCCTCTTGCCCCTGTCCAGCCCCACAGCAGGGTCCTCAGACCGCCCCTGGGTTTATTCCCATATTCCCGCTCAGCAGAGCTTCTGGGCGATCTGGGAGAGCCCTGGGTCACTGGAAAGCCTGAAGAAGGGTCCGAAGCCCCTAGGATTTGGAGAGGAGACTGGAAGGCTCACCTTGGGACAGTCCTCCCCAGCGTACCCAGCGCGGACTGAGAAGGAGCCAATGTCAAAGACCAGCGCCCCCACCTCATCTGTGCGGGGAGACAGGCCTGTAAGGGGACCTCCCCCGAACTCTCTCCCGCTAGGTAGCTCCGAGAGAAAGTCAGGGCAGAGCCACAGTCTCGCCACTTTCAACACCAGTCTGGGGCCGGTGGGAGCTGGGCCTGGAGTCCGAGGTCCTGGGACTGGGGGTGGGGGCATCACACCGCCAGGGTCCCTTCTTGCCCAATGGCCTTGCTCAGGGCACCCTCCCGACGGGAAAGGAAGGGGCCCGGGGCCAGGTGGAGGTGGGTTGCAAGGTAGGGCCCTGTGCGCGCGGGGCGTCTGGGGAGGACCGAGCGCAGGGGTGGCGGGAGACCCGAGCCTGAGACTCGACCCGCTCGTGCGCGGAGGTGACAGGCCCCGGGGTGCCCAGAGCTCGGATGGATGGCGCGGGTTTGGAACGCAGGGCTGCGGGAGCCGGGGGCCCGAGGCTCGCTCACCTCCGCCGTAGACGCCCCCGCTCATAGTGCCCGCTGCGCTGCTAGCGGCCCGTGGGCGGTGGCGGGATCAGCACCGAGGCGGCCGGACAGCTCCCGGGATCCCTGGCGGGGCGGGACTCTCAGCGGCCAATTGGGAGGCCGGATCCCCCGCTCCAACGGCGCCGCCGATTGGCTGCCAGGCGAGACAATGACCGACCGGGGGCAGCTGCTTTAAAGGGGAAGATACACTCTATTAAGCGGCCAGGAGGAGATGGGGCAGGGGGCACCTAGCAGGGACTTAGAGACCGTCGCTAAGGAACTGGCGGCAGAGAGGAGAGCAGGGAAGAGGCGGAGACCAGGACTCTGCAGGACGACTGATGAGGTCCCTATCCCCTTGCTTTTTATTTTTATTTTTATTTTTATGGTAGAGACGGAGGTCTTGTGATGTTGCCCAGGCTGGTCTCGAACTCCTGAGCTCAAGCGATCCTCCTCAGCCTCCCAAGTAGCTGGGATTACAGGCAGGTGCCAGCACGCCTGGATTAAAAAAAAATTTTTTATAGAGACGGGGTCTTGCTCTTTTGCCCAGGTTGATCTCGAAGTCCTGGCCTCAAGCGATCCTCCCACCTCAGCCTCTCGAAATGCCAGAATTACAGGCGTGAGCCACTGCGCCCGACCTCTACCCCCTTACTTTTTAAAGCAGGATTGGGGAGAGAGGTCCAGTTCCCAGAAGGGTTATCTATCTTCAGGCTGCTCTGAGCCCGGTTCTGCCACACCCAGGCCTAAATGGAATCACCAAGGTCTAAATGGAATCACCGGGAGAGGGAGGGAAGGGAAGATTGAGAGAGGGACCAAAGGGGGTGTGTCTCCATCTCTCTCTGTTTTTACCTTTTTTTTTTTTTTAAGAGACTGGGTCTTGCTACCTTGCCCAGGCTGGTCTTGAACTCCTGGCCTCAAAGTCCCAAAGTGCTGGGATTAAAAGCATGAGCCACCGTGTCCAACTTCCCTCCTTTGTCTTTCGTTGGCCCCTTTTTTCCTTGCCTTGCTTTCCCCCCCACCCCCCGCAGTACCTAGGCCTTATACATGTGTACACATGCTTACACATGTGTACATACGTTCACACACAGGCATTCAGCCCATCTGGCTTTAGCTTCCTTTCTCCATCTGTCTCTCTTCAGCGCCTGTTCTCCTGAGGAGGCATTTATCAACAAGAGGGTTTTTGTTTCTTTTCTTTTTGAGTTAGGGTCTTCCGTCACCCAGGCTGGAGTGCAGTGGCACACTTATAGCTCACTGTAACCTTGAACTCCTGGGTTCAAGTGATCCTCTCGCCTCAGCCTCCTGAGTAGCTGGGACTTACAGGTGCACACCACCACACCTGGCTTTTTTTTTTTTTTTTTTTTTTTTAAGAAAAAACTATGTTGCCCAGTCTGGTCTCGAACTCCTGGCCTCAAGTGATCCTCCCACTTTGGCTTCCTCAGTCACTGGGATTACAGGTGTCAGCCACAGCGCCTGGCTAACAACAGGGTTTTCTACTGCTTGGATCCCAGGTTCTTCTGGGCTCCCAGTACCACAGTTTTGGTAGCAAAGGCAAAGGAGCAGCTCTGACAACTTGGGGTAGGTGAGGGACTCTTATGTGAGGGTGTGTGTGTGTCTGTATGTATGTGTCTATGTGTGTTGGCATATGGGTGCATGTGTGTACATATGCACATCTGAATGCTTGTGTGTGTTGACTATGCCCATCTACTTGTTTGGGGGCGAGGGAGCTTTGAGACCAGAGATAGCACAGGAAGTGGATACTATGTGAGGTCCGCGTGCCCCTGAAGGTTCTCTGCTCACCACATGCCCACCCTGGAAGAGACTCCACCCCTCCCCGGCCAAAGGACAGATGGCTTTAGCTGGCTCATGGATTACCTACTGACGACGGTGGCATTTCAATGCCTAGGGTTGGTTCCAAGTTCAGACTTGGCTTCTAAGACTGAAAGGGTCCAGGTTTCAGCAGGAGTGGTGAGCTGTAGGGGAGAGGGCCGACTCAGGAGCTGGGAGAGTGAGATTTTTCCAAAGTGACCCTAGGTCAGTCCATTGAGGTCTGGAAGAATTGAGTGGATCTCTTAAAGTGCTTACATTTCTTTTTTTCTTTTTGAGCTGGAGTCTCACTCTGTTGCCCAGGCTGGAGTGCAATGGCGCAATCTCAACTCACTGCAACATCTGCCTCCTGGGTTTAAACAATTCTTCTGCCTCAGCCTCCCAAGTAGCTGGGGTTATAGGTGTGTGCCACCACTCCTGGCTAGTTTTATTATTAGTAGTAGTAGTAGTAGTAGAGACGGGGTTTCACCATGTTGGCCAGGCTGGTCTCAAACTCCTGATCTCAAATGAACGGCCCACCTCTGCCTCCCAAAGTGCTAGGATTACAGGCGTGAGCCAGCATGCCCAGCCGAGTGCTTGCATTTCTTATCGTTTAAAATGCTGAGGTGAGGATGAAAGGAATGTTGGGGTGGAAAGTGATTATATTCATCTTATCCCTCTCCTTTTGTTGGCATTTAATGATGTTGCCTCGCTTACTCTGAAGTTCACCTTGCCAATTCCTACTATCCCTTCTTTCCTCCCCACCACCCCAACCATCTCAGATTTAGAAACTTGCCCAGGCAGGGCATGTGGTGGCTCACGCCTATAATCCCGGCATTTTGGGAGGCTGAGGTGGGAGGATCGCTTGAGGCCAGGAGTTTGAGACCAGCCTGGGCAACAAACAGACCCCATCTCCCCAAAAAAAAAAAAAAAAAAAAAATGAAGAAGAAAAGAAACTTCCCCAGTCTTGGCTGGGAATGGTGGCTCACACCTTTAATCCCAGCACTTTATGAGGCCAAGGCAGGTGGAACACTTGAGGTGAGGAATTCAAGAGCAGCCTGGCCAACATTGTGAAATCCTGTCTCTACTAAAAATAAAAAAATTAACTGGGTGTGGTGGTGCACGCCTGTAGTCCCAGCTACTCGGGAGGCTGAGGCAGGAGAATCGCTTGAACCCAGGAGGGGGAGGTTGCAGTGAGCCAGTGAGCCAAGATCACACCACTGCACTCCAGCCTGGGTGACAGAGCAAGACTCCATCTAAAAAGAATAAAAAAACAAAAGGAAACTTGTCCAGTCTGGCCAGGCATGCTGGTGTGTGCCTGTAGGAGTTCTACAGGTTTTTTTTGTTTTTTGTTTTTTTTTTTTTTTTCCAGCTAGAACCTGAGCTCTGTCCTGGATCACACAGTCCGCTGGGATCAGAGCCAGGATTAGAACCCACAGCTCTTATCACCCAGTTGAGATATGCCTTTGTTTCCTAACACCTCTGTGTTTCTCACCAAGTTGTGCTGTCTCTATCTACAGGACAGCTGGCGATGAGGCCCCCATCTGATTCTGGAGTCAGTGTCTGGCTGAAAGCTGGGCATACAGGACTATTCAGTAAGTGTCCCTGTGGATGTTTTAAGGCCTTAATATTATTATGCATTAAGTTGGAAACCTGCAGTCTATTTGGTAATAAGCAGTGAATTTTCTTCTCATGGCTGGGGGGAAAGCTACAGTTGGCTAACTACAGGGCAGAACTTGATTTAACCCCAGTCAACTGTGACCAATTTTCTTTTGTCATGGGATCTGACATAAGATTCTGTGTATTATGGAAGTGGTTAGGGTAAAGCAATTAATACATTTCACTTATCCATTCATTGATTCAACAAATATCCCTTTTTTCCTTTTTAAGAGACAAGTGCTGGACATGGTGGCTCATGCCTATAAACCCAGCACTTTGGGAGACCAAGGCAGGAAGATGGCTTGAACCTTGGAGTTAGAAACCAGCTTGAGCAACATATCAAGAACCCATCTCTACAAAAAGTTTTCTAAAAAATTAGCCAGGCATGGTGGTGTGATCCTGTAGTCCCAGTTACTTGGGAGGATGAAGTGAGAGGATCACTTGAGCCCGAGAGGTTGAGGCTGTAGTGAGCCATGATCATACTACTGCACTCCAGCCTGGGCAGCAGAGCAAGACCATGTCTCAAAAAATAAAATAAAGAGACAGGGTCTTGCTTTATTGCTCAGGCTGGAGCGCAGTGGTATGGTCACGGATCAGTGCAGCCTCGAACTCCCGGGCTCGAGATCCTCCTGTCTTGGCCTCCCAAAATGCTGGGATTACAAGCATGAGCCCTGTGCCTGGCCAAGAAACATCTTTGATGCCTACTGTGTGGCAGGCACCATGCTAGACATAGGAGGGATACTGAGATGGGTGACATACGGGATATCCTTGCTCTCAAGGAGCTTTGGTGCAGTGGGGAGCTCAGATACGCACAGAAGAGAGGTGAAAAGGAGGCCAGGGCCGGGCGCAGTGGCTCACGTCTGTAATCCCAGCACTTTGGGAGGCCGAGGCGAGTGGATCATTTGAGGTAAGGAGTTGAAGGCCAGCCTGACCAATATGGTGAAACCCCGTCTCTATTAAAAATACAAAAAATTAGCTGGGCGTGGTGGCATGCGCCTGTTATCCCAGCTACTCAGGAGACTGAGGCAGGAAAATAGATTATAACCGGGAGGCGGAGGTTGCAGTGGGCCTAGATTGCACCACTGCACTCCAGCCTGGGTGACAGAGTGAGACTCCACCTCAATTAAAAAAAAAAAAAAAAGATGCCCGGAGGAGGGAGGGGTTACCTGTCGCTGAGAATCCAGGAAATCTTCTAGAAGTGAAGTTGGAACTAAACTGTGAAGGATGAGTTCATGCACAGTGGCTCAGGCCTGTAATCGCAGCACTGTGGGAGGCTGAGGCGGGTGGATCACCTGAGGTCAGGCGTTTGGGACCAGCCTGGCCAATATGGCGAAACCCCATCTCTACTAAAAATACAAAAAGTTAGCTGGGCGTGGTGGTGGGCGCCTGTAGTCCCAGCTACCTGGGAGGCTGAGGCAGGAGAATCACTTCAACCTGGGAGGCAGAGGTTGCAGTGAGCTGAGATTGTGCCATTGCATTCCAGCCTGGGCAACAAGAGTGAAACTTCGTCTCAAAAACAAACAAACAAACAAAAACCGTGAAGGATGAATAGAAGCTCATAGGTGAAGAAAGCGGGAAAGATATCCCACAAAGAGAACAGCATGGACAGAGGTCTAAGGACATGAAAACTTCTGGAATATGTGGAAATAGGAGTTCAGTCTAGAAGGAGGGTTGGATGTGAGCCGCTGACAGAGGTCAGTGTCAGGAGGAGATGAGATGAAGTAATTAATGACCAGCTGGATGAGGTCGAGGCTGCAGTGAGCTATGATCACACCATTGCAGCCTGGGTGACAGAGTGAGACACTGTCTCTTAAAAATAAAATAAAATAAAATAAAATAAAAATAAAACCAATGGGTTCATGCCTACAACCGTTTTTATTTGTTTATTTTTGTTTCTTTCTTTCCTTTTTTTTTTGAGATGGAGTCTTGCTCTGTCACCCAGGCTGGAGTGCAGTAGCGCCATCTTGGCTCACTGCAGCCTTTACTTCCCGGGTTCAAGCAATTGTCTGCCTCAGCCTCCCGAGTAGCTGGGATTACAGGCGCCCGCCACCACGCCTGGTTAGTTTTTGTATTTTTAGTGGAGATGGGGTTTTACCATCTTGACCAGGCTGGTCTTCAACTCATGACCTCATGATCCAACTGCCTCAGCCTCCCAAAGTGCTGGGATTACAGGTGTGAGCCACCGCGCCCGGCCTTTTTTTTGTTTTTGGTAGAAACAGGGTCTTGCTATGTTTCCCAAGCTGGCTGTTTTTTTTTTTTTCCTTTGAGAAGGAGTCTCGCTCTGTCGCCCAGGCTGGAGTGAAGTGGCGCAATATCAGCTTACTGCAACCTCCGCCTTTTGGATTCAAGCGATTCTCCTGCCTCAGCCTCCTGAGTAGCTGGGATTACAGGCATGCACCACCACGCCCAGCTAATTTTTTTTTTATTTTTAGTAGAGACAGGGTTTCACCATGTTGGCCAGGCTGGTCTTGAACTCCTGACCTCAAGTGATTCACCCACCTTGGCTTCCCAAAGTGCTTGGATTACAGGCGTGAGCCACCACACCCAGCCCTTGTTTTCTTTCTTGAGACAGGATTTCGTTCTGTCACTCAGGCTGGAGTGCAGTGGCGTGATCACAGCTCATTGCAGCCTCAGTCTCCCGGAGTCAAGCAATCCTTTTGCTTCAGTCTCCCGAGCAGCTGGGACCACAGGCACACACCACTACACCCAACTGGTTTTTTTTTTTTCTTGAGACAGAGTCTTGCTCTGAAGCCCAGACTGGAGTGCAATGGCATGATCTTGGCTCACTGCCACCACTGCCTCCCAGGTTCACGTGACTCTTCTGTCTCACTCCCAAGTGGCTGGGACTACAGGCACGCACCACCACGCCTGGCAAATTTTTGGATTTTTAGTAGACACAGGGTTTTGCCATGTTGCCCAGGCGGGTCTCGAACTCCTGACCTCAGGTGATCCGCCTGCCTTGGCCTCCCAAAGTGCTGGGATTATAGGTGTGAGCCACCGTGCCTGGCCTGATTTTTGTATTTTTTGCAGAGATGAGGTTTTGCCATGCTGCCCAGGCTGGTCTCAAACTCCTGACCTCAAGCAATCCACCTGCCTCAGCCTCGAAAGGTGCTGGGATTACAGGCCTGAGCCACTGTACCCAGCCTTCACCCAGCCTTCTGTCAGATAAACCAAGTGCCTTGGCTTCACAGGGAGCCCCGGTCCCAGGATGGATGGCAAGTGCCCAGAAATACACAGTCCAGTAAAGGCTTCAACAGGAATGGAGCCAGCATTGCAGTGGGGCACAAACAACATTTAAAACAATATTTAAACTAAGTCCCAGGAAATGGCCTGGGTTTTTCTGGCAGACAAGGAAGTGGAGCTGGAGGAGGGGTGAAAGGCATTTCTGAGTTGAGGGGACAAGACCTGGCCTTTGTGTCATGCAAAGAAGTTGACTCTTCTCCTGGAAACCCCTGGGAACTACTGCAAGATTTTGAACAGGAGGGTTATTGACCCAACTGGCATTTTAGAAAGATACCTCTGGCAGCCATTTGGTAGATTGATTAGAAAGGGACTAAGTTAGAGGCCAGGAAATGGGCAGGAATCAAGGTAATAGCAATTGGCACACCGTAGAAGGGATGGATTTAAGCAGTATTCAAGAGATAGCATTGGGCTGGGCACAGTGGCTCATGCCTGTAATCCCAACACTTTGGGAGGCTGAGGCAGGAGGATCACTTGAGGCCAGTGTTGGAGACCACTCTAGGCAACATATCGAGACCCCATCTCTATAGAAAAAAAAATTTTTTTTTAATTAGCCTGTCGTGGTGGTGCGTGCTTGTAGTTCTAGCTACTCAGGAGGCTGAGGCAAGAGGATCACTTGAGCCCAGGAGGTTGAGGCTGTCAAAAAAAAAAAAAAAAAGAGAGAGCGATAACATTGACATGATGGATCCACTAGGCATAGACTGCTACTCTTATACCATTTCCCATTGCCCTTCTTTGTTTATTATTGTTATCATCAATTATTTTTATTTTTTGAGACAGGGTCTCACTCTGTCACCCAGGCTGGAATGCAGGGGTGTGATCATAGCTCACTGCAGCCTCAATCCCCTGGGCTCAAGGGACCCTCCCACCTCAGCCTCCTGAGTTGCTGGGACTACAGGCATGAGCCACCACATCTGGTTAATTAATTTATTTATTTTTATCTTTAGCAAACATGAAGTCTCACTATGTTGCCCAGGCTGGTTTCGAATTCCTGAGCTCAAGCAATCTTTCTCCTTCGGCCCCCAAAGTGCTGAGATTACAGGTGTGAGTCACCATGCTCAGCCTATTTTATTATTTTTTATTTTTTATAGAGACAGGGTCTCACTACGTTGCCCAGGCTGGTCTCGAACCCCTGGGCTCAAGTAATCCCCCTGCCTCGGCCTCCTAAATTGCCTTCTTTGTTTATTAATAATGTTTTAGCTGTGTACATGGATAGAGACTACATGTCCCAGCTTTCCTTGCATCTGACTAACTTTTTATTTTAATTAATTAATTGATTGATTGATTAATTAATTAATTAATTTTGAGACGGAGTCTCACTCTGTTGCCCAGGCTGGAGTGCAGTGGTGCAATCTCAGCTCACTGCAAGCTCCACCTCCCGGGTTCACACCATTCTCCTGCCTCAGCCTCCTGAGTAGCTGGGATTACAGGTGTGTGCCACCACACCTGGTTAATTTTTTTTTTTTTATTTTTAGTAGAGACAGGGTTTCACCATGTTGGTCGGGCTGGTGTCGAACTCCTGACCTCGTGATCCGCCCGCCTCGGCCTCCCAAAGTGCTGGGATTACAGGTGTGAGCCACCGTGCCCGGACTTTAATTCATTTTTTATTAGAAATTTAAATAATAGAGATGGGGGTCTTGCTATGTTAACCAGGCTGGTCTTGAACTCCTGACCTCAAGCAAACCTTCTTCTGGCCTCCCAAAGTACTGGGATTACAGGCATGAGCCACTGTGTCCAGCTGCATCTGGACAACTTCTGAGCAGGTTAGTGGTGTCCTTAATCAGGAAAGGACCTGTGCTTCCTGCTTTAACCCCCTTCCCACATTCAGATATGATGGTGATTTCTGCCTAGGCCCCATGGAACAGAGAGATAGAAGCCACATGTTTAAGATGGCAGAGACCAGCTGGGTGCCGTGGCTCATGCCTGTAATCCCAGCACTTTGGGAGCCCGAGGTGGGCAGACTTGAGGTCAGGAGTTCGAGACCAGTCTGGCCAACATGGTGAAATGCCGTCTCTGCTAAAAATACAAAACTTAGCCGGGTGTGGTGGCACACACCTGTAATCCCAGCTACTCAGGGGCTGAGACAGGAGAATCACTTGAACCCAGGAGGCGGAGGTTGCAGTGAGGTGAGATCGCACCACTGCACTCCAGCCTGGATGACAGAGCGAGACTCCCTCTCAAAAAAAACAAAAACAAAAAGAAAACAAAAGGAAAAAAAAGATGGCAGAGATGTCCCCACAGTCCTGGAGTATCTATTTTGAGGTTAAGTCACTGAATTTTGGGGAATTCTTTGTTATAGCCGCTTCGCCTATACCCTAACTGACCATCCTTTGGATATGGGGAGGGAAGGCATGGGAAATATCTGAGTGGGTGCTGGTGCTGTCAACTGGGCCAGGATATTCAGGGAAGGGGTAAGGTTGGGCAGGGTTGGGCTCAGGGGAAGATGATTAACTTAGTTTTGAATATGTTGAATGTGAAATGTCTGTGAACAGTGGTGTGTAGTAAATGGTTTTTTGTTTGTTTGTTTTGAGACAGGGTGTTGCTCTGTCACTCAGGCTGGAGTGCAGTGGTGCGATCATAGCTTACTGCAGCCTCCAACTTCTGGGCTCAAGCAGTCCTCTCACCTCAGCCTCCTGAGTTGCTGGGACTACAGGCATGCCACCAAACCTGGATAATTTTTAATCTTTTTTTTGAAGATGGGGTCTCGCTGTGTTGCCCAGGCTAGTCTCAAACTCCTGGTGGTGAGCCACCATTCCTAACAACCAGCTCTTCAAAAAGGGGGAGCCCTGATCGGAAGCATTTGCCAATGTCCATGACGTAAACAGTCACACCTTGGCTGAGTTCAAGTTCCTACTATCTTATTTTATTTTATTTTATTTTTTTTGAGATGGAGTTTCGCTCTTGTCACTCAGGCTAGAGTGCAATGGCGCTATCTCGGCTTACTGCAACCTCCACCTCTTGGGGTCAAGCGGTTCTCCTGCCTTAGCCTCTTGAGTAGCTGGGATTACAGACACCCGCCACCACGCCCAGCTAATTTTTTTGTATTTTTTAGTAGAGACGGAGTTTCACCATGTTGACCTCAGGTGATCCACCTACCTGGGCCTCCTAAACTGCCGGGATTACAGGCGTGAGCCACCGCGCCCAGCTCTTCAAGTTTCTGCTACCAAGATGCCTTCACTGAATAAGGAGCTGGGTGTACAATGGGCACTCGTGACCTGGCATGAGCGGATGCCAGCATGCCACTGTCCACGGGCATCTAAGTGGGGATATTCAGTCAGCCATTGGATGTACACCAAGTCGGCACACGGGGAAGAGACATCTGGGCTGGAGACAGTAATGGATGAAGTCACCAATGAATAACATGGAGAGTGAGCAGAGGAGGCCAAAGTCAGTATTCTGGGAAAAACAATGTTTGCAGAGTGCCCTGAGGAGGAGGAGATGCTAAGAAGCCAGAAGAGGTAGAGGAAGGAGGCCCTGTGACCCATCAGAGCCACATCCGCCACTTGCTCTCGAGGGTCCTGCCTGCTCAGATAAGTTGGCTACTCATTGGTCATCACCTGGCAACTCTGTCCTTCCTTGCATCTGGCCAACTTCTTTTTCCTCTCTCTTTCCTCCTGCCCTCCTCATTACCATCTAAATTAGCTCCAGTAGCTCTCATCAAAACTCAAATAACGGCCAGGCGCGGCGGCTCATGCCTCTAATCCAAGCACTTTGGGAGGCTGAGGCGACTGGATCACCTGAGGTCCGGAGTTTGAGACCAGCCTGGCCAACATGGTGAAACCCTGTCTCTACTAAAAATATCAAAATGAGTTGGGCGTGGTGGCACATGCCTGTAATCCCAGCTACTTGGGAGGCTGAGGCAGGAGAATTGCTTGAACCTGGGAAGTGAAAGTTGCAGTGAACCGAGATCGCAGCACCACTGCACTCCAGCCTGAGTGACAGAGCAAGACTCTGTTTCAAAAGGAAAAAAAAAAAAATATATATATATATATATGTAATTTTTCTGTAGAGACAGGGTTTCTACAATTTTTTTTGTAGAGATGAGATCTTGCTGTGTTGTGCAAGCTGGCCTCAAGCGATCCTCTTGCCTCAGCCTCCCAAAATGCTAGGATGACAGGCACGAGCCACCACGCCCAGCCTAAAAAATATACATATCTTTTTTTTTTTTTTTAGATGGAGTTTCGCTCTTGTCGCCCAGGCTGGAGTGCAGTGGTGCAATCTCGACTCCCTGTAATCTGAGTTCCAGCAATTCTCCCGCCTCCCTCCTGAGTAGCTGGGATTACAGGCACACGCCACCATGCCTGGCTAATTTTTTGTATTTTTAGTAGAGATGAGGTTTCACCATGTTGCCCAGGCTGGTCTCGAACTCCTGACCTCAAGCGATCCTCCTGCCTCAGCCTCCCAAAAACGTTGGGATGACAGGCATGAGCCACCGCGCCCGGCCTAAAAAACCCCGACTATCTTGATTCCACTTCCTCTTCTCACTGCTGCACCAGCTTTGTACATGGTCCCCGGCCAAGCTGAGATACCCAAAGTCTGGTCCACGTTGTTTTTCTCCACTGCATCATTTCTCACTCACCCATTGCAAATGCCGTAGGCAGAGCTACAGTGGCTTCTACCCAATCCACTGCACACTTCTCAGGGCAGGCTTGCTTCATGTCTCTGCAGCCTTCAGCACAGTTTCCCATTCCTTTTTTGGAACACTCTTTTCTTTTGGGTTCCAGAAGTCCGCATCCTCCTGATTTTCTTCTTAGTTCGCCGGCTTCTCCTTTGGCAACTTGTTCTCCACCTGACCTCTAAATGTCGGAGTTCCTCAGAGCTTGGTCTTAGGCCATCTTGTCTTTTCCCTGCACCTCTTTATGACGTCATCTGCTAGAATGTGCCACTCACTCTTGGGGCTCTATTCCAACCCAGATTTCTCTGCTGAATTCCAGGACTGTGTCTACAGCCACCTATTAAACATTTCTCCTGGATTTCTCAAAGAACTAAAAATAGAACTACAGTTTGACCCAGCAATCTCATTACTGGGTATTTACCCAAAAGAAAAAAAATCCTTCTACCAGAAAGAAATATGCACTCGTATGTTCCTTGCAGCACTATTCACAAGAGCAAAGACATGAACTCAGCTTAGGTGCCCATCAATGGTGGACTGGATAAAGAAAATGGTACATGTATGTTATGGAATACTATGCAGCCATAAAAAGAAACAAAATGAAGAAACAAAGAAACATGTTTTTTGCAGCAACATGGATGCAGCTGGAGTCCATTCTCTTAAGTGAATTTAGAGCAGGAACAGAAAACCAAATACCATATGTTCTCACTTGTAAACAGGAGCTAAACATTGGGTACTCATGGACATAAAGACGGCATCAATAGACACTGGGGACCACTAGGGGGAAGAAGGAAGAAGATGGGGCAAGGGTTGAAAACTATTAATACCTAATGGGGCCAGGCATGGTGGCTCACGCCTGTAATCCCAGCACTTTGGGAGGCCAAGGCAGGTAGATCACTTGAGGCCAGGAGTTCAAGACCAGCCTGGCTATCATGGCGAAACCCCATCTCTACTTAAAATACAAAAATTAGCCAGGTGTGGTGGTGCACACCTGTAATCCTAGCTACTTGGGAGGCTGAGGCAGACGAACCACTTGAACCCAGGAGGCGGAGGTTGCAGTGAGCTGAGATCGTGCCATTGCACTCCAGCCTGGGCAACAGAGCAAGACCCTGTCTCAAAGAAAAAAAGAAAAAGAAAAACTACCTATTGGGTACCGTGCTCATTACATGGGTGATGGGATCAATCGTATTCCAAACCTCAGTGTCACACAATTTACCCATATAACAAACCTGCACACGTACCCCGTGAATCTAAAATAAAAGTTAAAAAAAACAAAAAAAGAGGCCGGGCACAGTGGCTCACGCCTGTAATCCCAGCACTTTGGGAGGCTGAGGCAGGTGGATCACGAGGTAAGGAGATCGAGACCATCCTTGCTAACACGGTGAAACCCCGTCTCTACTAAAAATACAAAAAATTAGCCGGGCCTGGTGGCACGTATCTGTAGTCGCAGCTACTCAGGAGGCTGAGGCAGGAAAATCACTTGAACCCAGGAGGCAGAGGTTGCAGTGGGCCGAGATTGCGCCACTGCACTACAGCCTGGGCGACAGAGCGAGATCCGGCTGAGTGCGGTGGCTCACACCGGTAATCCCAGCACTTTGGGAGGCTGAGGCTGGCGGATCGCTTGAGGCCAGGAGTTCGAGACCAGCCTGGGCAACATGACAAAACCCTGTCTCTACAAAAAAAAATACAAAAAATTAGCCAGGCATGGTGGTGTGCACCAGTAGTTCCATCTACTGGGGAGGCTGAGGTGAGAGGATCATCTCAGCCCAGGAGGTCGAGGCTGCAGCAAGCTGTGATTGCGCCACTGCACTCCAGTCTTGGTGACAGAGTGAGACCCTGTCTCAAAAAAAACAAAACCAAAAACACCAAAAAAAATTTTCTCCATAGGCACTTCAAACCTAAAACTTCCCAATCTTAAACTCTTGATCTTCCTCCCAGAATATGTTCCATCTCAAATGTTCTGCTCGAAGTAAACAATACCTCCAGGCCAAGCACTGTTATTTTTTCATTTTTGTTTGTTTGTTTTGTTTTGTTTTGTTTTGAGACAGGGCCTGGCTCTGTCACCCAGGCTGGAGTGCGGTGGCAGAAATTCAGCTCACCACAACCTTTGCCTCAGGAGTTCAAGTCATCTTCCCACCTCAGCCTTCCGAGTAGCTGGGACTACAGGCGCACGCCACCATGTATTTCTTTCTTTCTCTCTCTTTTTTTTTTAACGACGTAGTCTTGCTATGTTGCCCAGGCTGGTCTTGAACTCCTGGACTCAAGTGATCCGCCCACCTCTGCCTCCCAAAATGCTGGGATTACAGGTGTGAGCCACCACGCCTGACCCTAATCCATATTTCAATGCCCATCTGCCTCCTCTATAGATTGCAAGCTCCATGAGGAGGGTGCACCTGTCATTCAAGGTTGCATCCTCATTGCCTAGGGCAGTGCCTGATACATCATCCGGTTCAGTAAATATCAACGGAATGAGTTAAAACAGGAAAGCTTATTAGCACAGAAACCAAAGCAGCACACATGCCCTCTTGAGATTGACAAAATTGTGCTGTAGTCCTGCGCTGCTTGTTGTTAAGTGACTTTAGGGAAGTCATCGTGGCCATCTACAGATTGAGGAAATCAACGTAATTATCTCTGAGGTCCCTCCCAAATTCTCATGTGTAGTTGACATCTGTTATCTATTGCTTATATGTCACTGAATTGGCAGGTATGCATAAATAGAATTTGCATCTAACTACGAATACGATTGTTTATATTTTCTTTAAAAAAATATTGGGCTTTTGTTTCTCATATTGAGAGCTCTGTTATGCCATTTTCGAATTTCTCCCAGATGTCCCCCCCGGCCCACCTTCAAACTCTGCTTCCTTAGACAGATTTGGCAATAGCTTTGTAAGTGATATGGACATAATTGCCTAAAATAATGAAAACCTACAGGATTCTTTTTTCATTTTCCCTTTGGCATGTTTACAATTCCCTGCCCCACCAGGCAGATCATTCTGTGTGTGTGAGTGTGTGTACCCATTACAAAGACAACTACTATGTTCATAACATATTCGATTTGGAAAAAACAATTGTAGGCTGGGCACGGTGGCTGACATCTGTAATCCCAGCACTTTGGGAGGCCGAGGCGGGCAGATCACGAGGTCAGGAGTTCAAGACCAACCTGGCCAACATGAAACCCCATCTCTGCTAAAAATGCAAAAATTAGCCAGGCCTGGTGGCATGCTCCTATAATCCCAGCTACTCGGGAGGCTGAGACAGGAGAATCGCTTGAACCCAAGAGGCAGAGGTTGCAGTAAGCCGAGATTGTGCCATTGCACTCCAGCTCTGGGTGACAGAGCAAGACTCCATTTCAGAAAAAAAAAAAAAAGAAAAAAGAAAAAACAATTGTTTTTGAAAAGTGATTTGTAATGTCTTTCACAGAGACTAAATGAAGAGTATGTTTTGATACTTTTTAAAATATAATTTCATCTTTTTAGATTCTGACTCATGTGCACATGAATGTACCCATGTACATGGGTATATCTTGTGATGCTGAAGTTTGGGGTACAATTGATCCCGTCACCTGGGGTACAGTACCCAATAGGTAGTTTTTCAACCCTTCCCCCCTCTAGTAATCCCCCGTGTCTATTGTTCCCATCTTTATGTTCATGAGTACCCAGTGTTTAGCTCCTACTTATAAGTGAGAACATGCAGTGTTTGGTTTTCTGTTCCTGCAGAAATTTATCCACTTAGGATAAAAGCCTCTAGCTGCATCCATGTTACTGCAAAGGACACGATTTCTTCTTCTTTTCTTTTCTTTTGTTTCTTCTTTCTTTCTTTCCCTTCCTTCCTTCTCTCTTTTCTTTCTCTTTCTCTCTCTCTCTCTTTTCTGCATCCATGTTGCTGCAAAGGACATGATTTCTTCTTTTTTCTCTCTTCCTTTCTCTTTCCTTTCTTTTTTTCTTTCCTTCCCTTCCTTCCCTCCTTTTCTTTCTTTTACTTTTTCTTCTTTTGTCTTTCTTTCTTCTTCTTGAGTCAAAGTCTTGCTCTGTTGCCCAGGCCGGAGTGCAGTGAGTGGTGTGATTTTGGCTCACTGCAACCTCCGCCTCCCGGGTTCAAGCAATTCTCCTGCCTCAGCCTCCTGAGTAGCTGGGATTACAGGTGTGTGCCACCACGCCCAGCTAATGTTTGTATTTTTAGCAGAGACGGGGTTTCACCATATTGGCCAGGCTTGTCTCAAACTCCTGACCTCAAGTGATCCACCCGCCTCGGCCTCTCACAGTGCTAGGATTACAGGCGTGAGCCCCATCTCGTTCTTTCTTATGGCTGCGTGTTTTGATACTTTCAAATTACAAGGACTCAGTGAAGGCTATTCGTTGCCTTGAACTTCCCAAAGCATTTCCACAATCGATGGGGTTCTCAGTAAGAATCCGGGACTTGGAGGGCAGATGCTGTCAACATCCCCATTTAACAGATGTGGAAACTGAGGCCTAGACCTACGTTCTTGTCCCTTTACAGGCAAGGTCCCTGGAGGAAGGGGTTCATCTAGAGGCTCATACAGATAAACTGGAATGTACAGTAAAGTTTTGGCTGCCTGGGTTCATATCTAAACTCTGCAGCCTCAGGTCTCTTTCCACTATTAGAAAATGGGGAGAAGGCTGGGCGCGGTGGCTCACGCCTGTAATCCCAGCACTTTGGGAGGCCGAGACGGGCACATCACCTGAGGTCAGGAGTTTGAGACCAGCCTGGCCGACATGGTGAAACCTCGTCTCTACTAAAAATACAAAAAAAAATTAGCTGGGCATGGTGGCGGGCGCCTGTAATCCCACCTACTCCAGAGGCTGAGGCAGGAGAATCGCCTGAACCCAGGAGGCGGAGGTTGCAGTGAGCCGAGATCATGCCACTGCACTTCAGCCTGGGCGACAGAGTGAGACCCTGTCTCCAAAAAAAAAAAAAAGAAAAGAAAAGAAAATGGGGAGAATGTTAGCACTTAATTTCCCAGTATTGTGAGACTTAACATATGTCAGCCTGGGCAGCATAGCAAGACCCCACCTCTACCAAAAATTTAAAAATTAGCTGGGCATGGTGGCTGGGGCACGCCTGTGGTCCCAGGTACTAGGGAGGCTGAGGCAGGAAGATCACTTGAGCCGAGGAGATTGAGGTGGCAGTGACCTACAATCGCGTCACTGTACTCCAATTAAAAAATAAGTGTCGGGCCAGGCGCGGTGGCTCACGCCTGTAATCCCAGCACTTTGGGAGGCCGAGACAGGCAGATCACGAGGTCAGGAGATGGAGACCATCCTGGCTAACACCGTGAAACCCCGTCTCTACTAAAAATACAAAAAATTAGCCGGGTGTGGTGGCACACGCCTGTAGTCCCAGCTACTCAGGAGGCTGAGGCAGGAGAATCGCTTGCACCCGGGCGGCGGAGGTTGCAGTGAGTTGAGATAGCACTCCAGCCTGGGCGACAGAGAGAGACTCCGTCTCAAAAAAAAAAAGTGTGGCTCTCAATAAATGAGTTGTTATTTCAGTGGCAAGCCCTGAAAGGGGGTCTACAAAGGCCCAGTGGGCGAGGCTGAGGAAATGCCTGGACACGACCCTTCTCATGGCATTCCCGGGGCGCCCGCATCAGCCCCTACCCACTCCCGCTCGGGGACTTTCTCGGAATCGCGCTTCTTCTTCCAGCAGCCTCGAGGCCGGCCCCGTCCAGGTCTCTTTAGCTCCGCCCCCTGGTGAGGGGCGTGGCCTCCTCAGGGCCGGGGCGTGGCCCAACCGGGAACTGGGGCGTCGAACTCCCCTTCCCAGTCTGGAGCCACCCATTCCAGGCGGGGCGGGAGGCTGATCACGTGACCAGCGAGCGGTCTCACCCTCCTCATATGCCAGTACCACCTCCTCCAGTCCCAGAGGGGGGATGTCTTACTCCTTTCCGTGAAGCAAACCCTTTGAGTACGGTTTGCGTCCACAAAGCGTAGGGTGAGAACCTTGGGAGCGACTGGGCCCGTCTTTGCTCCCTCGGTGGGGTTTTGTCTCCTGGCTTCCCCCAAGTGCGAGGCAGTTGGTCTCGCCCAGCCGGGTCCTGGGCGCGGCGGCGGCAGCCGCGTCACTGGCGGGCGGGATCCCTCCGCTCTGGGGAGGCAGCGCTGGCGGCGGGGCTGGGGCCACTGAGGAAATCCATCCGCGCCGCCGCCGCCGCCGCCGCCGCCGCCGCCGCCGCCTCCGCCGCGGAGGAAGACAGCGCCGCCCGCGCACCGCCAGCGACCTCCGCCGCAGAGTCCCACCGCCACAGGTACCTTCGCTGGCAAAAGGAGTCCTCTCGCCCCCCAGCCCCAATTTCCCCCAGGGGAACCTCTCTTCCTTCGGTCTCCCGGGGCTGGCCTCCTGGGAGCGGACGTAACTCCCCAGACCTCCGCTCCCTTCCCCTCTTGCCCGGTCGCTCCCAAACCCGGAAGGGGAACTGGGGAACCCTCGCCCCCCACCGTGCGTGCGCTTCCCCGCACCATCAGCGAAGTTTTTGCCCGACCCCAGACCCCAGCCCAGCCCCGACTGCCTCTTGCTCCCTCGGAAGTTGGGGGGCTAAATTCCGGGCTTCCTCTAGGCCCCGCCCCGCCCCCTTTCCCCACCGCCACCCTCCCGCCTGCCCCCGGGGAGCACCCCTCGTGTCCTCCACTGTCGCACCCCTGCCGGCCCTCGCCTTGCACAACTCCAAAATCGGGGAGAAGCAGGCAAGGCCGCGCGCCACCCTTCCTTTCGTCTCCACCCTACCCACGATTTGGGTGCTGCCCGTGGTTTCTGGCCCCACTCGCCGAAACTGGAGCCCTCGGCGCCCTATTCCCTTTACAGATCCTCACCCCAAGCCCAGCTCCCAGGCGCCCGCCCCCCGCCCAGCTTTCTTTTAGGCAAAATGGAGGTCGTAGGGGCTGGAGGGCCAGGCCCACTGCGCTTCGCAGCGCCGCACCAGCCCGCGCCTTCCAGCTGCCAGATCCAGGGACCCTCCCGTCACTCTCCTGAGCCCCGCCAGACCTGCGGAGGCGGTTGCACCCTCATTTCTCTATGGAGCGCCGGCTGCTATATCCCTAGAGTCTGGGGGCTGCTGAGGGCCCTGGGGGGTGATGGGGACCGAGGGCTGAGAACGTCGCCCCCGCCCCCAGTTTCTTCCTCCAGCCGTGCTTCCTTCTGCCCTGGGCCTCCGGCGGTGCCGCCAGGCCTGGGCTGCTAGTAGGTGGAAGAGGCTTTGTGCGGGCCTGGGGGTTGGGTAGAGTAAGGAGTTCTGCCCGCACCCCCCATCCCCCGATTTTGAGGGTCACCCCTTGGCACTGGCGTAGAAAGCTGAACTTACAAGGAGGGGAAATGTCAGTGGGGAAGAGGAACGCCCTGCGCCTGGGGGAAGTGGGAGCTGGGTGGGGGACGCCTGGGCCGGCCAAGTGCAGTGTGTACGGCCGGATCGCACAGGTGTCCCGCGGGCGGGGAAGGACTCAGGCTCCCGGAGCGGAGCCAGCCGGGCCCCTGGGGCCCGGGCGCCGAGCCTGCGGGCTGGGCCCCCCGGGTGTCCAGGGCGCCGCGGCCAGGCCGCCTGGGGCCGCCCGCCCGCGCCTGGGAGAGAGCACCTCCGCGCCTCGGGGCCGGGGACCTCGTTGCGGAGCCGTAATTACTCGAGAGCGGCTCCCACGGGCTTTCTGCGGGCGCGGCGGGGCGGGCGGTCCCTGCGCTGGAGGGAGCAGCGGCTCGGGGCTGCCTTCCCCGCCGCTGTCACCCCCACCCGCGGCGGACGGCTAATGGGGCGCAGCCGGACCGGGGATTATCCGGGGTGAGCCGTCCAGAACCTATTAGCGCCCAATCGGCTTTTCCCAAATCCTGTAAACAGCCACCCGGGCCGGTTCTGGGGAGGGCGGGAGGCTGGGTCGGGCGGGGGCGATGGGGCCGGGGGTGGGGTCACCCACCCTACAGGTCTCTGCCGTGGATGCGGTTGCCTTGGCAACGGGGCTAGGGTGGGGGCATTTCACCAATGAGGTGCTCTCGGTCCGGGTGACGGTTGCCTAGGCAACCCCACGAACAGCCCAGCTTTCCCCTCTGGTCTCTCCCCCCACCCGCCACCATCGAAGCTGGGGGTGTGTGTGGAGGGTGTGCGCCTTGTGGGGTGAATTTCAAGAGGCACCGCCCCTTTTAAAATTAGGTGCTTGGAGGGCGGTGCCTGTGCGGGCTGGGGCAGAAGCCAGGTCTGTTTTCGAAGGGACACCCCCGCCCCCCCCGCCCCAGTTCCTGCCGCGGGTGTCCTGCCCGGGCTGTGTCCGAGGGAGGGGTTTCCCCTGCGCTTCCTCTTGCACTTCCCGCTCCGTTTCCGGGGGGCGGGAGGAAGATTGGGGAAGTCGGCTCTTACTCGGCGACGTCTCTGGTGCCGGAGACCCTGGTTGTGCCCGGGGACGGCGGCCGCGCCGCCCCTTCCCCCTCCCCTTGCTTACCCCTTCCGGGCCGCGCTGCAACCCCGCCTTTCTCCCCACTTCCCCGGCGGCCTCGGGCCTGACGTCAGCCCTGCATCCCCCAGGCCTCGGGCCAGCGGCCAGGAGCTGCCTCCCCCAGCCCCCGTCCCGCGGCCCCCAGCCGCCCCCAACCCTGCCCCACGGGCCCGGCGCCATGAGTGAGCTGGAGCAACTGAGACAGGAGGCCGAGCAGCTCCGGAACCAGATCCGGGTGAGGGCCTGGTGCGGGGCGGGCGATTCATGTGTACACCGCCCGGTGCCCTGGACCGGGTTGGGTGAGGGTGTTGGTGGGGGAAGGGGGAGGGAGGGCCCCTTAATGGCTCAGAATCTGACCCTGTCCACTCCTGTCTTCTGTTCTCTTCTCTCCCTTTCCTCCCCAACCTGTCTTCTCTCGCGTCTCTCTGGCTCTGCCATCCCTTACAGGATGCCCGAAAAGCATGTGGGGACTCAACACTGACCCAGGTGAGGGCACTTGGTGGCCAGAGCGTAACTAGGGGTTGAAGGGGCAAGGATCAGAGGCCGCTGCCCTCTGCAGTCCTGCTGCCTGGGCCTCCCCGAGCGCATTCTGTCTCTACCTCCAGATCACAGCTGGGCTGGACCCAGTGGGGAGAATCCAGATGAGGACCCGGAGGACCCTCCGTGGGCACCTGGCAAAGATCTATGCCATGCACTGGGGGACCGACTCAAGGTGTGTGTGTGTGCGCGGGCTGGCGCTGTGGGCCGACTTTCTAGCAGGCCGTGGGAGCAGCCTCAGATCTGGCGGAGTAAGCAGGCCACCAAAATACCCAGCGTACGTCTGGAAAAACGGTGACTCCCAGACATGTCCGCCAGACCTGGACAGGCAGGACCATGCTGGTGAGAACTTGTGGGCTGCAGCTGGAGACTGTCTCTCAGGTGGCTCACGCCTGTAATCCCAGCACGTGGGGAGGCCAGGGCAGGATCACTTGAGCTCAGGAGTTTGAGACCAGCCTGGGCAACATAGTGAGACCCTGGCTCTACTAAAAATTGAAAAATGAGCTGGGTGTGGTGGTGCTCACCTTGTAGTCCCAGCTATGCGGGGGAGGCTGAGGTGGGAGGATCACTTGAGCCTAGGAGTTCCAGGCTGCAGTGAGCTGTGATGGTGCCACTGCACTCCAGCCTGCACAACAGAGAGAGACCCTACCTTCTCCCACCCAAAGGGAAGGGGGTGTGTCTTGTTTTCACGCCACCCTTCTGCTCTCCCTACACCGTTCCCCACCAGGCTGCTGGTCAGCGCCTCCCAGGATGGGAAGCTCATCATCTGGGACAGCTACACCACCAACAAGGTAGGGTGGCGCGGGCTGCGGGGTGGGGCAGGGCCACAGGGCCCTGGCTGGCTCTGACCCCGGCGCTTCCCCTGCTCCGCAGGTCCACGCCATCCCGCTGCGCTCCTCCTGGGTAATGACCTGTGCCTACGCGCCCTCAGGGAACTTTGTGGCCTGTGGGGGGTTGGACAACATCTGCTCCATCTACAGCCTCAAGACCCGCGAGGGCAACGTCAGGGTCAGCCGGGAGCTGCCTGGCCACACTGGTGAGGGGCCTGGCCCAGTTCGGGCCCTTTTTGGGGTTGGGGGGTGCACTGCCCTCCGTGTGGAGACCTGGCTGACCAGCTCCTTCCCCAGGGTACCTGTCGTGTTGCCGCTTCCTGGATGACAACCAAATCATCACCAGCTCTGGGGATACCACCTGGTGAGGCTCTGCCAGGGCTGGGCAGTCTGGGCAAACCCACACTTCCTGCCTCAGGGGCCACCGTCCCAGTGCTCAACATGCAGCATGCACCGTAGCCTCCCTCTCCTGGTGGGCGCTAAGGGGGTCAGGGAGGGATGCGTCCCCTCCCCACCTAAGGCTCTGAGAAGAGCCTCCCTGGACCCTTCCACAGGGTTGGGCTCACGTGGTGGGGCGGGGAGAACAGGGACTCTGTTCTTCGCCCTGTCTCTTATCTTTTCTTTCTTCCTGTCACCTCTCCAGTGCCCTGTGGGACATTGAGACAGGCCAGCAGACAGTGGGTTTTGCTGGACACAGTGGGGATGTGATGTCCCTGTCCCTGGCCCCCGATGGCCGCACGTTTGTGTCAGGCGCCTGTGATGCCTCTATCAAGCTGTGGGACGTGCGGGATTCCATGTGCCGACAGACCTTCATCGGCCATGAATCCGACATCAATGCAGTGGCTGTGAGTTTTGGGGCGAGCTAGGCCAGGCCCTCCCCACCAGGCTCCCGGCCCTGCTCCTCACCCTCACCCTCACCCCATCTGGGTCCCGTGTCCTGCAGTTCTTCCCCAACGGCTACGCCTTCACCACCGGCTCTGACGACGCCACGTGCCGCCTCTTCGACCTGCGGGCCGATCAGGAGCTCCTCATGTACTCCCATGACAACATCATCTGTGGCATCACCTCTGTTGCCTTCTCGCGCAGCGGACGGCTGCTGCTCGCTGGCTACGACGACTTCAACTGCAACATCTGGGATGCCATGAAGGGCGACCGTGCAGGTGACAGCTGGGGCCCAGGCTGGGTGGGCAGGGACCTGGAGCCCAGGCCCAATGGGTTCTGACTTCTCTCTTCTTCACAGGAGTCCTCGCTGGCCACGACAACCGCGTGAGCTGCCTCGGGGTCACCGACGATGGCATGGCTGTGGCCACGGGCTCCTGGGACTCCTTCCTCAAGATCTGGAACTAATGGCCCCACCCCCACTGGGCCCAGGCCAGGAGGGGCCCTGCCCATGCCCACACTACAGGCCAGGGCTGCGGGGCTGGCGCAATCCCAGCCCCCTTCCCCGGGCCACGGGGCCTTGGGTCCCTGCCCTCCCACCCAGGTTTGGTTCCTCCCGGGGCCCCCACTGTGGAGATAAGAAGGGGATGGAATGGGGGAAGAGGAGGAGCAGGAGGCCCTCATCCTTCTGCTGCCCTGGGGTTGGGGCCTCACCCCTCTGGAGGGCCGGAGGCAGGAGGTGGAAACCCCAGGGGCTGGCTTTTTTAAAACTGGTTTTATTTTAATTTTTATTATATTTTCAGTTTTTCCATAAAGGAGCCAATTCCAACTCTGTACCTGGTCTCTGCCCTTGCTGTGTTCTCCTTGTTTCTGGACTTTGTTGCCTGAGGGCTGCTGAGGGGGTGGATGGTGGGGAAGGTATGGGGCCTGCCAGGCAGCTGGGGCTGGGGGTGGGGTCCCCACTCTCCCTCAGAGCAAAGCTGAAGCCCCAGCCCAGAGCCTTCCGTCCAGAGGTTCTCGGATAAGCAGCCCTCACCATGGTTTCCCCCGTCAGGCTGCTGACCAGAGCCAGCCTGACCAGGCGGGCACTGCTCAGAGCTCCTAGTTCCCAGCTCTGTGCAGAGCCACTCATCCCCATGGCTCTCCCCAGATAACGAGCAGTGGAGGCGGAACGGGAGAACACACACCAAGTTTTATTGGGAGAAGGGAGTATTTACAGGAGCAGGTAAAAGAGAGGGAAGTCACACAGGGTGGAGAGGGGGCGGGGAGACTGTGGGTACAAGGCAGACAGGGAACACGGTGACCCCTGCACCCACCCCAACCCCAGGAAGGGCAGGGGAGCAGCGAGGGCCCAGGAAGACCGGGGCCGGGGAAGGACAGCAACAGGGTCTGAGTCCCTGGGCAGGGGGGCTCAGGGGCTTGTAAACATTGACCACTCTCAGAAGGGGATGGGGGTGGGAGAGGGCTCCCCCTATACTTCCTCACAGGGTTAAGGCCTCTCCAGGCTCATGGGCCCCCTAAGTCCAAAGTCTCTTTAGCTGGGGAGAAGAGACAGGAAGAGTGTCCCCCTTCCCCTGCATTGGCTGCGGCAGGGGTGGGGGGGTTACATTCAGTCACAACAGGAGTCTCCCCCACACCTGGCAAGAGGGAAGGGGAGCTGGGGGCCAGCAGCAGCAAACACTCCCCCCGGCCCGTCACCCCTTATTGCTTTAGAGAGAATATTGTCTTTTCAGGGACGCTAACACTGTGGGAACCAGGGAGAGGCAGGTGGGGGCCCCCCACCCCGAGGCCAGCTTGATCCCCCAACACTGACCTAGTTGCCACTTTGGTGCAAAAAAAAAAAAAAAAAAAAAAAAATCCAACAACAGAAAACCAAACACCATCTTTCTGGGACTAGATGGGGAAAGAAACGGGCCACTCCCCATGTCCCCAGGGCAGGAGGGAGAAATACATTCATGGAGGGAGGCAGTGGCGAAGCCTTGCCCTAATACTGCACTCTGAGCAATGAGGTCAATGGGAGGAGCTGGATGAGAAACCCAAAAGACAAAACTGTTACAAAACCCAAAATGGGCGGAGACGAACCCAAGTAGGGGACCGGGAATAAGAAGTGGGTGAGCAATAGAAGGGGCAGCCTCCTCTGACCCAGGAGCCGCACACTTCTCTTCACCCCAACCTTACCCAACGGTAAAAAGCGCATCATATCAGACCCGGAAGGCCACCTGCTCCTCTCCCATTTGGTCAGCGGAAGGGTCAGGTGCAGAGCTGGGTGGTCCACATCTTACGAGCTGGCTACAGGTTGGGGCCCCGGGCGGCAGCCCCTCTACTGCAACCCTAAGCCCAAAGCCACCCACTCCTTGCCTTTGAGGCCCCTCCTCCTGCCCCCTTCACTGGAGAAACAGCTCAGCCTTCTCTCTGCAGCCTCTGGAGCAATCATCCACCCCCGCCGCTCACAGGGGTGAGGCAGCTCAGGCAGGGGTGAGGCGGGGGCTTGTGGCCCAAAGAATACATTCACGTGGCAAGGCAGAGAGCTGGGGCTTTCAGGTTCAAACCCAGGGTGTCCCCCAAAATGGCAGCAGTGGGAGACGCCCCTCACCAGAACCAGAGTCCTGCTGCCCCACCCTGCCAGCCAGAGAGGTTGGCACGGCTTGGCCCCTCCCGTCTACTCGGCCAGCACAAGATGGCAGCCAGAGAGCTGGGGCCACTCGTCCAATTTGTGCAACTGTCCCCCAAAGCAGCGAAGCCAAGGGGCTACTTTGGCCCCACCCCGGACACCTCAGCCAGCCTCAGTGACAGGAGCTGCTCACAACAGGTCTGGCGGGTGGGGCTCAGACAGGCCTCCTGTGCAAACTGCTGGCCCCCAGCTTCCAGTTACCCCATGGCCCGCCTTCTGGGGGGTAAGTATGGCCTTGGGGGCCAGGCAGGACAGGTCCACGGGGCCTGTGTCCCCACTGCCCCAAAATAACAGTGTGTTTTTTCTTTCAGCCTCCTAACCATTTTTTTTTTCATTTTTCATCTTTTTTTCTTAAAAAAAAAAAAAAAACCAAAAAACAAAAACCTCTGTGGACCTTCCATTGTCACACCCACTATCCTCACAGCAGGAAGGGGTGTTTAGAGTCTAGTTTTTAACAATATTTTTGCCTCTCCTAATGTTTTCTTCAGTCGTTTAAAATTAAAAAAAAAAATAAAAAGAAAAACCCCCTCCCCCAGTCTGTAAAGTGCCTCGTGGTGGGTGAGTTAAGGTGCATCGTGTGTTTGTAACAAGTGCTGGGGACCCCGCCCCTGCCTCTTCCTGTGCTCTCTGCGGGGAGCCTGCAGGCTGGGACCCTCGGTCCACGCCGCTGTGGCTGCCCTGGCCTACAGCCCAGGGGCTGGGGGTCCGGGCTGGTCAGTAGTCATCCACGCTCTCGATCTCACCAGAAGATCCGTGCAGGGAGTACCCTGAAGCCGGGGAGAAGCTGCGTCTGAGCTCTCTCCTGGGCTCCTCCTGCCCTGTGCCAAGGAAGTCCCGCTCCTGCCCCAGCCCAGCTCACCCAGGATGCTGGGGTCTGAGTGCAGCATCAGTGCCCGCCTCTTGGCCTTGCTGCCCTCCCCGGGGCCGAGTTTGGTGCTGTGGTTGGCCTGGAAGGCCGTCTGCAGCGAGGCGCTGCTCAGCCATGCCTCCTAAGGCAGCGGAGAGGAGGGTGAAGGTCAGGAGGCACCAGGCAAGCCCACCCCAGCTGCTGGTGCCGGCTGCCTCACCTGCTGCTGCTGCCGCTGCTGGCTGGCTTTCTGCTTGGCCCTCCGCTCCAGGAATTGTTTGGCAAATTCTTTGGCTTCCAGCGTGTCCCCCAGGCAGGAACGGATATAATCGTGGACATCATAGGGGGATTCCACCTCCTTGAGGATCGCTACAGCCATGGGCACTGCAGGATGAGCGAAGGCTGTCAGGGCCCCCTGGCCGGGTCTGGAGACCCAGGTCCCGCCCACCTCCTGGGAGCCGCTCGCCCACCGTCCAGGCTGCCCGTGGCGCTCAGCGTGTGCAGCATCTGCTCGCACCACTGGGTGAAGCCGTCCTGGGGCCTGGGAATGCCCTGCAGCAGCTTCAGCAGCTTCTCTTCTTCCTCCGTCTTTTTGCGAATGGGCCGACCCGATAGGTGGCTGTATGAGTCACTGAAGGGGGAGGGTGAGTCAGGGTTGGAAATCAGCTGGCAGGGGTTGGGGGGGTCTGCCACCTTCCCCCTCAGGGCCATCCCGGAGCCTCCAGGTGCCACGCCCACCTGAGAGATGGGCTGCTCCGGCTGTTCTTCAGGCCGAGGCCACGGACCAGGCTCCCGCCGCTCTTGGGGGTGTCCTCCCAGAGCCCCAGGCCGCTGCTGCCGCCCCCACTCTTGTCTGGCCCGCCCCACAGTGGCCCAGCCTCAGACACCCACTGGTTCAGGGGGGCAGTGCCCAGGCCCCCAAGCTGCTACAGATGGCAGAAGATCAGAGTGGCTCAAACAAAGGCACCCCAGAAAAGCGGATGGGGAGGCTTGTTTAGGTGGCAAAGGGAGACAGGTGAGGTGAGGGCCACAAGAGCTGTTGCCATCACAGGAGAGGCTGGGACTGGGGCTGGGGCTGCACAAGTCTGGGTTCAGTATCCCCCTCCCTGTGCCACCCTGGAAACTGTAGGGGGAGCCCGGGAGGTTCCCGGCCTGCTCACCACTCGGTGGTTGGGGGCCTGGGCCCGAGCTGGCTCCCGAGGTGGGGGCTGTTTGTGCAGCTGCCGCTCGCCCTCCAGCTGCAACTCCAGGAGCGTCTTCATGGACAGCCCCTGCTTGGCCAGGCCAGCCCAGAGTGGGGGCGGGGAGCTGGGTGCGGGGGGCACAGGGACCGCCTGCTGCTGCTGTAGCAACTTCAGCAATAGCTCCTGCTGCCGCACCTAAGAGGGGGACATGGTGAGGGGACCTGGCGAGGGTTGTCCACCCAGCCAGCTGAGGCTTGGGAGCACCCACGTGCTTGCGCCGAAACAGCTCTTCCTCCTCCTGCCGCCGCTTCTGCTCCTCCTGCTGCTGCTGGCGGCGCTTCTCCTCTCGACGCTTGCGTTCCTCTTCCTCCCGCTTCGCCCTGAGCTCCACTTCTCTGCGCTCCTGGAACTGAGACCAGTGGCCCATCAGAGGGGAGAGCTGCAGGGGACAGCCTGGGGCCTGCCTCGGTCCACCCTTCATTCCCAGGGCCTCAGCCCCAGGATGCCCACTCACTTTATGTTGCAGCTGGAGTTGTTCTAGAATTGGACCCTGAGTCGAAGAGTTAATTGGTATGTCCCAAAGACTGGCCTCACCACCTGCAGGGGGCAGGGGGGCAGAGGCGGCTGCAGGTGGGCACTTGGGCCCACTGATCTAGTCCAGCCGCAGCAGTGGGCTCCCCAGCCAGAATGGCAGCTAGGGGCGTGTGGGGGTGGGGAGCAGACCCCAGACCCCATTTCACCCGGAGACTGCCTTGGGGGTGGGGACCAGTCAGGCCACACACCTGACTGTGATGAGGCTGAGGTATGTACGTCCCAGAGGCGGCCCGAATCTGGCACCGACAAGGACCGGCTCATCGTCGGGAGCAGGTTCTGGTCCCCGCCTCTGAGGAGCAAATTGTGGATTCTTAGGACCCCAAATCCATCTCTGGTCTGCCCCCATCCCCCCCCCACCCTGTATCCTGAGGGCTCGCACGCACCACGCACCTGGGGGGTTTGAGCGCCTGGAGCTGCTGCAGGAATGCCGTGAGCTGCTGCTGCTGCTGCTGTGGCGGCGGCGGTGGTGGCGGTGTCAGGTCCCCCAGAGCTGCCTTTTCTCGGAGCGCGCACTGTGGGAGCTGGCGGCTGCAAATGGGACAGTGGAGATGGTGGGCCACAGAGCCAGCGCCGGGCCTTCTCCCAGCCCACCCCAGGCCCCCCATACCTGCTGACCAGCTGGAGAAACTGCTGGTGCTGCAGCTGCTGGTACAAGGCCGCCGCGGCCAGCTCCTGTTGCTTCTTCAGCCGCTCCTGGTCCATGTTTCCCTGCTCAGGTGAGAGCTCGGCCAGTGCCCCCAGCAGGGAGGAGGGGACTCTGCTGGACTCCTGCCGGCACCCCTCACACCCTGTCCCTCCATGCAGGGGAGAAGCGGCTCACCAGCAGTGGGGGAGGTGAGGGCCCTGGGGCAAAGGGCACGCGGCCCCACATCTTGATCACCTCGCCCAGCGGCTGGAAGCCCTCATCGCAGCCCCGCTTCACCAGCAGTGACATGGAAAAGTAGCCGGCCTGGAACCACTCTGCCATCTCCTGTGTCGTGAAGGGGCCTGGACAGGGAGCGAGGGAGCGGGAGAACCACTGGGGTCACAGGGTATGCCAGAGACACCCTGAACCAGAACGGCCTTGAGCAGCCCTCCCATCCCACACAGGTACCTTGGATCTCGCCCTGTGGGTCCTTGTAGAACCACTTCCGGGCAGCCCCATGGCTGAGCGGGAGGGCAGTGGCGGCTGCAGAGTGGCGCAGGCCCTGGGTCTGCATGGCAGCCGTGAACTGCTCCTCCTCCAAGGAGCTGTCCTGCAGGGAGGCCACCAGCTTCTCCGCCTCCTGGATGCCCAGAAAAAGAAGAAAGGCTCAGCTGCCAATCTCAGCAACATCAGGATGGGGATGGGGATGGAGCTTGAGCTGGGGCCGGGGCTGGGGCCAAGCAGGTCAGGTCAGAAGTGGGAAGGGTCCCTCCCGCTTTCTCAGGCCCCCACACCTGCTGCAGGTGCTTCAAGCCTTCATCATCCTCCAGATCTCCGGGTGGGCCAGCAGAGGAGCCCACCCCGGGACTCAGCTGGATCCCCCGAATATCATCTGGAAGGCATGAGATAGGAGGTGGAAAGAAGGGCGGGGAGGAGACAAGATAGCTTTCGCCTACTCTCACTCCAGAACACCACGCTCTTGCCATGGCTCCTCAATGTGAATGCCCTGTGTGCCCACCCCCACGAGTGGGGAGCACTTTCTCCCACAGCCCCAGCGCACCCGGGAGGTAGGCCATCCTCCCTTCCTACCTTCGGCCGCTGGGGGCTCTTTCTCTGCAGTTTCGTCCCCATCCCCGTTTGTCCCCCAGAGTGGGCCCAGGGTGGGCAGTGGGGATGGGGAGCTGGACTTCTCCTCCTGAGGAGGCAGTGGGGTCAGCTCTTTCCCACCTAGAAGAGGGAGATGGCCAGAGTTCAGAACCAAGGGCTGGGCCTGCCACGCGAGTTAGCACAAGCCCTTGAGTGTGGCTGGAACCGCGGGTCACACTCCCTTAGGCCGAGTCCACCACTTCACTTGGGTCAACTCAACTAATGGCAGAGGGAATGCGGTGCCCTGACCCTCGCCTCCACGCTGCCAGACGCGGCAGGAACATATCACAACATCGCACAACACCACACAACACCGCAGACGTCACTCCAGGTTCTACAGCTTCTTCAAGGGACTTTCAAAGGTCATTTTGATTACGCCTGATTTCTATCTGGTACACTGCCTTGAAGACATGGCTCTGCTACCCCCTGGTTCCTCCCCACCTCTCAGCACTCTTCTTCCAGATCTAAGTAGCCTGATTCTACAGGTAGGTGGGCAGCCAATGCCCAGCCCGGCAAAGAACACCAGTGCCTGCCCGGCCCAGCCCCAGGCCCGCTGGGCACCCCGCGGCTCACCTGCCTCAGGCCCTTCCTCCTCTAGCCCTTCGGAAGGTTCCTCCTCCTCCTCCAACCCTTGGAAGTCCAGCTCCTGCTCCTCAGGAATGGGCTCCTTGGGGCCCTTCTGCATGGGGCCGGGGTGGGGAGCAGAGAACAGCTGGGGTGGGTGGGGAGGAAGAGGACCCCGGAAGGGCAGGTTCCCACCCTCGCCTCCTCACAGATACCTTGAGAGGCAAGAAGGCCCCAGAGGCATCAAAGGTGCCCATTTCTTCATCCTCATCGTCCAGGCACCACTCTGGGAGCCCATCCTTGTCCTCCTCAAAGCCTTCAGGCGCTCGGCACCGCCGCAGGTGAGAGCTGCCTCCCCCTCCCCGCCCCTCCTCTTCACCACACCCTCCTCGATCCCCTCGCAAATCAAATTCAAACTTGCGCCGCCGTTCCCCATGTTCCCGCCAGCCAGCAGAGCGGGGACCACCATCTGCACAGGAAAAGTCAGGGAGAAGAAGAGTGGGTACCCAAGCGAAGCCAGCGGCCCCCTCTGCTGCAGCTCACGGAGCACCTCCAGGGCTGCTGTCCCGGCCACTCCCACACCAGCCAGCCTCTGCTCCCTCCCCGTGGCTACAGGAGCCCACCCTCTCATTACAGTTCCTGCTCCCCACTGCCCCCGCCAATGCTACCAGGCCCCAATCTCACCAGGGCTGGCGGAGCGCCAGCGGTCGCCGTCTCGCCGGGGCCCTGCTCCGAGCCTCCAGCTGCCCTCCTCCTCCTCCTCCTGTTCCTCCCGTAGGGAGCGCCAGTTCTCGCTGTCTGAGCGGGCGTGCTCCTTCCTTGGGCCAGCCCCTCCCTCCTCAAAGCCACATCGTGCTGGGAGACGGGAAGACAGGGGCAGTTATTAGAAAGGCAGCGTGGTGCCTGGACCCTCAAGAAACGTTGGGGGGGCCAGCTCCAGGCCCTCCTGCCCCCAACACCTCCGAAATAAGCACCCCCAGACTGGGCCACCCATCTTGGTCCTCCCTGCCGCCCCGGCCGCCGCCCTCAGCAGCCTCGTACCTCCATCCCGCCTTGCTGACTTCTCAAACCGCCTCTCGCCTCTGCAGCAGGGGAAACGTGTGGGTCAGAAACAGTACAGCCTCCCCTGCCACCCTGTGCAACCGCCCCATGCCTTGTCCACTGTGCCCTGAGGCAGTGGAGGGAGGAAGGGGACAAACGAAACCAGGGGTCAGGAGCACCGGGATCTCGGACAGGGCTTATCTGGTGGGCCTCTGTTACCCTCTAGCGACAGGGCCCAGGCCTCCCCTCCCTGGCCTGCCCGGCTCTGCGCCATGCCCCCTCCCCGCCCCACCTGTCATCCCAGCTCTGGCTGCGCTGGATTTCCCGGGGGCTTCGTCCAAAGGCCCCATCGCCTTCTTCGATGCTTCTTTGGTAAAAGCAGCTGTCACCACGGCCGCGGCCTAGAGAAGAGGCCAGACGCACAATGAAACCTGCTGCACGTTCTCGAAGTCAGGGGCCCAGATCTGCCCGTCCCCAGGACACGCCATCACCCCTCTACCTCGGCTCCGCGTGCTGCCCCTGCCTCGGGAGGTGCCAGCCAGGGGGGGGCCAGCCCCTTTCCCCATCAGCCTCAGCACAGCCACGCTGTTCACTGACAGGGAGAAGTTTCTCTGAGGAGGGAGCCAGGGGCGGGAGTGAGGACCCAGGCACCCAACCACCTCCACCCCCACCCCACAGCACCCTCCCCGCCTGTCTCCTCAGCGCTGGCCCCTCTCCTCCTAACCCAACCCATGGCCTCCCCTCCCAGGCTCCCGCAGCCTCAGCTCCTGGCCCGGTCCCACCTGTTCCTCCTCAGTCAGCGGCTCCAGAGCCAGGGGCTGCAGTGGCTCGTCCTGCAGCACCGCGGCGAACTCCTTGTCCTGCAGCTCTTCCGGGACCTGGCAGTGGGTTGGGACAGCCAAGACACCACATGCTGCCAGATCCCCTCCACAGGCAGAGGCCACCACCGCCAACCCCCCTCGCCCACGCACCCACCTTGTTCTCCTTGACGTAGAGAGCCAGCATTTCCTCTCGCCCATAACGGTAGTCAGCCAGCTTGTATTTGGGCATGGCAGGGGACGGGGGTGGGGAGGCCACGCTGCCGCCCCCGGACAGGGCCCTGAGCCTGGACACAACACAGAGAGAAGAAGACAGAGGTCAGGGCAGCCTGACTGTGCTTTCTCGAATCTCCACGGCAGCCGAGGCACAAGTGACTCACCACTCAGGCCCAAAGTTGAGTGTCTCTGCTGCCATCGTGGGGCTGGGCGTGTTTGAGAGGCCGGGGGTGGGGAGGAGGGGACCTGGCGTTCACTGTCCAAACACCTGTGGGGGAACAGGGGCCATGAAGAACAGCACACGAAGGAGAACTTTAAAGCGCAGGGAGGACACCATGGGGGACATCCTAGTGGGCACAACAATGGGCCCCGGACTAGCTGGTGGGTCACCTGGGGTCTAAAAGGACTCACCTGAGCCAGCCACGTGGCCACTCACACCATGAGTTACCCAGAGATGAGTCCAGACGGTGAAAGACCTGGGGGAGGCGAGGAGATGGGAAGCTCGAGTCCTTTCGGCCTCAGCAGGGCAACCACCCTTGGCCCGGGGCTCACCTGGCA